>NC_000011.10:46423636-46726666 GCF_000001405.40 Homo sapiens
TGCCTCGGCCTCCCAAAGTGCTGGGATTACAGGCGTGAGCCACCGTGCCCGGCCAATTTTTATTATTTTTAAATTTTTACTGTTCTGACAGAGCAGGACTAACTCACAGGCAGTGCACCCATTTTTTTTTTTTTTTTTTTTTTTGAGATGGAGTTCCGCTCTTGCTGCCCAGGCTAGAGTGCAGTGGCACGATATCAGCTCACCACAATCTCTGCCTCCTGGGTTCAAGCGATTCTCCTGACTCAGCCTCCCGAGTAGCTGGGATTACAGGCATGGGCCACCACGCCTGGTTAATTTTGTATTTTTAGTAGAGATGGGGTATCTCCAAGTTGGCCAGGCTGGTCTCGAACTCCTAATCTCAGGTGATCCACCCGCCTCAGCCTCCCAAAGTGTTGGGATTACAGGCATGAGCCACCGTGCCCAGCCAGTGCACCCAATTTTTAAAGTGATTATTTAAAAACCCAAATCACAGCTTTGTTTGGAAATTTTTAAAAAATCAAAATAACAAGTCACCTAACTCTCCCCCTTTGAAGCAGGAACAAATCCCTAGATTGCACATATCCAAACCAAAGCTCTCTCCCAGCAGAAAAAAAGGGCAAACAGCAAACAGCCTTTTTTTTTTTTTAATTTGTTCAAATTTGTTGCCCTTTGTTACTATTGACAATGTGCTGCCTTCAAGGCATTTCTAGGCAACCTCCTATGATTTGCTGATTCCTACAAACTTTGTCTTATTCATTTGTTCCTGAAGGAGACCCCAAAGACAGTCAGAGGACAAGCTTTTTATTTTTCAATTGGCCCGCTGCTTTCCAAAGGCCACCCCTGGCCATTAGGATCAAAGCACAGAGATTACTTCAGCTGAGGAATCTACTTCTGTGCTAAAAGAAATACTGAGGCACTCACGGCTTCTGGAATTCCCAGAAATTATACTCGCTGGGCGTGATGGCTCCTGCCTGTAGTCCCAGCACTTTGGGTGGCCGAGATAGGAAGATCACCTGGCACCAGGAGTTCAAGACCAACCTAGCTGACATAGCAGGATCTGTGTGTCTCCAAATAAACAGCCAGGCATGGTGGCACATACCTCTAATCCTAGCTACTTGGGAGGCTGAGGTGGGAGGATTGCTTGAGCCCAGTTATTAAAATTTACAGTGGGCTATGATAGTGCCACTGTACTCCACCGTGGGTGAGATCCTGTGTCTTAAAAAAAATTTTAAACAAATAGGCCAGGTGTAGTGGCTCATGCCTGTAATCCCAGCACTTTGGGAGGCCGAGGTGGGTGAATCACGAGGTCAGGAGTTCAAGACCAGCCTGACCAAGATGGTGAAACCCCATCTCTACTAAAAATACAAAAATTAGCCAGGCTGGTGGCAGGTGCCTGTAATCCCAGCTACCTGGGAGGCTGAGGCAGGAGAATTGCTTGAACCCGGGCGGCAGAGGTTGCAGTTAGCCGAGATCACGCCACTGCACTCCAGCCTGGGCAACAGAGTGAAACTCTATCTCAAAAAATAAATAAATAGAAAGAAAGCAATTACTCTGGTTTCCACATCTCTGGGCACAGAGCACAACACAAGTTCTTGAACTTCTGTGTCTTTCTACATCTCAAAGGAAATGGTCTAATGAGTTCTAGAGATTCACCTTGGATAAGACAATGCTTCTGTATCTTTTGCTTGATCCATTTGTGTGTGTGTGTGTGTGTGTGTGTGTGTGTGTGTGTGTGTAAGAAGTAGTATTTCTCTGTTCAGGACAGGGATTATATTAAATACTTTCAGTTTTTACAAATATATGAATTGATTTTCCAATTCTTGAAAAAAAGGATGTTTTGCCTTTCACTTTTTAAACTATCTACTGGGAACCTCTCATCATGTCTCAGTGCTGGAACTAGAACCTGGAGAAACTCACTGATATCGGTTAGAACTGTGGAAATGAGGCTGGGCGCGGTAGCTCACGCCTGTAATCCCAGCACTTTGGGAGGCTGAGGCAGGTGGATCACGAGGTCAGGAGTTCGAGACCAGCCTGACCAACATGGTGAATCCCTGTCTCTACTAAAAATACAGAAATTAGCCGGGGTGGTGGCATGCACCTGTAATCCCAGCTACTCGGGAGGCTGAGGCAGGAAAATCACTTGAACGCAGAAGGCAGAGGTTGCAGTGAGCCGAGATCGTGCCACTGCACTCCAGCCTGTGCAACAAGAGCGAAACTCCGTCTCAAAAACAAAAAAAAAGAAAACAGCGGGCTGGGCGTGGTGTCTCACGCCTGTAATCCCAGCACTTTGGGAGGCTGCGGTGGGCAGATCACAAGGCCAGGAGATCAAGACCATTCTGGCTAACACGGTGAAACCCCGTCTCTACTAAAAATACAAAAAAATTAGCTGGGCGTGGTGGCGGGCTCCTGTAGTCCCAGCTACTCGGGAGGCTGAGGCGAGACTCCATCTCAAAATAAAAAAAAAAAAAAAAGAAAGAAAACATTGTGGAAATGAGTAAGATGCTCCCTATTTTCAGGATTATCTCATTACTACCTTGATTCAATTAGGGCGTACTGAGTAATGGGCTGTTACAGTGATAGTGGTGGTGAGCAGGGTGCACATGCGTGGACATGCAGAGAAACCCAGGGCACATGAGATTTCAAAGTAACACACACTTAGGAAGCAAACGTTGCATGCCTCCCGCAGCTAACTAAGCACAGTGAGGGCTGGGGAGATGGCAGTGAAAAGACCAGAAGAAGCCAGGCATTGCACATGGACGCACTACAGAGGAAGGGACTAGGTCCATTTTGTTCACTGCTGCATTCCTAGACCAATGACAGGGGCTCAATAAAGTTTTTTTGAGTGAAGAGAATAAAATGCAGCATAGACTGCACTCTACTAAGAGGCCACAGAGGAAAGACACTGTCAGAGTTGGTGAATCTGTCATGGAAAAATTTCCTAAATGAATGGCTCTGACTGCAGTTCTAGTGTTATTTTTAATTTTTATCTTGCCCCCCTCCCTTCTCTGACAAATCACACCAGAGACACCTCTTACTTCTCCTATACTTCTTCCCCCTTTTCCTACAATGTTCTGAAGAAAAGAACTTTTTGAGGATAGATGCTTTGTGCCACATCTCAGAAGTCAACTTTAAGATAATTGCAGCGGAAGCAGCTTTTAATCAACTGACAGGCAGCTTTAAGAAAATTAATGAGGACAAAATTTTAGGAAGGAGTAAATCATTTCTGACAACAAAGCCATCTGTCTTTTATCCCAATCTCCCCTTGAAGAAATAGTACCCTTCCAGGATACAAAAATAAAATATCATTATTTTTGGTATTTGCCACCCCCAAGTCCAGACAAGATTAAGAAAAGGCTCAGTTTCCTTAGATTTCTAGAGAATACTCTGGATTGAACTAGAATTCTAGGTCACTTTTGGAAATCAAATTTGCAGAATATAGGGAAGCACAGATGATTAGGACTATATTATAAGTTCAATTCAAGGGCAGGGAAGGAGAGAGTCATAATGAAGTTTGTAGATTGAAGAATAAAGCTGGGACAAGTCAAAAGAGCCTATATTTGTGAAGTTATATAAATTCTGGTCAGTGCTGACAGCACTGGGCACTCATCCTGACCCAGGATCTAAGCCACAACTATAGTTACCACTAATTTGAGAAGTCTGGATCCCAAGTTTTTTCTATGGTTCATTTTAATGAACTTGATCAGCAGCAGCAGCAGCAGCAGCCATCATTAGTCTCTGTAAGGATGGATACCCAACGGTATAAAAGAAAGCAAGCAATCTAATGTTTATTTTCAGAGATAGTAAGAGACAGAGCAAGAACAAAAGCGGAAAGGATCAAGATACATTGACAGGCAAGGTCTAGATGGAATCGCCCTACAGCCCATGGTTCGTTCTTAACTTAGCGCGCAGAGTCATCAGGAAGGCTTGTTAAAACACACATGGCTGGGCCTCGCCCCCAGAGTTTCTGACTCAGCAGATCTTAAGTGGGGCTGAGAATCTGCATTTCTAATAAGTTCCCTAGAGATGCTGATGTGGTCCCCTGGGGGCACACATTGAGAACTGCTGTGCAATCAGATTTGGGTGGGATGTAGGTCTATAAAAAATGGTAACAGGCCGGGAGCGCTGGCTCATGCCTGTAATCCCAGCACTTTGGGAGGCAGAGGTGGGCGGATCACCTGAGGTCAGGAGTTCGAGACCAGCCTGGTCAACATAGTGAAACCCTGTCTCTACTAAAAATACAAAAATTAGCCGGGAGTGGTGGCGAGTGCCTGTAGACCCAGCTAATCAGGAGGCTGAGGCAGGAGAATCACTTGAACCCAGGTGGCGGAGGTTGCAGTGAGCCAAGGTTGTGCCACTGCACTCCTGCCTGGGCGACAGAGGGAGACTCCATGTCAAAAAAAAAAAAAAAAAAAAAAAGTAACAAATATGCTTTCCTTCCCTGCTGCCTGGGACCTGTTTAGGGTGAGGGGGAGGCATATTGCTAGCGCTCTAGAGGGAGAAGGGGTATAAAGGGATAGACCACTACTGACCAGCAAAACTCTTAGGTCAAGAAAGGAAGAAAGAAGAAGGGGAATGGGGAGGGGAAGAAGAGGAGAGGGAGAGAGATGGATACTTTCTTTTCAATGTGTCCTACGAACTATTGATTTGTCTGGGTAACACTCACTCAACTCTTGGCTACGGTTTTACCACATGGCCACAAAGAAAAAGCTTTCAATAAAATTGACCCTTAGGTATTGGAGGCTTTCCCTTAAAGACCACAATACTGTTCCATGGAGAAGGGGGAGCAAAACTGCATTCTATCCCAGAGCTTCCTCCTCAACCCAAGTCAAATGAAGGTGTCCTTAGTCATCCCTTCTGCCAATAAAATGACCCGAGAGAAAAGCAAACTACGCCTGGTGAGATTCAAGTTCCTAGTGCCTCTAGGATCTGCAGCGATTAGGCAATGAGGATCTTTTCCACTTCTTCTTCTTCTTCTTCTTTTTTTTTTAAGGTTTTTTGGCTATAAGTTTATTCAATGCAAAAGAATCCTCTCCAATTTTACTGAGGTGGCTGACCACGTCCACGACCAAATCCGCCTCTAAACTGGAATTCGGTTGCTGACCCAGCCCCAGCCTCGGCTTTCTTGTCGGCACCAGGTGGCACAGCACTCCGTCTGTAGGTATCTCTGTCAGCTTCCCCTCTTGTGAGTCTCGCAGGTCGCTCACCCTCCAGACCTTTAGGCCGAGGCCTGCCAGTCTCTGGACGGCTACGGCGTAGGATGGCAGGCACAATCTCTGGGGGCAGATGAAGGTAATCACGGAGATACTGGATACCCTCATTGGTAAGGTACCAGTAGAAATGTCTCCAGGCAAACTGTTCCTTCACGTAGCCTCGGGACTTGAGAGACTGCATGGCCTTCATGACATGAAGGTTGGGCACATTCTTGTCTGCCAGCTCCGGGTGCTTAGGCATGTGGACATCCTTCTTGGCCACCATGACTCCCTCCTTAAAAAGGAGTTCATAAATGGCAATCCGGTTCTTCTTAGGCATCAACATCTGGCAGGTCTCCGCCACGCACTGGCTTCATCCTCCCCCTCTCCCTCGGACAATCTTCGCCTACCAGCGGCCCCCTACCCCATAAAATAAGCCTCCAGCCCCTATCGCTACTCAGAAATCGGTGTGTGGGGAGTGGGAGAGAGGCCCCCTGCCCGCATCCTGGGGAGGAGCAGCCGCTAAGGTGGCAGGATAGCCCGGATGGGAGCCGATGGAACTCGAACTCCACAGAAAAACCTTTTCCACTTCTTACTAAACCACTTATGTGCCTACAATCCCCACTTATTGGGAGGTGGGGGGGTGGTCCATGTTAATTCCAGTGTTGAAAGCACTAATCCTTATTCTTGCTTTCTAGCTCAAAATGCCCTAGCTTCGTCCTCATGTCCCTGAACCTCCCTGCCCAGTTGCAGGCTTCTGCCCCTATTCCTAAGTAACACAGCACTTACTGAGATACAAACTAAAGGAAGAATGTGGTATATGACTCTTTCTGGTTTCATCAGTAATTTTGTATTTTTGTTATTATGCTTTCACTTGGTTACAACCAAAGTTATTATACTGTGCAAGTTGCCACTATTTTAGAAAATTAATTGCAGTTCTCTGTTACAATACTGTGCCTGGTTCCAATTAGAAAATGAAAGCCGAGAGGGAACACAGGCAGTTTAGTGTTTTGAGAATTCAGCAAAACTTCAGCTCAGCAGTCTCTAAAAGCTTAACCTAAAAACAAAACAAAAATTAACAAAAAGCCCTCTCTGGCTCAAGCAGAAGGGAATCAGACAGAAAATAAGATTCTGAGTCATAGAGAGTAGCATATCCAGTCTGGAGGAATCGCAAATGGACAGTGGGAAGGGAGAGAGAAAATATGTGCCCAGTCTTACTTTCCTGACTTACCCATCATTAAAACTGGGAGGACTAGCACGATAAACAGAGAAGGGAAAGATCAAAAGGACCCTAGATCCTAGAAATAAGGACAAAAATTAAAATGATTCAACATAAAGAAAAGACTCCAGCACATACAGCTATTCAAGGGAGAAACCTGGAAAGCAGCAACAGCCTAGAAAAGATGGGAGGTGAGGCGCAGACAGCCAAAAAAGCTGAGTTTGGTAGGAAACAGAAGACAAACACCACTGTGCCTGCAACATAATTAGCAAAGAATCAAAGCACCATGCACAAAACCACAATGGCAAGTAGACCTGAGACTGACTCTGCCTTGCTGAGGAGGCTGAGGGCAGACACCTAAAATGAAGAAATCTTGTTTTAAAAATACTAATCCTGGGTCCCTCTGACTCCCATTCTTATTCTGATTTTAGGTCTGAAATGGATCTGTATTTTAATAAGGACCCATGTAGTTCTACTGTAAGTTGTCCAAGAACCACAGTTTGAGAAGCACTGATCCAGAAGTCTGAAGAACTGCTTAGAGTAAGTGCATCAAGGCTAATAGCAATTAGCAATTCATTTTCAGAAGAGTTTTCATATGGGATTGTGTCAGAGATCATCTCTTGGGGAGAGATGTCACTTAGTGCCATCTTAAAATAAATCAATGCTCTGGAGGATGTTCTCCTGGGAATGTCTGTTGGCCCAACACATTTGCCTCTCTGAACATTACCACAGTGAATTCCAAGAGGTAACACCAGACAGAAGGGGAATTCTGGGTAGCAAAGCTCTAGGACAGGCCCATTACCCACTAAAGCATTCCTTTATGGTCAGAGCTTGACATTAGAGATGGAGACACCCACCTATACTTACCTGTGCAAAGAGGGAGATGCTGTACTGTCCCATTAAACCCTTGCTCCCTGTTCTCAGACAAAAATTCACTTCTTGCCTTAAACGGTGATACAGCACAGCTATCCAAAAAAGCTGGTGTCTTCCCTTCCACCAATCACTGAATTCAGGGACATTTGCTGAGTGATCTGGTGCCTTTGGACGTAAGGGGCAACCAAGACCTGGAAAACCAGAAACCTTTCTGTAGCATGGGGGTTTAAAGTCAGACTGGGTGGACACTTGGTTGACCTAAACCTTGTTGAGATGCCTTGATCCTGTCTCTTGGGTGACAGGAACACTTCCCAAATGGGAACTTTCTAGGTACTTCAGCTCCCTTTCTTAGTGCTTGGTGGCAGATGGTACCTACTGAGAATCAAAAAAGGTTCACCAGGCAGCCTGGCAGTAGTAGTAGCTCCAGTCACCAAGCATGCAGCTGCTGGCTAGCTGCCTTGAGACCCTTGGCAGGACAGCCAGGGGCTGACTGGATTACCACATCTCCTCAGCAGAGAACCACATTCCTTGAGCTGCCAGCCCCATATGTGACAACAGATCCCATCACCTTGGCTTCTGCTTTGTAACTGTTTGTCTTCAGCCAGATGTTTCTGGCTACTATGGAAAAGTGGAACTGTGCTAAGATGGAGAACTGGCAGGCTGTGTGCAGGAGCTGGGCAAGAGCCCTGGCTTATGAAAGAAGCTAGAGAGGTCTGTCAGAGCTACCAACATCAGATTCTGTCTCTTAATGATTTAAACGATTATTCCACAATTAGGCCGGAAGGGTTAGAAGAGCAGCTGTTGGGACTGGGATTCCAGGTGGTGAAAAGCAGAGACCAGCTTCTGCTTAAGAGAAGCAAAAGAAGAATATTTAAATGAAAACTCAACTTCCATCCTCAAATATCTAGATAAGAAAATAGACTTGATGAACATCCCACAATGACATCTCCTATTCACCCAATGTCAAATATTTCCAGCCATATGGAATTCAAGATCAGAACTTTCTTGTCATTGTGATATCAAGAGGACAGAATGACTTGTTTTCCTTTCAGAAGCTTGGTGGGACATGATGTTATGTTACCCATCATTGGTTCTGCTAGTTACCACCTAGAAATGATAAAGAGGATGCTTTATTTTTATTTATTTATTTTTTTTTGAGATTCTCTTTCATTCATTCATTCACTTTCTACTAAGTGTCAGGTTCCGCATGAAGTTCTTGGACTTCATAAAGATAAAACAGACACAGTCTCTATTCTCAAGGAGCTCACAGCCCAGGAGAAGAGAGTGACATGGAAACAAATAACTGCAGTTTGGTGTGACAAGTACTGACATGAGAATGTGTAAGAGGTACAATGATAGCACAAGGAACGAGTGATCAATTCTATTAAGATGGATGCCACAGAAAGTAAAAAGCTTGCAGGTAGCTGGAGATAGGGGACAGGAGGGCATTCCAAGTAAAGGTACCCTGGCAAGAAGGCACTTTGACAAATTCAAGAAGCTTGAAAAGTGGCTCAGTGTAGTTGGACAGAGGATATCTGTAGGAGACAGGAGGGAGAAGAGGCTGGAGAGGAAAGGACCACACCAGGCCACCCACTTTCTATCACTTTGTATATAATGGGTGCTATCTCTAGTTTTTTTATTTAAAACAAATGCTTCCCATTCCAGATATTCAACAGCCATCTACATGCACAGCACTAAATGAGGGACCTGAGGGATATCCCTCTAAGGAGCTTACACTGAACCGAATTGGGTGGATTAAACACATACGCTACACAGCTAAAGAAGACAAAAAATGGACCAACAAGTACATCCAACTATAAATGGTACAGATTGCACAAAGTACTAAGGAAATTCACAGGTTCTTGGATTCTGACAAAGCTTGAATACTATCTAATTAGAGAACTGTTCAAATGCTTGAATCCCCTTGACAAAACCCTGGCTAAATGAGCACCTATGGGACGTGGGACGTTCACTCAGGCACGTTAGTCTGGCTGAGGCCAAAAGGCCACGAACCACAGGATGCCCAGAAGGCTTTTATGGCAATATAAGAGAGACGTGCCTTAGACAAGACAGGGTCCTAGACAGGACCTTTTCTCCACTGGTGAAATGAATGGGATGATTAAGAATACAGCAACTGCCTAAAGTCTTCATCTTCCATCATAATTATAACCCACAGAAAAAAAACATTTCATGGCATACTATTACTTTTTACAGCTTGTTCCCTCACACACACACACAAAAAGCTTTAAAAATAAGCATTTCATTGGGTCCTTTATGCATCTCCAGATTAAAAGTTTCACGTAGAAGTAAGGAAGTATTCAGTTTATCTGAAGATACTTGCAGGCCTCTGGGGAATGCAGCACATATTCTAGGGTGTGAGGAAAGGCCTTTGATAGTCCAGAGCTTCCACAAATGAAGCCTGCTGGTCATGGATGGGCTTGACTACAGCCCTTCCTTACTCCTTATGACTGTGTGATAGCTCTGGTCCTGGCTGGGAGGTCACACCACTGTCCCCTCATTACCCTTCCAAGCCTAGGGGAGCTGCCATACAGTGAAGGCACAAGCAATGGCACTCACCCTCATGGAGGTCTCTCCACCATGGGCCTGTTGCAGCCTGAAGACCTGGGCCACCATGTGCTCTGTGGAGGGGTGCAGCAGGATCCTTCGTGAGGCCAAGCCCACCATTACATATCTGCCCATTGGGGACAGGCTCACCGAAATGGCATTGGGACCTGAGGGCCAACAAAACAGAGAAATATTTCCTAGGCTTCTGGCCATTCCAAGGAAACAACTTTCACTCTTACTCTTGTCTTTTTCTCTAATCTTCATATTCACTTGCTCATCCTGGTGTTATCTCATAGGACTGTAGTGAGGAGTATGATGAGAAGGCATATACATACTGAGTGTAGTGTTTGACATATAGAAAGCACATAATAAGGCTGAACGCGGTGGCTCATGCCTGTAATCCCAGCACTTTGGGAGGCCGAGGTCGGGGGATCACCTGAGGTAGGGAGTTTGAGACCAGCCTGACCAACATGGAGAAACCCCATCTCTACTAAAAATACAAAGTTAGTCAGGCGTGGTTGCGCATGCCTGTAATACTAGCTACTCGGGAGGCTGAGGCAGGAGAATCGCTTGAACCCGGGAGGTAGAGGTTGCGGTAAGCTGAGATCACGCCATTACATTCCAGCCTGGCCAACAAGAGTGAAACTCCGTCTCAAAAAAAAAAAAAAAAAAAAAAGAAAGAAAGTACTTAATAAATGCTAACCGTTGTTATCAACATTTTAAAAAATTGTTAACATCCTGTAATTACTATTTTGAAACCCACCTTTTTCATTTAATACATTATGAACACTGTTCTGTAAGAGCATTTTAAGGGCCAATGGAGCAGTTCTATCACTGCACCATCATTTGTTTAGTCAACTCTTAAAAAAAAAACAAAAAACACTTAAATTCAACTCAAGGTGACACCAACAAAACACCCACCCCACCCTCCCGCAAAACAAACAAACAAACAAACAAAAAAGTCTCAAGGCAACAATTTGGCATTTTTCTGTATGGTAACACTGCTGTGAACACCCTTGTATGTAAATCTTTGTATAGTTTTCTGATTATTTCCTTAAAAGCTGGATTGCCAAAGAGCTGACACATTTTGGGAGGTTTTAAATACACAATGCCAAACTGTCTTGCAGTGCATGTGTGTGCTACAACCACCTCCTCCCTTATTCCTGACCGTCGTAACAGGGGCATGCGGTAGGACTCTAATGCTCAGATGCTTCTGCAATGTTACTAGCCAGCACTCCTGCAAAGCAATCTTTCTCTGGCCTGTGCCCCAGTGAAGGTAGGGGCAGTATGTGACCATTACTCCCACCCAAGCTGTGCCTCACCTAGCAATGACCATGCCAAGGCACCAGCGTCCCTCTGTCATTAGGTTGGGCTTCCTATCCCTTACCAAATCGCTTGGTGTAGAGCATTTCGCCCAGGTTATGGGGGGCCAGGGAGTACACTGCCAGGATGCCTTCATCAGGAAAGCCCCTCTGGCTGCTGGGGATGAAAGCTGCCAGGAGCTGGCCATCTGCAGAAATGTCACAGCTGGCATCATTGTAGATCTTGCAGTTCTGCACCAGCACATTCACGGAAGCTGCATCAGACAAAGAAAGAAAAGAGGATAAGAAACTTTGGAGTTGATACTGTAAAAATTCTGGGGCCAAGAAACTTTAGGGACTTCCTAAGGGCCTGAACCTTGTCTAGAAATGCTAAAGAATACCTTCTCATTCAAACTAAAATGTCAAATGAACAAAACACAGGAGGCAAGAAAAGTATGTCTCTTCTCCCACCTTAGCAGGAAACTATAGGATAGTCAACACCACCACAACCACCTGCTGAGTCTTAGTTCACATTTAGGAAATACCGCTTGAGAGATTAGATAAGGAAAAAGTTATTAAAAATTATTCCTAGAGAGCCATTTAACAGCTGTTATTGTCCCAGAGATCAAAACCAAGATAAATGAAAATGCAAACCCACTGGTTCCAAGAAAAAGATGATACAGGTAGAGCTTTCTTGGGGCAGGAATCCTATTCAACACCTGTTATGTGACCTTGGAGAAGAAAGTCATTTCATAAATTTGTATCTTACTTTCTCATTTAAGAGAAAGAGAACTGGAACATCTAGAGACCAGTTTTCTGGAACAGCTCCTTGCTAATACTAATCTCTAACTCTACCAAGAGAGGAAACAGAACAAAGCCCAGCTGCGGCTGGATGGCCAGGGCTCTTTTCATTTCCCACTATGCTCTATGCCAATGTCCATGACAGCCCTAGTCTGCACTTTGCAGCTCCTGAGAACAAACTGCAGGGTCAGGCAGGCAGCAGGCTCAGCCTGGTAAGGTGGCAAGATCTGAGGGTGGAGGAATGTCTGTTGGTGAGGAGCATCCACTCCACACAACAGCACCAATGAGATGTTAACTGGCACTGTGCCTATAGGCCTTGTTTCGGTTTTCATTTGAATCCCTCTGAGTCCCACCGTGTGATTCCCTGCCAGGAAGAAGTGGCTTACCCTTGATGTGAGCATAGAACAAGAGTGCCCACATCATGGGCCCGGGCAGAACAGCACAACACATTCAAACAGACCAAGCTCATCAGGGCTTTGTCTCATGTAGATATACCTCAAGCAAAAAAACTTTTCACTGTTTCTCTTATTTGAAGGAGATGTCCACTGTCAGAGGCATTGTGGTAATTTTTTAAAAGCCAAGCTCAGCTGCCCTCGCCAGAGTCCAGGTGATCTACTGCAGTAATCCAAAAAAAGTCAAGGGCAAGTTTCCCTAGGAAATTACCTCAAGGAAAACAAAACAAGGAATTGCTCTTTCAGAGGCCCCCAGGCTTATGTGATCTGATACTTAAGAGTGATTTGTAAAACTCTATTTGTTCTCCTTTCCCTGTGTGTTGCTAATGAGATGACAGTGTATATCAAAAAAGGCATTAGAATACATTGATTAGGCTATTGTGCCAACTCGGGGGCTGACACCTACAGCACCATTACACATAAAACCGAAGAGGGACCACAAGGATGGTTCTGTTTGCTAACTAATAAAATAATGATATCCAAATACTCACTGCTATCACCATTAGGCCTTTCTACTGCTCAACTCCCAACCCACCATCTGGTCTAGCCTGTAAGGCTAGATTTATCTAATTAGCACTGGGACCGTCTGCTACTTACTACTCAGGGTCCCAAGCCCTTTGCCAAAACAAAAACAAAAACAAAAACAAAAACAAAACACGGCAATATCCCTCTCCTTTTCTGGATCAACACATGAATCCAGCTGGGGATATAGAACCAAAGGAACTGGGAGAAGTTTCAGAAGTGAGACCATCTTGGTTTTCTAACTCTGAGGCTGACAATGCTCAGAAAAATAAACAGAAACTAACAATTTACACTCTAACCACCAAAAGCAGGGAGAGAAAGAAAATAAAGAAATCATAAATGTTAAGTAGTACATGAACCTAAATAGGAAAGGAGATGAGACTCTATGGGCTTTAAGACAGCTTTGAACAGTTACCATTTTATCTACATTTAATGTCTCGAAAATGTCTGTTGGGTATGTTATTAAAGTAGACTTTCCTATCTTGCTGTTACATAGATCCAGCTCGTGTGTGTTAACGTTTATTTTGGTCAAACACCTAGAAGGCTATAGTAACCCTCAAAACTCATCACCAACACACAAAAAAGCATTTAACTGCTTACGGAGACAAGGTGTGCAGAGGAGAGTACAAGTAAGATTTTCCTTCTTCTGGAAAGCTTGGCTCTAAAACCCCTTAAAAACTGGGCATATGGACAAAAAGCATTTCGTCAGCCTCAAATCCAGGCCACTGTGCTTGCATTTGTATTATATGATGACGATTCCAAGTCAATAGCTATCTCCCAAATTCTGCCCTCTCCCCTGACTCCACCCAACTTCATAACTCTTCCTGGCTACTGCAATGAGCTCACAGAGATATGCAAAGGACAAACGAAAAGAGAATGCTGAAAATTGTAACAGCTTCTCCGGTAGCATATTCAGTTTCAGAAATTTTGCAGCTCATGATCTGGGGTTTCACTTCTACCCTAATGGGATGTGGTGGCATAGAGTGATTTGGTAGCTCCATTGCACTGGGTTCTGTTTACAATTTCATTCTCACATTTGCTGTTTGTTGTCTATTAATTTCACATGTGGAAAAGGAAATGTTCAGTTACAATAAGTGTCACTGCTTCCATTCACTTGTGCAGCTTCCTCTCGTAAGGCTGAAATTTTGATGAGTTAATTCATACAGGAAGAGATTTCTTGGATCTCAATTACTTGTTTATTTAGGCCACAGGAAAGTAATGTACTAATGACAAAGAACAACTAACTCATCCTTTTTGGATTCAACAATAATATAAGGTAGAGAGAAAAGGGAGAAGTAAAATATAGCCGAAGACACCGGCTATAGCTTACACACCATTAGAAGTCTTTGTGGTGCTCCATACCTTGTGTGACCCCAGCAGCACACAAACTTTAACACGTATCAAACTCACCAGGAGGGCATATTAAAACACAGAATGCTGGGACGGGGCCTGAGAATTTGCATTTCTAACAAATTCCCAGGTGTCTCTGATGTTGCCGGACTGGGACTACACCTGAGAAATGCGACCTTGTCAAATAATCCTTAGTCTGGGAGATGCATCTCCAGCAACTGGCTTTCACTTAAAGGCAAAAAACATATTGGAAAAAAATGATGGGGTATTTAGCTGGGCAGTGAAGAATGGAAATAAAGATTAGGAAAGAAAGGATTTTCAAATCAAAACTGCTCTAGAACTTCAGGGGGCAGCTCCGGAGGGAGAAAAAACAATGCAGGAGACAGCAGGAAGCCATGTTCCAGACTCTGCAATGTAATCTCCTCCCAATTAGAAATGATTTCCAAGTGAAAATGCCCTAGCAGGGAATGGGAGGGGTTAGAAATACTGATGCCTGGAGGAGCAGATGGCTCTGCCTTCCTATCAGCTCCATAAATTATAAACAAACACCTTGTACAAAGATCGATTTGTAGCCTGTTGCTGGCTGGCCAGATGAGGCCACGGGAGCAATTAGCAGTTGCAGTGCCTTTGCAAATGCATTAGATACCGATTTGGAAAACCCAAGGGGGGTTAAATCAGCAGAAAAATTTCCTCCTGGCTATCTCTGAGCCCCCTGGATTTCAGAATAAGGCCTGTACAGAGCTCCAGATGACCCATAAACACTCCCTGAAGGCACTATATCCCCTGTGGTATCGCCTGCCCCACACCACTCATCCGCCGGGTTTCTTAAGGCCTATTCTGACAGGACAGCCTAGTGACCAATTCCATTCACCCAGTAAGAGTTCACTCTTAAAAATCATAGTGAATCTAATGTGCCACTTTTTTCAGGAAAGCAATTTCAAAATTATTTATGCATGAGGCCTTATTCATAAACTTCTAAACACTAATCTCAAATCTCAAGTGAGAGAAGCAGGTGGCAAGATCTTTAGCCTAACTCCAGGAAAAGGTTAAATGCAATTCACATAAATCAACTTGGTGGTTGCTGAACTCATCAGTAAAACACAGAATCAGGCTGGGCTCACACCTGTAATCCCAGTACTACGGGAGGCCAAGGCAGGGTAATCACTTGAGGTCAGGAGCTCGAGACCAGCCTGGGCAACACAGCGAGATCTCATCTCTATAAAAAAAAATTTAAAAATCAGCCAGATATGGTGGCATGTGCCTGTAGGCCGAGTTACTTGGAAGGCCGAGGCAGGAGGATCATTTGAGCTCAGGAGTTTGAGGTTATAGTGAGATATGATCACGCCACTGTACTCCAGCCTGGGCAACAGAGCGAGACCCTGTGTCTAAAAATAATAATAAGTAAAATAAAACATAAAACCTCAAAGATTAAACTCACGTGGAACTTTCAAATGAATAATCAGACAGATCACTAGAACAGAACAGAGAGTCCAGAAATATATCTAAATACAGAAAAGAAATTAATAGTATGATGAAGATGACATCCCAAATAAATGGAGATAAATGGATTATTAATTAGTTGGGACAAGTGAGTAGCCATATGGGGGGGAAATTGGATCATACTTTGATTATTTGGGACTAAATTTCCTAGTGAATCAAAGACTTAACTATTAAAAAACTAAAATATAAAAGTTATAAATGATCTCCCTAATGATGACACAAAACCAAGGAACCATAAAAGGAAAGTTGTATAATTTTGACTCCTTAAAATAAGTTCTATGACAAAAATAACCTTCAGCAAAGTCAAAACTCGAATGACAAGTAGGAAGCTCCTATTATAAGTTAATTTTCTGATTTATAAAGAATTCCTGTAAAATTGCTAAGGAAAAGACCAGTAACACAACAGAAAAATTGGTAAAGCACATGGACAGGTCAAGAGAAGGGAACACAAATGGCTGTGTATATGAAGAGGCATGCAATCTTGTTTGTAACACAAAAAATACAAATTTAAAATGCCCACATACTACTTTTTTTTTTTAACATATCAGATTTGCAAATATCCAAAAATTTGATAGTACATTCTATCAGCAAGAGTTTATGAAATCAGGCACTCTCATGAACTCCAAGTGGAATAATAATTTGGCACGAGCTGTATAGAGTGTGGTATGGCAATAACTACACACTCTTCCCCCCTGCAATTCCATTTCTAGAAATGTATCCTAGAGATATACCTGCATATGTGCAAAATGATAAACTGCAGCACAGTTTGTAGAGTAAAAGATTGAAAATGACCTAAAGGTCCTTTAATAGTAGACTAGTTATGGTACATTCATACAATGGAATAGTAGGCAGTCATAAAAAAGAACAAATAAGCTCTTTATATACTGACATGAAAAGAACACTGAGCTATACTGTAAAGAAAAAGGGCAGGAAGTACAGACGAGTACATACAGCATGCTACCATTTGGGTTAAATAAAAGGCAGAAAAACATAAATTTGCATTTGCTTGTATATACATATAATATTTCTGAAAAGATATATAAGGAACTGCTAACAGTGGTTACATGTGAGGAGGAGTGGTAGGATTTGGGGGCTTCTTACTGTATTAATCTTTTATATTTTTTAAATTTTTGAACAGTAATATCAATTTCAGATGACAATTAAAGAAAGAAAGTGACAAAATAACAAAACAAAATAATTTTAAATAAATTATGGCCAACTTTAAATAAATTATGGAACAGAAAGCTAGAAATGAAGAAGCAAACTTCATTTTCAATAAGGGAAAATGTGGATTGTGGTTAATTTCCAGCAGAGTTAAAGAATGAATTACTGGACATGTGGCCTATAAGCACTTAGAAATAGATGGTTGCTGCTGAAGTTTCATTGAGACAGGACATGAAAAATTAAACTGATTTTCCTTGTCCAATAAAGATACCAAGACTGGCATCAGGAAATGCCACAGACAGAGAATATCTTAATTATTTTAAGGCAACTGGCAAAGTCTTATAATATCATACAGACAAGATAGAAAAATGTCGTCCTCAGATATGAACAACCAAGCCCAGAGTGGTAATTCATAAACCAAAATCAACACAGAGGAAGTCCACAGTAATGTACTACAAGGTTTGGTGCAATGCCCTGCCTGATTCACTACTTTTTGCTAACAATCTGACAGAAGACAGAAAAGCATGTTTATTGAATTAGTAGACAATGGAATACTGAGAAAGAAGGACTAAAACAAAGTTCAAATAGATGATGAGAGGCAGGAAAAAGAAACTACAGTTGACAGAAAAAATTGAATAGAAACAAATACAAATCTGTTTTCGTTATTAAAAGATAAGCTGGGCCGGGCACGGTGGCTCACGCCTGTAATCCCAGCACTTTGGGAGGCCGAGGTGGGTGGATCACCTGAGGTCAGGAGTTCGAGACCAGCCTGGCCAATATGGCAAAACCCCGTCTCTGCTAAAAATACAAAAATTAGCTGGGTGTGGTGGCGTGCACCTGTAGTCCCAGCTACTCGGGAGGCTGAGGCGGGAGAATCGCATGAACCTGGGGGTGCGGAGATTGCAGTACACCGAGATCATGCGACTGCACCCCAGCCTGGTGACAGAGCAAGACTCTGTTTCAGAAAAAAAAAGATCAAGCTGTACAAGTACAGGAAGGTTGAGTCTTGGTTTATTAACAATTATCAAGAAATTTTAAGTGACTAAAAATTCAAGAGTGGCTTCTGAAAAAACTGCTGAAACCATAGGGTAAGCTAATAGTGTCTGAAGCACCACTGTACTATGTATTCGACAGCTCACATCTAGAGTTTTCTATTCTTTTCTGCCCTCCTCCACTGAAAGTTAAAAGGAAAGAGGAGCAGAACTGTCAAGGATTTGGAAATCAGTGAAAGGAATCTAAGGAGGTTTGACCTTTCAACAAAGATTTAATGGAAAATGGCAGCTTAGTTTAAATAGTCAGAGTACTGTCACTTGAAAGAAGCATTACGAGATTTATACTATGGAGGTTCAGAGACAGAACTAGGACCAATGGGAGAAAGTGACAAGGGAAATGGTGGCTCAGTGCAAAAAAAAAAAAAACTTTTTTTTTTTTTTTTTTGAGACAGGGTCTTGCTTTGTTGCCAAGGCTGGAGTGCAGTGGTGTGATCTTGGCTCACAGCAGCCTCGACCTCCTGGGCTCAGATGATCCTCCCACCTCAGCCTTCCAAGTAGCTGGGACTACAGATGTACGCCACCATGCTCAATTAATTGTGTGTTTTTGTTTTTTTTTGGAGATAGGGTGTCACTCTGTCACCCAGACTGGAGTGTAGGGATGTGATCTTGGCTCACTGCAACCTCTGCCACACAGGTTCGAGCAATTCTTGTGCCTCAGCCACCCGAGTAGCTGGGAAAACAGGCATGCACCACCACACTCAGCTAATTTTTGTATTTTTAGTAGAGACGAGGTTTCATCATGTTGGCCAGGCTGGTCTTGAACTCCTGGGATCACGTGATCCTCCCAACTCAGCCTCCTAAAGTGCTGAGATTACAGGTGTGAGCTGCTACACCTGGCTGAAAGAATATTTTAACACAAATCTAGCAGTGATGGTCAGGCCACCTTGTCAGTGTGGTCTATCATCAGAAGCAGTCAAGCAGAGGCTGGACCATCCCTCTCAGAAATGTGCAAGAGAGAGCCCTTCACGAGGTAGAAAGTGAAATGAGAGGTTTAAAATGTTGTGATTCCAATAGAACAACTGGGATGTGGACTGCAGACTTCACTAGAAGCAAGGAAACTGAAACAGTCATGTTTGTAAATCAGATATCAACCATACCATTGAGATGAATAAAGATACGAAAACTGGCATATCAGGAAATGCCACAGACATAGAATATCTTAATTATTTTAAGGCAACTGGCAAAGTCTTATAATATCACACAGACAAGATAGAAAAATTTCAGCTTCAGATATGAACAACTAAGCCCTATGGGATTATAGGTGCATGCCATCATGCCTAGCTAGTTTTTGTATTTTTAGTAGAGACAGGGTTTTACCATGTTGGCCAGGCTGGTCTTGAACTCCTGACCTCAAGTGATCCGCCTGCCTTGGCCTCCCAAAGTGCTGGGATTACAGGCGTGAGCCACCGCACCCAGCCTGTAACTCTCAATTAAGCAATTCAGCAAACATGTCTTGCACCCACCCTCAGCAGCAAACAATGTAAGGTACTGAAGTAGACACAAAAACAAAGATTTCTCTGCTCTGAAGAGTTTGTGGACTAGTAGTTCACTGGTCAAAACCTAAAGTTTAGGTGGAACTGAAAAGAAGAGAAAGAGAAGGGAGTGTAGGATCCAAGAGCTAAACCTTGTGACCCTTTTAGGAAAGACTACAGTGATGTTAATTAAACTCGATTAATCCAGATCTTAATAGACTTAAGTGTATGGTATGGTTGATATCTGGTTAATGGACCTGAAAAGAAAGTTACAGAAGAGGTGCAGAAATGGCATGTAGATAACAACTGCTCAATAGGATGATGAAAAACCCAGTGCTCCATGAATTTTTGAGTTCTGGCTCACCAGCAAATATAACCCTTCCACTGATACCCCCATTTGACATTGACTTACCATTACTGATTTCAGGGAGGTCAAACTTAGTGAAGTCCCACCACTGGAGCCGGTAGGTAGTATTGGCAATGTTACTGGCCACAGCAGACTGTCCATCACCGATCACTGCCCCTTATGAGGAAGAAGTCAAAGACAGCACATTATATTATTTATCCACGTTTCCACTGCAAAACATAAAACAATACTGGGATTAGTAGTGGGGAGAGAAGAGGAAAAACTAGACTATGGCTGAAGAAAGCTAATGAGTCCCATCTGGCAAGTCTTTGTCTCAAAGAAAAACCAGGCATGTTTGCCAGGGAACAATTCAATGTGGAAATATAATCCCATTCATCAGTCCTTCCCATTGTTACTTAACATTTACTTAGTGCCAACAACGTGGCAGGTACTGTACATACATGGTCTGGTAGGCTCAACATCTAAAAGAGACAGGTGAATTTTCACAAAAATGTGAGAAAAGAAAAATGAAAAATGGGAAGACACCATTAACACAGAAAAGCCAGCAGCATTTCAGTCCCTGGACATCCTGATAGTAAGCAGCACTCTTTCAGACAAAGTATCTCCTCCTTTATCACTTTCTTCCTAATAGGACATCTCAAAAACAGGCTTCCTCCAGGGAAGAGGCAGCTACTATACAGCTGATTGGATAGAAACAGACAGTAAAAAACAAATAAGGTAATATTCATTCATCTCTTCTGGACCCCTGGCACGTAACACAATAAAAATTTATGAGCCTCACTTTGTAGCATCAGAATATTTTTATTAAGGCCATCTTTTATAATACCTACCCCCTAAGAACCTCCTTGAATCCACATTTGCTTGTAACATCTCCAGGTTTAACTTTCTCTGAGATATATTCTTCTGTATGACATTTTTTTCCTTGGTAACCAATTAAATAAAAAATGGATTTTTTTAACAGGGTGACACTTTAATTTGCAGTTGTATTTCATTTACATGAACATGTCATTTCCTCCTCCTCCTTCTGAGGTGCATTTCATACACAACCACCCTCCTTCTGATCAGACAGAGTCAAACCCTGTTGGAAGAATAGAACATTCTTGTATGCTAGCTAACCTAAATGGTATTCTCAGCTGTAAATCAAAGGCTACTGTGAAAAACTGAACTTGTTAGAGTTTACCAGCCTTGGAAAAATGGACAATTTCATACCCAGATTCTTCAGTATCACCTAGTCTTCCTCCTCTGCACATCACTGCAAAAGCATCTTGTGAACTGTAGTTTTTTTCTTTTAGAGAGCGGCATTTATTGCACTGCTACTCCTGGTGTCCCTTTCTTTCCCCAAATGATCAAGAGATGGTTCAAAGAGAAAACCTTCATAGAAGCCAAGAAATATGAGAAAAGTACTCTCTGCACTCTTCCGGTTGCTGCTGGCCACTGTGTCAGAAGACTGTTTTTCAGCATTAATTTATTGACAGTCTTGTCTTTGTCTCATTTTCAATTTGTAAGGAAAAGTACAAATAACAGTTCATTTCCAAAATGATGATACTTCTAGATCATGCATTCTCAACATGGGAAATATCATCCCCATGGGGGTAAAAATTGGTTCAAAGGGGCAAAAAAAAGAAAAACAAAAAAAAAAAAACAAAAAAAAACTTAGTGTAATCATTTGTTCCCCTCCAAAGCATCAGAGTATATAAATAGATACACATTGTATCTGTGATATTAAAATTTCATGGGAGGAGAGACAAGTAGGGAAAAAATGTCTAAAAAGGTTCCTCAGGAGGACAATAATGGAATAAAGGCTAAAACAAACCGTTCTAGATAAATGAATACCCACAAAACAAGACATCCTTTAAAATCTTGCAAATTCAAAGACATAAGCCCAGTCATGCTCTCCCTGAGACCTGAGAATGACAGCATTTGGGGGTGTGCTGTCAGTGAGTCCACTGACCTCAAATCTCTATTTGAGGTCCCTGTGGCGTATCATAAGATGAGGTAAATATATACCCTTGCTTTAACCTTCACAGAAAATTCCCCTTTAATAATTATATCTGACTTTTGCTGAACCTCTGGGTCATGAGGAGGGTAAGATACCTGAACGACTTTATTAAAAGGAACTTTCTTGATTTTTCTATGCCTCTTTGATAATGAAAATCATTCTTTAGTTACAAGGTCTACCACTTCCCTGGAAGGAATTATTCCATTTCATTCTGATCCAGGCTCAGTTCCACTGAGTTTCCGAATTGTTTCCTGGGCTTGCTTATCAAGATGGTTGACACCCTCCTTTGACCACTAGTCTCTCAAATTAATTTAGCTCCTTATCATTTTCTCCAGCTTTTAACAACCCCAAATGATAGAAGGTAAGTTGATTTTCTCAGTACATGATGAACAAAATGCTAGTTGCTAAGAGAGGGTAGAAAATAAATTGAAAAAACAAACTTCATATTTTAAGAGCTTATTCTGGGGGAAGGGATAAGAACTACAAACAGGAAAACAGTTAAGGAATAATACCAGATGCTTTTTGAGTACTGTGGATCTGCAAATGGGAACACAAATGATTAAGACTCCCAAATCCCGGCTCCAGAGGCATCCTGTACTGTCCATGTCTCAAGAAACATCTTCTGGAGAACAGCTGTGCCATAAAATCAACATGTAGGGTTGCCACTGTGTGGAAGAGACTGGGGAGGTGCTCTCTGCCAATGGTGCCAGGGTGCTGAGGAGGAATGAAGCCTGGCACCAAGGAGAGTCATTTTTTTTGTGTCATATAAACACAGATTAGGGAGCTAAAGATGCCAGCAACAGATTAGAGTACTGTTACCAGGTTCTTTTCTTCAAGAACTGTAGGCCAACTGAGCCTGTCTCTTGGAAACAACAGGAGGAAAAAGCCTGATGTTATTAAAACAACCCCAACCATTTAGTAGGCCTCTGGCCACTAAGATGAAGGCAGGAAATGTGCCAGAGGGGGTTAATGGACTGAGCTAGAAAGTATTTACATACGAGGCACTTAGCCTCAGAAACCAAATCCTGAGAGACTGCTAAGGGATTTCTAAGGTTTCAAGGTTCTCCCATGTAGTAATGACAGAATGGAACAAGCTAGACTCAGAGTTTCTCAACCTCTGCACTACTGAAATTTTAGGACAGATAATTATTTGTGTGAAGAGTCTTGTGCATCGCAGAACATTTAGCATCCCTGGCCTCTACCCACTAGATGCCAGTAGCACCCCACTCCACATAGTTGAGACAACCAAAAATGTCTCCAGACACTGCCGAATGTCCTCTGGGGATAAAAATCATTCCTAGTTGAGAAATGCTAAGCTAGATAAACATATCCTACATTTTAACTCCAGGGTAGGTGCTCTTAGCACCACTACTAGAATGTCTGCTGCTAACAAGTGATGCTGTTATAGTCATGGAAAGAAACTAATCCAAGGCACAGCATTACAACTTCAATTTTCCATATCTGCCAATGGGATCTTACGGCTTGTTTTTTGTTTGTTTTGAGAATACAGGTTTCAGAATCAACTGGACCAGATTTTGACACTTCCTGTCATTATCTACTATAGTGTGACTTTGTATAAATTAATCTCTCTGAACCTCAGTTTCCTTATCTGTAGAAAAGGGTATAATAGTACCTACAACTTACAGGATTGTTGGAAGAACTTACTAAGACAATAAATACAAAGTGGTCGGGCATGGTGGCTCACGCCCATAACCCCAGCACTTTGGGAGGCCAAGGTGGGCAGATCACTTGAGCCCAGGAATTTGTAACCAGCCTGGACAGAGTGAGACTCTTATCGCAAAAAAAAAAAAGGCCACGCGCAGTAGCTCACACCTGTAATCCCAGCACTTTGTGAGGCCAAGGCAGGAGGATCACTTGAGGTCAGGAGTTCGAGACCAGCGTGACCAACATGGTGAAACCCTACCTCTACTAAAAATACAAAAATTAGCCAGGCATAGTGGTGTGTGCCTGTAGTCTCAGTTACTTGGGATGCTGAGGCATGAGAATTGCTTGAACCCAGGAGGAGGAGGTTGCAATGAGATGAGATCGCACCACCACACTGCAGCCTGGGCAACAGAGCAAGATTCTGTCTCAAAAAACCCAAAAACACAAAACACAAAAATTAGCCAGGTGTGGTGGCGTGTACCTGTAGTCCCAGCTACCCAGGAGACTGAGGTGGGATAGCTTGAGTCTGGAAGGTGGAGGTTGCGGTGAGCTGAGACTGCACCACTGCACTACAGCCTGGGTTACAGAGCCAGACCATCTTGTAGATAGATAGATAGATAGATAGATAGATAGATAGATAGATAGATAGATAGATAGATAGATAGATAGATAGTGATGGCAAATACTAAGTGCATAATAAATGGCCTTTAAAATTATGTCTGTCATCTACTCCACTCTCTGTGTGTATTGCATCTACAGTTACAGCCTGGGTGACACAGCCAGACCATCTTGTAAATAAATACATAAATAAATAGTGATGGCAAATACTAAGTGTCTAATAAATGGCCTTTAAAGTTATATCTGTCATCTACTCCAATCTCTGTGTGTATTTCATCTACAGTTACACTACTACTTACATCAGCATCAACAGACAGCTTATAGAGAGATGTCCTTGTGTAAGAGACTGGCCCAAATAGTGTGCCAGGGCCAAGAGAGAGAAGTGTTTAATCTGAAGATTAAAATAAACTGTCTAGGCCCTATACTATTTGGCAACTTTCTCCTTGAAAACAGCCCAGGCCAAGACAGACCACCTTCTGGGCCACAAAACACAATGTAACAAATACAAAAGAAAAGGAATAATACATATTACACTTGCAGACTACAAGAGAACTAAACTAGAAATCCGTAATAAAAAGATAACTGGAAAATCCTATAAAACTGACAGATTAAACAATACATTTCTGAACAACACATGGCTCAAAGAATATGTCTCAAGAGAGATTTAAAAATATTTTGGATTAAATGTAAATGAAAATGAAAACATGACTTCTCAAAATTCGTGAAATGTAGTGAAAGCAGTGCTTAGAGGGAAATTTATAGCATTGAATGCATGTATAAGAAAAGACGAAAGATCTAAAATCTGTAATTTAAGCACCTACCATAAGAAAGAAGAAAAAGAGCAAATTAAACCCAAAGTAAGCAGAAGAAAAACATGAGCAGAAACCAATGAAACTGAAAACAGGAAATCACCTATAGAGAAAAATCAATAAAACCAAAAACTTTGAAAGATCAATAAACAATAAACATCTAGGTAGGCCAACTACGAAAAAAGAGAGAAGATACAAATTACTAATACCAGAAAAGAAAGGGGGGCCATCACTACTGATCCCATGGACACCAAAAGGACAATAAGGGAATACTATGAACAACCGTATGCCTACAAATTTGAAAACCTACATGCAATGGACTAACTTTCCTTGAAAGACACAGTATATTACAATTTACACAAGAGACAAATAATCTAAATAGGCCTATATCTATTAAATTGAAGCAATCATTAATAATCTCCTAAAACAGAAAGAACTGGGCCCAGATGGTTTCACTAAATTCTACCAAACATTTAAGGAAGAAATTGTACCAGTTCTCTAACGTCTCTTCCAGAAAATAGAAATATGAAATACCTGCAACTAACATCATACTCAATGGTGAGGAACTAGATACTTTCCCCCTAAGACCAGGAACAAGGCAAGGAAGCCCCTTCTTACCAATACTTTTCAACATCATATTGGAAGTCCTAGCTAATGCAATCAGAAACCACCCCCCACCGCAAAACAAAGTAAATAAAAGGTATACAGATTGGAAGAAATCTGTTTGTTGCCAGATGACATCACTGTCTAATCCCAAAGAATCAACAAAAAAACTCCAGTAACTATTAAATAATTATAGCAAGGTTTCAAGATACAAGGTCAACTGCTTTCCTATATTGCAGCAATGAACAAATGAATGACTGGAACTTGAAATTAAAAATACACCACCACTTACATTAGCATCAAAAAAATAAACTTAGGTATAAATCTAACAAAATATGTACAAGGTCTATAGGAGGAAAGCTACAAAACTGATGAAAGACATCACAAAGGATAAAACTAAATTAGCGAGATATTCCATGTTCATGAATAGGAAGGCTCAGTACTGTTACAATGTCAATTCTTCTCAGCTGGATCTACAGATTCAACACAATCCCAATCAAAATCCTGAATTATTTTGTGAATATTAACAATCTGATTCTAAAGTTTATATGAAAGGGCAAAAGACCCAGAATAGCCAACACAATATGGAAGGAAAACACAAAATTGGAGGATTGACACAACCCAACTTCAAGACTTAATATAGGCCGGGCGCAGTGGCTCACGCCTGTAATCCCAGCACTTTGGGAGGCCAAGGCAGGTGGATCATGAGGTCAGGAGTTTAAGACCAGCCTGACCAACATAGTGAAATCCCATCTCTACTAAAAATACAAAAATTAGCGGGGCGTGGTGGCGCATATCTGTAATCCCAGCTATTCAGGAGGCTGAAGCAGGAGAATCGCTTGAACACAGTAGGTGGAGCTTGCAGTGAGTCGAGATCACGCCACTGCACTCCAGCCTGGGCAACAGAGCGAGACTGTCTCAAAAAAAAAAAAAAAAACAACTAATGTCCACACAAACACCTACACATGGATATTTATAGCAGCTTTATTTATTTATTCATAATTGTCAAAACTTGGAAGCAACCAAGATGTTCTTCATTTAAGAGATGAATGGATAAACTGTGGCACATCCATACAATGGAATATTATTCATGCTAAAAGAAATGAGCTATCAATCCACAAAAAGACATGGAGGAACCTTAAGTGCATGTTACTAAATGAAAGAAGTCAAAGGCTACATACTATAGGATTCCAACTGTATGAGATTCTGGAAAAGGAAAAGTTATAGAGACAGAAAAATGATGGGTAGTTGGTAGGGGTTGGTTTGCAGGGAGGCAGAGACGAACAGGTGAGCACAAGATTTTTTTTTTTTTTCTTTTCTTGAGAGAGGGTCTCACTCCATTGCCCAGGCTGGAGTGCAGTGGTGCAATCACGGCTCACGGAAGCCTCAATTTTCTGGGCTCAGATGATCCTCCCACCTCAGCCTCCCGAGTAGCTGGGGCTACAGGTGTGTGCCACCATGACCAGCTGATTTTTTTTGTATTTTTTGTAGAGATGGGGTTTCACCATGTTGCCCAGCCTTGTCTCCAACTCCTGAACTCAAGAGATCCACCTGCCTTGGCCTCCCAAAGTGTTGGGATTATAGGCATGAGCCACCATGTACAGCCACAAGGAGATTTTTTAAGCAGTAAAGTTATTTTCTATGTTACTACAATGTTGGATACATGGCACATACATTTGCCAAAACCAGTGAAATTTACAACACCAAGCATGAACCCTAATGTAAACGCATACTTTGAGTGATAATGATGTGTCTACGTTGGTTCATCAGCTGCAGCAAATGTACCACACTGGTGTGGACAGTGGGGAAGCCTGTGGGTGTAAGGGGAGGGAGTATATGGGAACTGTCTGTATTTTCCACTCAACTTTTAATAAACCTAAAAAAGAGGGAGGGGCCACGACTTTCATTCACATTCTAGGAGACAGTGGGAACAGCAGCTGTTCATAAGGACAATACTAGTCATGGTAGTTCATATCTATCATATAACCACAGAAATTCCTTTCATTGAGGCTTAGAGCAAAAGAAGAAATAAAGATTATTCTGATGACAGACAAAACAAGGAGGAAAAGAAGCTTAAATCCAGTGATCCTGGCTAACTATCAGCCAACAACAATGGCAAAAACTAAGCTGCCAAGTCTCATTCCAGAGTCAGGTCTTCAACTTGTAGGCCAGAGCTCCCAGAATGTGTCTAGGGATAAAATCATAATAATCATCACAGTCACATGATAGGTGAGCTCTGCCAAGCCTAATAGCCTCTGTGCATCTCTCTACCTTTGCTTCTCTCAGAAACTCTTCTCTTCTGTTGCTTGGAAAGAATTAGGAATCTTTTTTCAAAACAGCTTCACAGCTTCTCTCTAAGATTTGTTCTAGGAGAAGGGAAATGAAAAGTATGATTCAACAGTTCAGTGAAGATACTGAACAATGGGAATCATTAGCAAATCTATCAGAAAAGCTAATTCGGGGAAGGTAAAAAAGGGCAAGTTGCAAAGAAGGAAATGATTAAATTACATTTCAGTCCTGAAAAATCTGTTTAACTTGAGACTTTCTAATTCAGAATGGCCATCTCTGACTGTGTGCTGCTGGGAAGATGAAATAAGAATGGGGTTGGGGATGTAAACACTCATCATCCTGGAGACACAATTACTATCTTTCTGCTTGGCTGTTATATGAACCTGCCCTGGGCTTTCTAGTCTCAGCTCTCCTGACCAGCTGAGCTGGAGGAGAGCTGAGACTAGAAAGCCCAGGGCAGGTCCAACTGAAAAACTTATCAACTTTTCAAACAGATTGACAGTTGCTTTGGGCTGGAGGGATGTGAGAGAGGGAAAGGGGAAGTGACTGCTGATGTGTATGGGGTTTTTTAGGAGGTGATAAAGATGATATGAAATATCTAGATAGAGGTGATGACTGCACAACTCTATATACTAAAAGCCATTGAAATGTATACTTTAAATAGGTGGCCTGTATGGTAGGTGAATCATATCTCAATAATGCTGTTATTAAGAAAACACTATTCAAATAAATGTCTATCAATTTGTGAAGTAAAAAATGGTAATCCTATTTTTTGGATCCATTTCATTTCCTTAATAATTAAGAGTATTGGTGAACATCTTTTCATTTGTTTACCAGCTCACTGTGTATCTTTTAGATGGTCTACTAGTGTCTTATGTACATTTTAAAAACCTTTGTTATTTTAAGGTTTTTTGTTGTTGTTGTTGTTGTTGTTTGTTTTTTAGATGGGGCCTCACTATGTTGCCCGGCTTGCCTTGAACTCCTGGCCCTTAAGTGATCCTCCTGCCTCAGACTTCCCAGTAACTAGGACAACAGGCACATGCTACCCTACCTAGCTTTGGTTACTTTAACTTTTCTCTTATGGATTATCTGAGCTCTCTGTAAATAAATACACTGGCTTCTGTTTACAAAAAATAATTCTCAGAGCAAGGGAACCATCTTCCCTTTCTGAGTATATCTGCATGGCATCCTAGGAAGAACACTTAATCTTCTTTCCAGAAAGCTTCATTCAAATGCAGTCTTAAAATCTGTCCTAAGAAAGGGGTATAACTAAGTACTCAGTCACACTCACTCTAATCATCATTTAATCTAATCTGAAATCACAGTCAATGTATCCTATAGCCTGGTACCTGGAAAAAGTCCCTGATGACAAATAAGAAGACTTCTTCCATGCTTAGAAGTGTCCCAAGTTTCTCTGAGTTCTCATTTATGATTCTGACATTGAGAAAAATGCCCAAATATATATGTGTGTCTGTCTGTTTAAAATTATAGCTTTACTGAGATATAACTTACAATTCACCTATTTTAAAGTATACAATTCAAGGTTATTAGCATATCCGCACAGTTATGTAACCATCAGCAAATAAATTTTACAACCACCATCATTACTGTCTAATTTCAGGCATTTTCATCTCCCCTAAATACCGTACCCATTAACAGTCACTCCCTTTTACTCTGTCCCACTCCTGCCCTAGCCCTAGGCAATCACTAATTGCTTCTCCTGGACATTTCATGTAATGAAATCATATGGTAGGTGGCCTTCTGTGTCTGGCTTCTTTCACTCAGCATAACATTTTCAAAGTTTATCCACGCTTATTGCATGTTTCAGTACTTCACTTTTTTTTTTTTCTTCCCCAAAGAGACAAGGTCTCATTCTATCACCCAGGCTGGAATGTAGTGGTGCAATCACAGCTCACTGCAGCCTTGAACTACTGGGCTCAAGCAATCCACCCACCTCAGCATCCCTAGTAGCTGGGATTACAGGCACGAGCCACTCTGCCTGGCTTCATTCCTTTTTATGACTGAATAATATTCTATCATATGTTTATAACTGAACCATAGGTTCATATGAGAATTAAATAGTAGTTTTTATTTTATAGAAAATATACTGTGTGGAAAACCAGCAATCATAAAAGGACTTAAGATAAATAGAATTATTTCCATTGTAAAGAAAAAGTAGGGCTTCAAAGACTAATTCTGAGTGTATTATCTATAGCTGAAATAGAGTCTTCACTGTTTCCTGAGGCTAAAAGATATGAAGAGTATTAGGGAACGTCATTTTCTGCAAACCACAAAAATAAAATCCCAAAAAAGCACCACGTGGCTGTCTATAATTCTGGCATAGGAAATGTTCTGAGTAAGGCACTTGGTCTATCATGTTTAGGCAGTTTAATAACTACTCTACCAGTCATTTAATCTGATGCTGAGATTAATCATTAAACAAGTTTGCAATATATTTAACATGAATTAAAGGGTAAATATTTTCTAAATACAGACTTCAATGGTTACGTGTCTTATTTGTAGGAATTAGGCCCCCAAATAAACATAATTTTATTGTCCAATAAACTCCTAAAGGCTCCAAAGAAGGATAATATTAGTCCACATGCAAATCATGAACTTTAGGGGCAGACCTGAGAAAGACTCTACTGAGGCCAAAGGCACTGGATCAGGCCAATATAGCAATGATAGTCTGAGAGTTCAACAAGAAAAGTAGCAAGGCCTGGAATACAGTGTATGAGGAAAGGAAAAGAAATAGCTATGAAATTTTTTTTTAATTTTTAATTTTTAGAGACGGGGTCTTGCTGTGTTGCCCTAGCTGATCTCAAACTCCTGGGCTCAAGTGATCCTCCTACCTTGGCCTCTCAAAGTGCTGAGATTACAGGCGTGAGCCATCATGCCTGGCAAACTGTGAAATATTCCTATGTATCACAGCTTCATAAAAAAATTTTCTCAAAACAACAATTCAAACCAGGATTACATGGCCACAGCACAGTAAGGTTTATAACAGGTCAAAAAAGAAAGAGAAATTGGCCAGGTGCGGTGGCTCACGCCTGTAATCCCAGCACTTTGGGAGGCCAAGGCAGGTGGATCACGAGGTCAGGAGATCGAGACCATCCTGGCTAACACGGTGAAACCCCATCTCCACTAAAAATACAAAAAAAAAAAAAAAAAAAAAATTCTCCGGGCGAGGTGGCGGGCGCCTGCAGTCCCAGCTACTTGGGAGGCTGAGGCAGGAGAATGGTGTGAGCCCGGAAGGCGGAGCTTGCAGCGAGCCGAGATCACGCCACTGCACTCCAGCCTGGGTGACAGAGCGAGACTCCATCTCAAAAAAATAAAAATAAAAAAAGAAAGAAAGAGAAATTAACCTGATATTCATTAAAGACACAGCAGTAGATAGAGCCTTCTTATCTGGAATAAGTAGTAAGTGAACAAGGAATCTGGTATTAGCTTTTTTTTTTTTTTTTTTGAGATGGAGATGGGTTCTTGCTGTGATGCCCAGGTTGGAGTGCAGTGGCATGACCACATCTTACTGCAGCCTCAACCTTCTGGGCTCAAGTGATTCTCCTAACTGAGCCTCCCAAGTAGCTGGGACCACAGGTGTACGCCACCCCACACCCAGCTAATTAAAAAAAAATTTGTTTTTGTAGATATGGGATCTCAGTATTTACCCAGGCTGGTCTTAAACTTCTGGCCTCAAATGATTCTCCTGCCTTGGCCTCCCAAATTGCTGGGATTATGGGCATAAGCCACTGCACCCAGCATAGGTTTTCTTTTTCTTTTTTTTTAATTGTGCTAAAAAGAATACAACATAAAAGTTTACCATCTTAACCATATTTAAGTGTACAGTTCAGTAGAACTGTATGTATGTAACAAATCTCAAGCTCTACTCATTAAACAATTCCTCTTTCCCTCTCTCCCCAGTCCCTGGTCACCACCATTCTACTTTCTATGAATTTGACTACTTTAGTTAGCCTCATATAAGCAGAATCATTTACTATTGGTATCTTTTAACATGCTTTGAAAGAGGAGATGCATAACTAGGTAGCGTGCACACAAAGACATTCACAGACATGGCATAAAATCAGAATAATATTCAACTCTACAGGAAAGTAGTAAGGTCTGATGGGAGAATATAACCTCTTGATCTGTCATGGCCAGAATGAAAATGGAGACTCCCTTAAAAAGCCAGTCAAATAACTCAAACAGAGGATAGGGCTCATGCCATCCGGCCTGGTGAGCCTCAGAAAGCATACAGCTTCCATAAGAATACTTTGCTCCCTAATTCAGTAATAATCCCCAATGATTCAATCACATTGCCTTGAACGCACCAGTGCCATCCAGAGTTCAGCAATGAGTTACCACCCCAAAGAAAGTAAGTAAGTTGCTCTTTACTAGGTCATCCTTCCTTCCTCCCATGACACTGAAACCCAGGATTAATCTGGGCTGTTTACAGGGTGGCTGGTGGCTCCTGGATCCCTGAAGTCAAGCTGAGATGCTCCTGTGTGGGTAGAGAAAGAGGGTGAGGCCTGTTTTTATCACCATGCTATAGACTTGCCCTCCCTCCTTCAATACATATGTCCTAATGAAGCAATTACCTGCACTTACACTAATGATGTAATTGGGACAAGTAATTATGAAAGCAGAACATCCATTTTCAAAGAAATGAGTATCATTACCTTTATTCCACCCACAAACATTATTTAAGACAAAAACAAATAAGCTCACAAGAACACATGCTACTGAAAGATTACTAGGAACAGTATTCCAAAAAACGTAGTGTTAAGGAAAAATGGGGGAAAAAAAAACCCCAAACACAAACATCTAGCATTCGCTCCCACCAGGCAGGGATTTCCTCAAAGCCTCTACCTCTGACAAAAGACTTGCAGGTGGATAAGAGTATTAAGAATTACTCTACCTCCACTAATACATTCCCCACAACCTGACACTGCCAATACTTAATCCCAGCAACAGAGGACACTGGCTTAGGTGGGTCCCTAGGTGAAGCCAGGAAAACTGTCAGCCTCTCATCATTATGCAATGCAGCTGCTTAAGGGGGTGCCTCAGCAGCATAAGAATGGGCAAAGAGAGGGGTGAAGGTAGGGAAAAGGACTGAGGGAGAAAAAGGTGAGAGAGAAAGAAAAAGAGAGCGACTGACTCAAACACTAAATGGCTCTCACCAATCACTTGTCTTAAATTGCTGAGACTCCCGCAGCTTTTATTGTTTGGTGGAAGCACAAGCGAGTGGAATTGGACCAGAGGGTCTTTGGCTCGTCAGCAGCAGGAGGGAAACGACCTTTATTGCTGCAAAGAGGATGCAGATTTCAAAAGCCTAAAATCTGCAATGAAGGGAAATGGAAATGTGCTGAACGTGGGTTTGACTGGCAGCTTTCCTCATCTGTCGATCACAGGGTAATAAACACTGGGAGATGGCAGAAATGAAGATAAATGCTTTCAGCAGCACCAGTCCCCACCCTCCCCTCCTCTTCCGCCCCCACTCAGCACATGACAAGAGAGTTAAAGCAAGAAAATAAATCAGCTTCTTAACCAACTCTTTTGTTAAAACTTTCCTTACAGGCCACCTACACGTGAATTATTGCTCTATGAGCCTACATTCACATTAGGGGGCCCAGCTTCTAAAGGGTGAAAAGCTCCTGTCAAATCAGCACCTGTACATTTCAGGGTACAGCATTACAGCTGAGTCAGTTGGGGCCAACATGCAAGAAAGAGGACAGGCCTGCTCCCAGCGAAGAAAGGTGAAGAGCTCCCAAGCCTGCTGAACCCTCTAATTCAAAGCCTGCTTCATTCAGGCTAAGGACAGCATGGTGTCAGTCCACTGCAATCACTGCCACATTACCATTACCCAGCGACAGACAGGCTAAGCTCCAAGGGCTAACAAATCCCACAGAACTTGGTGGTCAAAGGTGAGGTTAGATCGGAAAATGGACTCCTAAATACAACACTCAGTCCAACTTCACATTCACCTTGGAAGGGGGGAAAAATTTAACGGTTGACAATCTTGAGGGTGTTCCACAACTAGGTTCAAGGAAAATGTTAATTTTGAGATTTGTGGCATCAAGATAAAGCATCTGGCTGACTTGGTTACTGTAATGGAACTGAGGCTTTTTTGAGTAAGGTCAAAATATTAGTGATTCTTAATGGATTTGGTGGTGACGGTTGCTTATAAGATGGGCTGGGCCAGGCGCAGTGGCTCACGCCTATAATCCCAGCACTTTGGAAGGCCAAGGCAGGCAGATCACCTGAGGTCAGGAGTTCAAGACCAGCCTAATCAACATAGTAAAACCCCGTCTCTACTAAAAATACAAAAAATGAACCAGGTGTGGTGGTGCATGTCTATAATCCCAACTACTTAGAAGGCTGAGGCATGAAAATCACTTGAGCCAAGGAGGGAGGTGGAGGTTGCAGTGAGTCGAGATTGCGCCACTGCACTCCAGCCTGCGTGACAGGGCAAGACTCCGTTGCAAAAAAAAAAAAAAAAAGACATTCCACCCTACTGGCCCAGCCATGCTGTTTTCCTTTAGATTCTAAAATGGAAAAAAGATTTCAGACCCTTGTTCTGAAGTGCAGGAACCCACTAATGGAAAATCAGGAGCAAAAATAAGTGAGAGAGAGCATGGTGAATGGGTCTGTTTCACAGCATAAACTGCTCTGAAACTTGAGAAGTCCCCAGAACCAGGCATATGCTGTGGAATCTGAGGAGAACAGCACTTGTCATAAAAAGATAGCTAATTTGAAATAGCTTCTAATTAAAATCCAGTGTTCAAACATTAACACCAGGAACACAGTGGAAAAGCAATATTAGCAAGCCATATATTGAGACGCTGCTAAAAGGACGCACCTGGAACACAGCCATCCAGATGAGCCTTTTCAGTCTTGAAGCCTGTTTAAAACCCCACCTCCTCCCAGAAGCTTTCCTGAATTAGAGAGAAATCCCTGCCTACACACTATTAGCTGTTTTTCATAACACAAAACTTTGTCATCTGTTAGGTTACCTGACTACAAGTACATAAAGTTTCCTCCGAATTCAAGTGTTTTTGCCTCTGTGTACACTGAGCCATCGATTTTCCATTGGTACTGTGTGATTTTTCCTTCTTCTTGAGATGGTGAACTCCTTGAGAGAAGGGATCAACTTTTCCTTCATATAATATTTTTTAAGTTTTTAATTTTTTAAGAGACAAGATCTTGCTCTGTCGCCCAGGCTGGAGTGCTGTGGCATGATCATTGCTCACTACAGCCTTGAATTCATGGCCTCAAGTGATCCTCCCACTTCAGCCACCTGAGTAGCTGGGACTAAAAGCTTGAGTCACCATGACCAGAACCTCACATTTTAGATACTGTCCAGCCATGGGATTAGAATATTCCCATCCATAAACATGAAATACACAAGGAATGTCACCATTGGCCTTAGAAACTGCTCCTTCTGCAAGTGAGATAACAGGTCCTAGACGGCTTTTACTACCTATGCGTATTAGAGGGACTGGCTGAATTATACAGAACCAAATCATAATTTAAAGGAGTTTTTAGTATGGCATATACATCCAGGAACAGGACAAAGCAACTATATTTTGCAAAAAGAGTTTGTCTTTCATTATAAATAAATTTAAACATCCATCGGGAAGAAAATAGGTGACCAAATTATGTCCAACTACACCATGGAACACCACGCAGCCACTACTAAGAATAAAGCAGATCTAGATACACGGACAGACAGAAATCCTGGATATTCTGTATGATTCCATCCCCACTACAAAATAAAATGATGAAAACTATACAGATGTATAAATATACGTATGTTTTTTATTACACATAGAAAAAAACTTGGAAAGACATGTTACAAACCAATCAAACTTTGGAGAATGGGGTTGGAAGAGTGGGAAGAGAAATTTGAACATTTTACTTTATATATTTTGGTATTACTTGAATTATTTACAGTGAAACTATATTACTTTATAAATTTTAAAAGGGGGTCAGAGACACTGATACTTATATTTATAACAACTTAATAAAAAATTTATATCCTAGATTGGGAAACCGACGCAAGTGGATCACCTGAGGTCAGGAGTTCGAGACCAGCCTGGCCAACATGGTGAAACCCCGTCTCTACTAAAAATACAAAAAGTAGCTGGGCATGGTGGCAGGTGCCTGTAATCCCAGCTACTTGGGAGGCTGAGGCAGGAGAATTGCTCGGACCTGGGAGGTGGAGGTTGCAATGAGCTGAGATCACACCACTGCACTCCAGCCTGGGCAACAGAGCAAGACTCCATCTCCCTCCCAAAAAGAAAAAAAAAATACACATACACACACACACACACACACACACACACACACACACCCTGGAATACCACAGAGAAGTAAAAAATATATACATTTTACTATTTAATCTCCATTGTATTTGACATATACATTTACTTATTCCATGAAGCTAAAGAGTTGAAGGACTTCAGAAAAACTCCTTGGTCTTGGATTTACCAATGAAGTTCAGGAGCCTCAGGTTCCCTCTTTTCACTGAGTGCCGGTCAGAATAATACCCTGAGATGCCTTTCACATGTTTAAGAAGTAAGAGTGTTATAGCTTTAGTAGCCAAAAAATCTGTGCTATATAACTGAAGATGAGCCAGAACAATTTCATCTCTGTGTAAACATCTTAGAGAAGACACCACATGTGTACAGAATTTCAGGGCACATTATAAGAGTGAAAAATCTAGAAAGTTAAATGTTCATCAATCGGGAACAGACAACAAGACATACGAATGACTATTAGAATACTATGTAACAACAGAAATAAATCAATCAAACTATATCAACATGGACTTATAATACTGAATTTTAAAAGTTATATGATGATCCATATGCATACGACCCCATTTATATAAACACAACTCTTTTTTTTTTTTTTTGAGACGGAGTCTCGCTCTGTTGCCCAGGCTGGAGCACAGTGGCGCAATCTTGGCTCACTGCAAGCTCCGCCTCCCGGGTTCCCACCATTCTCCTGCCTCAGTCTCCCAAGTAGCTGGGACTACAGGTGCCCGCCACCATGCCCGGCTAATTTTTTTTGTATTTTTAGTAGAGACAGGGTTTCACCGTGTCAGCCAAGATGGTCTTGATCTCCTGACCTCGTGATCCGCCCACCTCAGCCTCCCAAAGTGCTGGCATTACAGGCGTGAGCCACCGCGTCCAGCATAAACACAACTCTTAAAATACAAAACAATATTTTACTAATATATTAAGCTATAAAAGATAAAGTACAACCATATAAACCAAAGTCATAAGAGCAGATGCCTGTGAAGTGGTAAAGATAATCAAAGGGGTCAAAGGAACTTCAACTTTATTTGAAATGTTTCATTTTCAAAAATCTGTTGGGAGGCCAGGCACGGTGGCTCACATCTGTAATCCCAACACTTTGAGAGGCCAGGGTGGGAAGATCACTGGAGGCCAGGAATGCAAGGCCTGTCTGGGCAACATAGTGAGACCACATCTCAAAAATAAATAAATGAATTAATTAAATAAAAAACAATTAGGGCCAGGAGTGGTGGTGCACACTTATAATCCCAGCACTTTGGGAGGCTGAGGCGGGAGGACCCCTTGAGCTCAGGAGCTCGAGACCAGCCTCAGCAATCTAATGAGACTTTATTGCTACAAAAAATTAAAAAATTAGCCAAGCACGATGGTACACGCCTATAGTCCCAGCTATTTAGGAGGCTGAGGTGGAAGGATCTCTTGAACCTGGAAAGTCAAGGCTGCAGTGAGCTGTGATCCTGCTATTGCACTCCAGCCTGGGTGACAGAGGAAGACCCTGACTGGAAAAATAAAATATAATAAACTTGTTGAGACAAATGGGGCAAAACAACTCAATTTGTTGAGGCAAATAGGGCAAAATGTCAATAACTATTAAATTTTGGTTGTGGAAGCACAAATGCATGTCATATATATGCCTGTATAGATACTACTCTAAAATTTCTGGGCATATGTTTGCAAGTATTTTTAAAATTTCTCACAATAGGAAGGAAGGAAGCAAACGAAAGCAAACAACTGGGAATACAAAGGAAAGAACATTTATGTGCTTTCCCACAATCTTAAGCCTTGACCAACATAGTATGGGGGAGGTCATAATTGGCTAAAGTTAAATACTTGGGGATGTGGAGTCCCACTAAATTCCAGAGGCAGGCAGAAAGTCTACATTCTGTTTATTTGGAATTGCTGACATAAAAGATTATGCCCACAGAAACATGTCCTGAGTCTTGATGAATCAAGTTCATACCATGTAAAGCCTGAGCTACTGCACTGGTGAAACTATTCTGCAGGCAGCTATTGAGTGACATATGGTCACATAAACTTTGTACCCCACAAAGGCAGAGACTCTAAAGCCATGGAATTCCTGAGTTCAAACTAGGAACAATCTGTCTGCACAGATGAAGCATGCAAACACATGCCCAGGCCCAAGCATTTCTCTTCAATGCCATCTTGATGCCATATAACGTCTTACCCTGAAAAGAAGAAAGACTTAATTTTAAGTCTCATACTGCCCCCCACTATCTAGACTCCTTCCTCCCTGCCCTAGTCAATGTTTACTAAAATCCCCTTCATCCTTCATAATTTTAATGTCAGGTTAGATAAATGTCTGAGAAAGGCCTGTGGCAAATTTCTAGCTTTTACAAGAGATATCTGACGAGATTAAAATGTATTTTGGTGTTTCCTTTTCTGTCAGAGCTGCATGCATCTCCCAGAAAACCCTGGACCTGCTATCACAAGTTAGGGATGCGCGTAAACAAGTGAGCACGGCGGTGTAAGCACACACCTTTTTAAGACCAACTCCGTTGCTGGTCATCATAAAGAATACACAAAAACCTGCAAGCTTCTCTATATGCCCCTTGGGGTATGGGAAACCAGGAAATAATCTTGCAGTCAACACTAAGCGCCGGGCCCTTGTCCCATACAAAACCATCTATCTTCCTCTTTACTCTCCTCACGTCTGTCTTCAATGCCAGATTGTTTTTAAAGCAGATTTTTGATTGTCACTTACCTGCTCTAAAGCTTTAGTGGCTCCTCACTGACTACACTGAGGTAGACTCGTTGGTCTTCAAGGCCCTCCTCGATCTGGACCTGTCTGTCATCTACCCCTCTGGGCTTGTCTCCCACTGCTCTCCAGACCCATCACTTTGTACATGTGTTTTAAACACATCCCTACATTTAAACCTTCTGCTCATACTGCCCCCACTATCTAGACTCCCTCCTCCCTGCCCTAGTCAATGTTTACTAAAATCCCCTTCATCCCTCATCTCCCCATTCAAGTACTTTCTCAAATAATTCACCCCCCTCCTTTTTTTTTTGAGACAGGGTATCACTCTGTCACCCAGGCTAAAGTGCAGTGGTGCGATCCCAGCTCACTGCAACCTCCGCCTCCCAGGTTCAAGCGATTCTCCTTGCTTCAAAACTCCCAAGTAGCTGGGATTACAGGCGTGCACCACCATGTCTGGCTAATTTTTGTATTTTTAGTAGAGACGGGGTTTCACCATATTGGCCAGGCTGGTCTCAAACTCCTGGCCTCAAGTGATCCACCTACCTTGGCCTTTCAAAGTGCTGGGATTACAGGCGTGAGCCACCACGTCTGGCCAATAATCCCCTTTTCTAAGAAGTCTTTTCTAATCTCACTAACCTGATTATGATCTCCTCTTCAGAAGCCCCATGGCACTTTGTTTCTCTCTTATTCTGTTACAGTTCTTCTGCTCAATTTCCTGCCCTCTGCAGGATGCTCTACCATTATTCACTCCACTTGAGGATGAGTTTAAAATTCAGCCCACCAGGGGCCAACTCAAAATCTACAAGCCAAGTATACCTGTTCTATTCCCACTCAACACTTTCCCTGAATCTGAATCCCCATAGTACATTATTAGTAGGTGCCTCTGATAGCAAGAACACACACAGTTTCTTCATCTTTATATAAAATATATAGATGCTCTGCTGTAGAAGGTATGCAGTAACTCCATATTAATTAAAGAAACAAAGGGCCACTTGAATATATCTGACTTGGACTATTCGACTGTCAGCTCCTTAAGAGTAGGGACTACCTTAAATCCCTCTGAGAGACTTAAGTACCTCCGAATCCTTGCACTTAACTAAAGAGTACCTTGCACAAAAGCACAGAATTACAACTCAATTTGTTAACTAGGACTCAAAGTATCTTTGGCTTTGAGAAGATACCCACTCAATCGTCAGAATGGCACTTCCAAAATTCCTAAAAATCTTTTGTCTGATTTCTGCAACTCCAGGAAAGCACCCAACTTCTGGAAGTCTACATAGCACAGTACTCGGGGCCCTAAGAAATTGATGGTTTCATGCAGGGGAAATATAACTGCAGCCAAAACAAAGCCGGGGTGGGCGGGCTTCCCTCTGCAAGTTGGTAAAACGTAACAAAAAAATTCCTGCTCTGGCCTGTGGAAGATCCAAGTGGGTGCAGGCCTTCTCCTTTGTTAGCCTCTGCAAGGCTCTTGCCTTGGGGCCAACAGGATTAGCACAGCCATTTCATGCTCTGAAAAGTCAGAAAAGGAGAGATAGGGAGCTTTTCACTCTAGGAAATGCCTAGTAGTCAGAGACAGTTTTTGTTTCTGTTCAAAAGATAAGTGGGGATGCTGAGGTTAAAAAGCAAAAATTCCAACAATGGTTAATGAAAGGTTTGGAAACAATATACAGAATTAGGCAATGGGATAAACTCCAAGAAGAGAAGAGCAGGTGCCAGAGAATCAGCACTAGATGTTTTCATGCATTCAAAAATTTCCATGTATTTAAAATGTCATCAGGACGCCCTGTGAGCAGACTTGATGCAGCAATTAGAGAATGCAGGCTTATCCCTCTTGGCACAAAATACCCACAAATAAGCTCCTAGTATAAAAGTCAAAACAAAGTAGAAAGAAAAGCTTTACCAAAAAAGTTGAGCAGTTGCTGCATTTCCCTGGATTTAATAATTCACTATGCACCTTCCTGAGATGGTCTAAACTAAACTCAAATACTGTATTCAAAGGCACAGAGCTCCCAGGACCCAATTTGGGTTTTGTACCTTGGGTCTACAGATAGGCTTCAGGTGGTTCAAGAAACCCCTGAAATAGCAAATAAAATTGTGCATGTGTTCATGAGTGTGTTATTACATTAATATTTTTAATTTTCTATATTTTATGATGCTTTGACATCTTAGGGGCTTTGCAGATAAGCAACTGTACCTCCCAGGGTTAGTTACTTCCTGGAGATTGCAAACAACTTGCCTTTGATATGCAAACCAACCAATCCAGAGTCCATACCCTAACTACCTCCTTTATTAAACACCGAGACAAGGCCGGGCGCAGTGGCTCACACCTGTAATCCAAGCACTTTGCGAGGCCAAGGCAGTCGGATCACGAGGTCAAGAGTTTGAGACCATCCTGGCCAACAGGGTGAAACCCCGTCTCTACTAAAAATACAAAAATTAGCCAGGCATGGTGGTGGGTGCCTGTAATCCCAGCTACTCAGGAGTCTGAGGCAGGAGAATCACTTGAACCGGGAGGTGGAGGTTGCAGTGAGCTGCGATCGCGCCACCGCACTCCAGCCTGGCGACACAGTGAGATTCCCTCTCAAAAAATAAAAATAAAAAATAAAAAAAAATAAACACCAAGACAATATTCCCCAGCCCTAAATCACCCCAGGGCCAAGTATGGACAACTAGTGCCCACACCTACAGCCCAGACCCTGCCAAAATTATTCAAACCGATCCAATCCTAAACTTACTTAGCCTCACCCATCCCTTCCCCTAGAAACCCCAATAAAGGCTCATGCTCCTCCCTGCCCTCCTTCTGCCTCCTGACTCCCTGGTACTTCCCCATGTGGCCTTGTGTTGTGTGGCATGGCACACGCTCATCTCTTGGGAACTGTAAGGAACAAACTATCCTTTCAACGGCAATCATCTCTTCATCTTTTGTCCTTACCATATTGGAATAAAAACAAAATCCTGGGCACACGTTACTACAGTTATGTGTAGGTGTTTTTTTCTTAGTGTAGGGTCTAAGTTTTTACCATATTTTCTCAGAGAGTTCACTGTTCTCTAAAGATTAAAAACTAGTGACCTAAATATTTCAGGTAACTTTGGGGCTCAACAGGCTAAGATATATCACAGAGGAAGCCTCTCTAGGGAACATGCAAAGCCAGGTGGTTAGAGAGTGCAAAGAGAAAAAGTGGAGACTGCATAGGGCTTTATTTACTTTTGGTTTTTCCTGGCTCTTTGCAGTGTAAGGGATCATCAGTGTAAGGAGGTAGAAAGGAAAAAGGTTCATCCATCCCCAAAATAGTGATGCTCATGATAAATTAGCACTTCTCATAAGTAACACAGAACTTCTGAAATGTATACATACAATCTTGCTTAAACATTCACAGAAATTGTGCAACTGTCCATGCTATATTCTATAAAAAACAACTAGCATGCTGTGCCAACCAGCGACAGTATCAGCAGCAAACAGATAAAGCCTTGGCCTTCAACCTCACTAAGGCTGACAAAGATACACAGATTTGGGATCTAGACTAAAGTACAGAGTCTTGAGACATGCCTAGAATAAAGAATAGTGATCTCAAAACAGAAAGCTTTTTGATGGCTGAGTGAGAACTGAATATTAAACAGGTATTTATCAAATAGCACTGTGGAAGATGTACATAAAATGGTAGTAAGATGTACTTCTTGCTTGTTTGGAGCCTACAATCCAGTTGGGAAGATAGGACTTCCATCAAAAGCATTATAAATGAGGCCAGGCGTGCTGGCACACGCCTGTAGTCCCAGCTACTTGGGAGGCTAAGGCAGGAGAATCACTTGAACCCAGGAGGCGGAGGTTGCAGTGAGCCGAGATCGTGCCACTGCACTCTAGCCTGGGCAACAGAGCAAGACTCTGTCTAAAAAAAAAAAAAAGGGCAATGTGAGTATCTAACGAGGAGACCAACCACAGCCACAGCCATTTAGGAAGGGGCCACTGGGCACCAATGGCTACCTGAGAAGGAGCAGGAAATTTACAGAGTACAGAGGAACTAGGGCTTGAAGCATGTGGAAAGGAGAATGGTTCAGGATAGAAAGAGGTTACTGCTCAAAGTGGATTCAGGGGTCAAGAGCTAATACCAGTTCAGTGGGAAGCAAAGGCTTATATAAATAATAATAGAGATCAGGTTGAAAAAAGATAAGGAACTTGTCATCTGTGTGGCAGGAAAGAGAAATCTTTTGACATTTTTGAGTAAGTAAATTACACAGTGGATAGCTTTCAAATTTTTATTTTTATCAAAGTACTACCTACCCATAATTTTTAAAGTTAGAAAGTATTCAAGGCTAATAAAGTTAAATGGCAGCCTCCAGCCCCATGACCCACCCTCCTTGATTTCTGTTCTCCAGAGGCAATCACTTTTCAAACCTTTTTTTTCTTCTGATAATTAACCATCATATTTCTAAAATTACTAATGTTTCTTTTTTTCTTTTCTTTTTTCTTTTTTTTTTTTTTGAGATGGAGTCTCGCTCTGTTGCCAGGCTGGAGTGCAGTGGCACGATCTTGGCTCACTGAAACCTTCACCTCCCGGATCCAGGCGATTCTCCTGTCTCAGCCTCCTGAATAGCTGGGACTAAGGTGCACGCCACCACACCTGGCTAATTTTTGTATTTTTAGTAGAGAAGGGGTTTCACCGTGTTGGCAAGGCTGGTCTCAAACTCCTGATCTCAAGGGATCTGCCCACCTCAGCCTCCCAAAGTACTGGGATTACAGGTGTGAGCCACTGCACTAGGCCTATAACTGATTTTTCAATTTCCGCTATTATCTACTGATTTCCTATGATGGGAGATGATTTGTTCCTACCTTCTTTTCTCCCCCATCCTTCCAAAATAGTTACATCCCATGTTTGGGTTAATGTAAATTATTTACAGTATTATAACTATATAAATATTCACAAATACAGGAATAGTATAATAAATTCGTATTTCCTTTCACATGCAATTTTGTTTCTTCTAGAAGAGAAATGTTCTTGTCATCACTTACTAATCATCACTCGCTTTTTCCCATTCTCTTTTTACAATGAATATATACTTTTGTCTAATTCCTTTACTGTTACTCTATGTTACTCTTTTTTTTTTTTTTTTTGGGATGGAGTCTCACTCTGTTGCCCAGGCTAGAGTGCACTGGCACGATCTCAGCTCACTGCAACCTCTGCCTCCTGGGTTCAAGCGATTCTCCTGCCTCAGCATCCCGAGTAGCACACCACCATACCCGGCTAATTTTTGTAGTTTTAGTAGAGATGGGATTTCACCATGTCAGCTAGGCTGGTCTCAAACTCCTGACCTCACGTGATCCTCCCAAAGTGCTGGGATTATAGGTGTGAGCCACTGCACCTGGCCCTTTTACTGTTAATTTAGAAGAGATCTGGGAGAGAGTGGAGATAAACACACATGTTCATTCTTTCATGTTTACCAGAAGTCTAGGGCCACATACTGGCAAGTATTTCTGGCATGGGAAGATTATAAGCAGGGAACAACCAGGCAGGAAACTGCTACGAAAGCATAATGGCCTCAATCAGGGCTAGAATAGTGAGAAGAGATCCTGGAATCTTCAGTTTACTTAGGAAAACATGGTTGCTATTCTTCCAGGGCATAGGATGGTGACAGGTATATTGGAAACCCTCACACATTTGTTGAATGAAGAAATGGCCAAACAACAGCTGCCTTCTTTGAGTGGTTCTGTGAATTATAAGAACAATAGATGATAAAGAATATGCAGCAAGCAGTGCGTGGTGGGACCAATCACTAATACAAAAAAAAGTGGGGAGGGGTGGCGGGCAGCATGGTGGCTCACACTGGTAGTCCCAAGCACCTTAGGAGGTGCCAAGGCAGGAGGATGGCTTGAGTCCAGGAGTTTGAGAACAGCCTGGGCAATATAGTGAGACCTCATCTCTTGAAAAAAAAGAAAAAAGAAGAGGAAGGAGGCCCAAGCATTACCCTTGGCTCAATGTAACTCTGAACTCCTGGGCTTATGGAATCCTCCCACCTCAGCCTCCTAGTAGCACAAGCATCACTCTTAAAGAAAAGGAAGGCCAGGGCCAGGCGCAGTGACTCACGCCTGTAATCCCAGCACTTTGGGAGGCTGAGGTGGGTGCATCACAAGGTCAGGAGATCGAGACCATCCTAGCTAACACCGTGAAACCCCGTCTCTACTAAAAATACAAAAAAATACAAAAAAAAAAATAGCCGGGTGTGGTGGCGGGCGCCTGTAGTCCCCGTTACTCAGGAGGCTGAGGCAGGAGAATGGCGTGAACCTGGGAGGCGGAGCTTGCAGTGAGCCGAGATCACACCACTGCACTCCAGCCTGGGCGGCAACAGAGTGAGGCTCCGTCTCAAAAAAAAAAAAAAGAAAAAAGAAAAAGAGAGAAAGAAAAGGAGGAAGGCCAGACACAGTGGCTCAAGCCTGTAATCCCAGCACTTCAGGAGGCCAAGGCAGGTGGATCACCTGAAGTCAGGAATTCGAGACCAGCCTGACCAACATGGCAAAACCCCGTCTCTACTAAACATACAAAATTAGCTGGGTGTGGTGGTCTATGCCTGTAATCCCAGCTCCTCAAGAGGCTGAGGCAGGAGAATCACTTGAACCTGGGAGGCGGAGGTTGCAGTGAGCCGAAATCACGCCACTGAACTCCAGCCTGCGTGACAACAGGGAAACTCCACCTCAAAAAAAGAAAAAGAAGATGTAATAAAATATTAGATTTAGTTAGTTTAGGCTTTACAGTTATATCTATATCTAACGTATTTTCATTGAATATGGTAAAATGTGTTTTATGCTGAACTCTCCAGCTCCTAATCTTCCCTTCCTCCAAAATGAAATCATTGTTTTTATAACAGAATTTTTTATTTCTCTGAATGTTTTAGAAACAGAGTACCTTGGGAATGATAGTAAGGAGTTAAAAAAAAGAAATAGAATCCTTAGATTACAACAGACTGTAAAAGAAACATTGGGGACAGCAACTATGAAAAAAAGGTATGGTTCCTAACTTGAGAGAACTGACAATCTTGAAGGAGACAGAAAATATGTACACCTATTATATGTGTAATATATATGAAAACTGTATGAAAATATGTACATTATATGAAAATATGTACAATGAAAATACTATAAACTAGGCACAATTTAAATATGTTATCTTCAGAGTAAAATGAATCTAAGAATAAGACTTAGCAACATATATTTCTTTCTTTTTCTCTTTTTTTAGAGATAGGATCTCACTCTGTTGCCCCAGGGTGGAGTGCAGTGGTACGATCATTGCTCACTGCAGCCTCGAACTCCTGGGCTCAAGCAATCCTCCTGTCTCAACCTTCTGAGTAGCTAGGATTACAGGCCCAAACTACCATGCCCAGCTAACTTAAACTTTTTTTTTTTTTTTTTTTGGTAGAGATATGGTCTCACTATGTTGCCCAGACTGGTCTCGAACTCCTGGCCTCGGGCAATCCTCCTAACTTGGCTTCCCCAAGTGCTGGCATTACAGGAATGAGCCACTGTGCCCAGCCTATTTCATTTTAAAAATTTACAATAATCTAATATCCATACTTGCATTCTGATATAACTAAGCATTGTGTAGCAAGATACTTTATACATTAATCAGTTATATAAATAAGACTTGTATTATCTTCCTTAGAGCTAAAGAAAACATGCCAAGTGCCAAAATAAGTGCTCTAAAAGCTTTCATTCAAGACTGGACACCATGGCTCATGCCTATAACCCGAGCACTTTGGAGGCCAAGCTGGGAGGATCACTTGAGCCAGGAGTTCAAGACCAGCCTGAGCAACATAGGGAGACCCCATATCTACAAAAAATTTTTTAAAAAATCAGCCAGGTTGGCCGGGCGCGGTGGCTCACGCCTATAATCCCAGCACTTTGGGAGTCCGAGACGGGCGGATCACGAGGTCAGGAGATCGAGACCAATCCTGGCTAACACGGTGAAACCCTATCTCTACTAAAAATACAAAAAATTAGCCGGGCGTGGTGGTGGGTGCCTGTAGTCCCAGCTACTGAGGAGGCTGAGGCAGGAGAATGGCGTGAACCCGGGAGGCAGAGCTTGCAGTGAGCCGAGATGGCGCCACTGCACTCCAGCCTGGGCGACAGAGTGAGACTCCGTCTCAAAAAAAAAAAAAAAAAAAAAAAATTAGCCAGGTGTGGCACCATGGGCCTGCGGTCCTAGCTACTCAGAAGGCTAAAGTGAGAGGATTGCTTGAGCCCAGGAGTTGGGTGCTTGCAGTGAGCCATGTCTGCACCACCATACTCCAGCCTGGGTGACAAGGTGAGACTGTCTCAAAAAAATAAAATAAAAAGCTCCCATTCTATCTTCACAACCACCCTAAAGGAAGTTTGTTTACTCATCAGACAAATATTTGAGTATCTACTACATGCCAGACAATGAATAAAACAGACAAAAATTCCCACCTTCATGGAAATTACATTCTAGAGGGAGGAGGAGAAAGAACTAATAAGTTCACCATATAGTATGTTAAATTATGGTAAGATCCATGGAGAAATATAAAACAGGGAAGAGGCATGGAAAATGTTGCATGGCGATTTCTGATAGGGTAGTTGCTGAAAGAATTTACTGAATCCCTATCTAATAGATGAGGAGGAAATTGAGGCTCAGATCAAGATAAACCATTTGCCCATGGTCTCCAGGTTACCAAGAGTTTAGACGAAATTTGAATTCACGCCAGATGCAGTGGCTCATGCCTGTAATCCCAGCACTTTGGGAGGCTCGGGCGGGCGGATCACTTGAAATCAGGAGTTTAAGACCAGCCTGGCCAACATGGCAAAACCCCACCTCTGCTAAAAAATATAAAAATTCGTCTGGGCACGGTGGCTCATACCTGTAATCCCAGCACTTTGGGAGGCCGAGGCAGGAGGATCACAAGGTCAGGAGATCGAGACCACCCTAGCTAACACGGTGAAACCCCATCTCTACTAAAAATACAAAAAATTAGCTGGGCATGGTGGCGGGCGCCTGCAGTCCCAGCTACTCGAGAGGCTGAAGCAGGAGAATGGGGTAAACCTGGGAGATGGAGGTTGCAGTGAGCCGAGATCGCCCCACTGCACTCCAGCCTGGGCAACAGAGTAATATTCCTTTAAGAGTATTTTGGCATTTCCCCCAAAAGGGTTAAGAAATAACTTTCTTTCTGTTTTGTTTTGTTTTTTTTTTAGATGGAGTCTTGCTCTGTTGCCAGGCTGGAGTGCAGTAGCGTGATCTCGGCACACTGCAACCTCCACCTCCGAGGTTCAAGCAATTCCCCTGCCTCAGCCTCCTGAGTAACTGGGACTACAGGCACGCGTCACCATGCCCAGCTAATTTTTTGTATTTTAGTAGAGATGGGGTTTCATCATGTTGGCCAGGATGGTCTCGATCTCCTGTCCTCATGATCCACCCACCTCGGCCTCCCAAAGTGCCAGGATTACAGGCGTGAGCCACCGTGCCTGGCCAGGAATAACTTTCTACTTCAGGATTTGTTGCCTCGTTTCACATCCACATTAATTTTTACAAAAGAGTTGTGAATGGCCTAAGATCTTTGGTTAACGTTATGTTCTTGGAAAAGCTGAGAAGAGATTAAAATAATAATTAGCCAGAGATAGTCAAAGGACACATTGTGGAGCAACATTCAGCCTATGAAAAGATTCTGTGCAAATCCTGGACAAGTCTTACCTCCTCCTTACTGCTGCTGTGACCGCTTCTATTTAGTTCAACAAGAAGTATTTATTTTATGTCCCAAGGGTGCCTAGCACAACTCAGATGTTCTTTGGCAACTCCTTTTATTAAACTGAGATGGATCCTTTTCAGCCACCTGAGCCTGTCTCTTAGCATTGAGGTGTTCTTGTCACTGGAACATCTAAAGTTGGCAGTCCCAGCTTGTCTCAAGTAGTTCAGCTACCGCAAATAACCTGGGTGCTAGGACATATATTTAATTTTCTTCCTTTGGACTACAGATAATATCTTTTTCAAATGAAGTTAGAGCACTTTACCAATTTTTCCTACTTAAATTCTGGAAGGAACATAGCGGTAAGTACCACACCCTCACCTGTCAAGTGGACAGAGGTTAAATGACTCACTCAAATTGTATAGAGAATTACTGAAGGAGTCAGGAGAACAACCTGTCAACTTCTAGTTTATTTTCTAAAACACAAGATCAGTAGTTCTCAATCTTTTTGTGTTCACAACATACATTTGAATACTAGATTTCTTAGCAATTTGAAGGAATCAAAAGACTCAGAGAACAGTAAAGTCAGCAATAATAAAAACACAAATCACTTACAGTAAGACAATGTCTCCTAGTCCTTATCTGGTGGCCTTCGGAACTATGTCACTGAGTCACTGAGCAGAGCTGTTCTCCCTGCCCTGTCACCTGCTCACCAGGCAAACTCCACACATGCTCCAGGAAACACAGGCTTGCTCTTTGGTACCAGTCCCTTACCTCTTGCTCATACCAACTTATAAATCCCACTCTAGAACACAGTGTGACTTCCTCAACCTCAAATCAACCTGATATTACAGTAACAGTTTTAGTAAAGGTATATTTTACACACTGATCAAAACTTATTGGCATACAAGAGTGCTAGATCATGTTAGGAAAGTCAGTCTGCCTGCCTTCAGGAAAGCAAAGCCTCCTCAATTAAGAGGTCAACTTGAATTTAGTGGTTAATTAATACTTTAATGCAACGTCACTGGAAAATAAGCAATTGACAAGTAGTGCCAAAGGCACTCATTAAAGACTACATCCTCCTGTATCATGTCAGCATGACAGCCTCTGTGATAGCCAGGAAGAGACAACTGACCTCATCAAAGGAAGCTAAAGCTGGAAAGACACTGCAATACCCCAAAAAAGCTTTCTGAGGAAAAGAAGCCTGTGTACATCTGGTTTGAGTGCCAGGAACTTTAGGTGTGTTTAAGTGACACAGAGAAAAGTAGAGAGGGTGATAACTTGCATTTTTGTAACACATTTCTCTGATAGGATGAGTATTGTATTGACATCTTTGGATAAAGCCCTAACATAAAACAAAGTTAATTCTTCCTGTTACTTGTGGGGGAAACTGTCACAGAGTGATATAATGATCAGTGATAAAGAATCAGAAAAAATCCAGGATTTCTGGAGGTAGAATAGCAATAATAAGTATTGAAAAGGCAGAAAAATAATGGATCCTTTAAGGATTCTTTTTTTGTTTGTTTGTTTTTGAGACGGAGTCTCGCACTGTCGCCCAGGCTGAGTGCAGTGGTGTGATCTCAGCTCACTGCAAGCTCCGCCTCGCGGGTTCACACCATTCTCCTGCCTCAGCCTCCCAAGTAGCTGGCACTACGGACACCCACCACCACGCCCGGCTAACTTTTTGTATTTTTAGTGGAGACGGTGTTTCACCGTGTTAGCCACGATGGTCTCGATCTCCTGACCTTGTGATCGGCCCGCCTCAGCTTCCCAAAGTGCTGGGATTACAGGCGTGAGCCACCGCACCCGGACAGGATCCTTTAAGGATTCTTAAAGAAGGTAACTTAATTTTTCCTGTTAAAAATTCCCAACACTTAGTGTAGGACCTACCTAGCACATAGTAGCACTCAAGAAGTATATTCCAATGAATACACACAAACTTGAAAATAGGACTATATTACTCCTTAGAATAGCAATGAGGAGATCCCTGAACTTTTACTGGTTCAGGGTGCTGCCCTGATTTAGGAAGAAAAAAAAAAAAGAGTAGCAATAAATGTGGTGGTAAAATCAGTCAGTTTGATATTTTTCCTGGTTGATTAATTTCATTATTAAGTTAGTAAATATTAGAACCACCGGAGGAAAATACTTTCAAATGAATAAGGGAATAAATAAATTAATTATTATCAGGTATATGATCAATACGAACAGGTCTATTCATATACTTCTCAACATAAACAGAGGCCCAATTTCTAACCTTGTTCTATTTTTTGAGACAGAGTCTTGCTCTGTCGCCCAGGCTGGAGTGCAGTGGTACAATCTCGGCTCACTGCAACCTCCACCTCCCAGGTTCAAGCGATTCTCCTGCCTCAGCCTCCCGAGTAGCTGGGACTACAGGCACGTGACACCACGCCTGGCTGACTTCGTATTTTTAGTAGAGTCGGGGTTTCACAATGTTGGCCAGGCTGGTCTTGAACTCCAGACCTCAGGTGATCCACCCACCTCGGCCTCCCAAAGTGCTGGGATTACAAGCGTAAGCCACGGCACCTGGCCTCTACCCTTGTTCTTAAGCATCTATACTATACTGTCTGTTGGACAGAGGGGGAAATCCAGAAAGGATTAGTACTCATTCTGGATTTTCCCTATGGCTAGCAGGTAAAGTTAAGTTCAAGGAAAGAAATACAGTACTGGTTCACTGAGGGCAGCTAACCCATATCAGAGCCAGAACAGTGAAAAAAAACAAAAAGCAAGATAGTCGAAAGAGAAAGAACACAGTGTGCGCTTGAGAAATGGACATTTTAAGGCTCAGCCTGACAAAGTCCGCATATATGTATAACATGAGGAGGATGACATTATGTTCCCATAGGATCAACCTGAGTACTTGGAGAGGAGATGAGAGGAGAAAATGAGTGAGGTGAATTGAATATATCTTAAACTGAAAAACAGTCTTATCAATAGAAAAAAAATTAAAGTATTTTAGGTTCTTCTGCAAAGTAGAATAGCAACCCAACTAACTTCAAACCCTAGTCAGCCTATCTGGCAGGCAGCCTCCAGCGCCCAGTGCTACCTATAACTTGGAATGCAAAGTATTAATTATGAATAAGAGAAGAATTCAAGTCCTTGGTTTCCTTACAAGAAAGTAGTTATGGGTGTGTCTCCATGACATTTGCTAACGTTCAACGTTTAAGAACATCAAAGCCAAAAGGGAAGATAGACAAAATATTCAACAGTTTAATGTCCAGGTTCCAGGTTGGAAAAGGAACAGACAAGCATACATTTCTTTGAGGGGGTAGACTGGACCTTAATTCCACATGTATTAGTTTGCTGTATTCTTTGATTGAGTCTATTTCTCTGTATACAAAAATCCCCTCCCATCACAGACTATCCAATGAAAAATGAAAATGAGAGACAGAGGAATCCTAGGATAATTCAATTTGTCAAATTCAGAAGGCCCAAGGACTCAAAATTCCAACCCTTTCCTTCAGAGACAGAGCCCCTGAGGCCATTCCCAGTTTGATAATTTGTTTCAGTTATGCTCCCCACACAAAAGTTATGAGTCATATAAAACTGTAAAATGTCAAATAGTCAACTTGCAACCATCATCACTTTGCTCTGGATACGAGAATCCCGTAATTTCTTGTCGCATACTTCTTTTTTACTGTAAGGTCTCAGATTCGGAGAAAGGTGGAACAGGAAACTGTGGCATTCACAAGAAAGAAGGCAAAGAAAGCAGGCAGCTTCAAATAAAGGATATACTAAAATATCAAGACTAAAATGATTTTTTTCAGGAATTCTAAACCCTAACAGCTATTCTCCAGGTGTCGGAAAAGAACACTGTTCCCCTCCATAGCTGCATTAGCCTTTCAGAAAATGGTCACTCTTCCATATAGGGGAGACACTAATATCACAAAGGAAAAGGTGGAGAGCTGCACTCAGTGCCTGAAAACAATGACTGATGAGTCCACACAAACCAAACCTCCAACACACAGTACCCAGAAATAATAACAGAGAAGAGGAAAAAGTGTCCATGAAGTTGAGAGGGGAAATCAGCCAGTCAGTGTTTCCTTCAGCACTATTACCTCCAAATCCCATGGCCAATTTCTCTGTTAGTTCCATCCAGTGGCAGCTCAAGAAATTCTATAAATGAGTCTCAGGGTTGGCAGGTGAACGAGTAGGGTGTGCACAAGTTAGGTGACTTGTCTTGAAGCTGCCGGCAGAGCAAGCACACTGTTTTTCACTTAGATGGTGTATTTTTAGGGGTGGCTTGTGGTTAGATAATAGTGGTGGGGAGATACGTAAAGAGTCCCAAGCCAACCCGTGGTGCTGGTACTGCTTCTATCCCATAGGACCTTCACATTCTTCCCAGGTAAGACATAGATTAGAATAGCCAGAAACTTATTCACAGCATGTGCTCCTAAACTGTCCCTGTGGCCTCTCCACCTAGAACATGGGAGTGAAGAAACTGGGCATTTTAAACAATTTACTCCAGCTTTGCACTGATATTTTCAGTTTTAATTAGTTTGCAAAATAAGCTATACAACATTTTACCACTTTTCCCCAGTTGCTTCACATCAGCAGAATCCAGAAAAATATTTAGACCAAGAAACACTTTGTGGCTTTTATAAGCTCTCAGTTAGCTCCTGTGTTAGCTCTATTAGTTCTGCCTTAAAGAAAATCAAGTTCAAATTCTGCTTAAGGCTGGGTGTGGTGCCTCACGCCTGTAATTCCAGCACTTTGGGAGGCCAAGGTGGGTGGATCAGCCAGGAGTTCGAAACCAGCCTGGTCAAGATGGTAAAACCTTGTCTCTACTAAAAATACAAAAAAATTAGTTGGGCATGGTGGCGCACGCCTGTAACCCCCCAGCTACTAGGTAGGCTGAGGCATGAGAATCACTTGAACCTGGGAGACAGAGGTTGCAGTGAGCCGAGATTGCGCCACTGCACTCCAGCCTGGGCAAGACTGTCTCAAAAAAAAAAAAAAAAAATCTGCTTAAATACTGAGACCCACAACAGATAAAGGGAGAAAGGTGGAAGGGTGGGAGGGGAAAGGGACCCAGGAGTAAAAGTAAAGGCAGAATAGAAGGACACTAGCTCAATCTCATCACCACAACCTCTAACTCTTATCAGACAAAAAAGGATAAGGCCGAGTTTTCATTAGGGAGAGTCTTTGTCTCTTTAAAGATACTTCTTTTTTTTTTTTTTGAGACAGGATCTTGCTCTGTCACTCAGACTGGAGTGCAGTGATGTGATCTCTGCTCAATGCAGCCTCTGCCTCCCAGGCTCTAATGATCCTCCCACCTCAGCCTCCTGAGTAGCTGGAACTGTGGAACTACATGCACATGCTACCAAGCTCAGCTAATTTCTGGAAAAAAAAAAAAAAAAACTTTTTGTAGAGATGAGCTCTCACTATGTTGCCCAGGCTGGGCTTTCCTGGGTGCAAGCAATCCTCCCACCTTGGCCTACTGTGCTGGGATTACAGGCTTGAGCCACTGTGCCCAGCCTCTTTGAGGACACGTCTTTATTGTACATAGGCTATACCATTTTGAATGCACATGCCTAGGATAATATCCAGGGTTTATCAACAGCAGAGCCCCCAGCCCATCAGCGACTGAGGTGGTTCTAAAAGTACATCAAGGAAGTCCTAAAAGATTGATTGGTGAGGCCAGGCATAGTGGCTCACGCCTGTAATCCCAGCACTTTGGGAGGCTGAGACGGGCAGATCGCTTGAGGTCAGGAGTTCGAGACCAGCCTGGTCAACATGGCGAAACCCCATCTCTACTAAAAATACAAAAATTAGCCAGAGCTAATTTTTGTATTTTAAAAGAACTCTCTACTTTGAAAAGAACCCTGAGACACTATGTGAAGAAGCACAGGTTAGTTTACTGGTGAATGAAAAAAAAAAAGAATGACTGGTGAATATACTGAATTTGTCTCTATGTGACCTGAGGCCCAATCTATGCAATTCACATTTGGTCCCCATAAAATAGTTTTTAACCAATCTCAATAATGCCAAGTAAAAGCTAAGTCCTATGCTTGAGAATAGCTGAATTCTTGCTTCTCCCAACCACTGCTATAAGAAAGCATAATATGCCACAGTAATTGGGCACACAAAAATTCCTTGCCTTAGTTTTTAGGAACTTTTCTTCTGAGTTGCTTCTGTTCAAGGAGCTCTGGATTATAAATGATGCCACGGGTACAGGTTCACTTACAGCAAATTAGTAAGTGCTTGCACAGTTAATTCTGTCAGTCTTACTCCTACACAGAAATACATTTGGCCCCAAGGGGCCCAACCACCCACAGAGCTCTTTTGCACATCTTTTTACCCTCCAGCACAGAAATACAGGGCTATATCCTAGAAAATACCCAGAGAAAGAGAAAAGGTAGTTTCCCTGATATCCTATGTCTAGGAAACCAGGGTCCAGCTTTTTATTTGAATGTTGTTCCTAAATTCATTTCTCTGAATAACCCAAATAATTACCTAAGGCAAGATATTTCTTGTTTTTTTCTTTTTTCTCTTTTTTTTTTTTTTTTTTTTTTGGAGATGGAGTTTCGCTCTTGTTGCCCAGGCTGGAGTGCAATGGCGCAATCTCGGCTCACTGCAACCTCCACCTCCCGGGTTCAAGCGATTCTCCTGCCTCAGCCTCCCGAGTAGCTGGGATTACAGGCATGCACCACCATGCCCGAAGATATTTCTTGAAAGTTCTAAATCTGTACCTTTATATCCTTTGGTATGCTGAAGCTTTCCTCAGTATATGTAAGGACACTTTTAAAAAAAGCAATTTGTGCTGGACGCAGTGGCTCACGCCAGTAATCCTAACACTTTGGGAGGCCAAGGTGGTAGGATCGCTTGAGCCCAAGAGTTTAAGACCAGTCTGGGCAACACAGTGAAACCCTGTCTCTACAAAAAATACCAAAATTAGCCAGGCATGGTGGCATGTGCAGTAGTCTCGGTTACCTGGGAGGCTGAGGCCGGGGAATCACTTGAGCCCAGGAGGCAGAGGTTGCAGTGAGCTGTAATCAAACCACTGCATTCCAGCCTGGGCAACAGAGTGAGACCCTATCTCAAAAGAAAGAAAAGAAAAAAAAAGCAATGTGTTCAGAGTGTGCTAGCAGGCTACCTCAGATTTCAAAGCCTACTTAGTTGTGGCAGCATGTTACAGTAATGGCCCCAAATGATTTAGGCCCTTCTGTATCCATGGCCTTAGAGAGTCTTCTTCCTGGTTTGGGGCTTACCCAAACAGCTTGCTTTAGCTGATGGAATGGACAAAAGCAAACATGACATAAGGAGAGATTCAAAAAGTGCTTATGCAGTAGGACTTGACCTCTCCTGCTTCTTTTCAGAACTCTGAGGTCAGGAGTTTGAGACCAGCCTGGCCAACATGGTGAAACCCTGTCTCTACTAAAAATACAAAAATTAGCCAGGTGTAGTGGCAGGCGCCTGTAATCCCAGCTACTAGGGAGGCTGAGGCAGGAGAATCACTTGAACCCAGGAGGCGGAGGTTGCAGTGAGCTGAGACTACACCACGGCACTCCAGCCTGGGCGACAGAGCGAGATTCCGTCACACACACAACCCTGAGACACTATGTGAAGAAGCACAGGTTAGTTTACTGGTGAATAGAAAGGAGACAAGTCATCCCAGCTGAAGCCAAATAGCCTGCCAAATGCCAGATACATGTGTGAAACTATCTGTTATCAGTTTTCTATAACTGCCATAACAACAAGCAGAAACTTAGTGGCTTAAACAAGACAAATTTATTATCTCTCAGTTCTATAGGCCTGAAGTCAAACAAAGGACTCATTGGGCTAGAAGAAAGGTGTTGGCTGGCCTGTGTTCGGGTCTGTCTCCTTGTCCATTTCGGTTGCTGGCAGAATTCAGTTCCTTGCAGATGCAGAACTGAGGTTCCCACTCGCTGCTAGCTGTTAGCAGAGGCCATTCCCATCTTTGATCATTGCAGCACCTTGACTGACCCTTCTGCCTTCCTCTTCCACTTTTAATAGCTCATGTAATCAGATGAGGCCCACCCAGATAAATCAGGATAATCTTCCCACCTCAAGATCTATAATCTTAATCATAACTGCAAAGTCCTTTCTGCCATGTAAAGTAACATATTCACAGGTTCTGGGGATTAAGATGTGGAAGGACCTCTTAGGCAGATCATTATTTTACCTACTAAACCATCTAAGATCATCCACATCCAGCCAAGCTATTAATTGACCACAGAGAAGAGCCAATGATGCAGACCAGGCAAACTGCAATTGGACTCGCAGAATTGTGAGAAACAAGAAATGTCTTATGCCACTAAATTTGGGGGTGGTTTGTTCAGCAGCAAAAGCTAAATGACATAATGGCCAAAGCTATACCACTTCCCAGGGTTGTGCAACCCTCATCCCAATACATGCGTCTTTTCCTTCTTTGCTCTAGATCAACATGTGTACCTTAAAAGCAACTGGCAGTTTTTTGTTCTCTGAGTCATAAAACAAAATAATTCATTTTATTTTTTCTTCTAGTCCAGATCTAGAGATTATTGCTGAAGTTTAACCAAAGTCAGCCTTATTATCTCAAAACAACCAGAGAGAGGCTCTTTGCTCTACAACTTTGGAAGCTACATACATGAAAAAAATATATACATACTGCAAGTCCCAGGGAATGATTTCAAGGAAGGACTACCTTTTGACAGAGCTAAAGCTGCTGATAGAAGAGGAAAATTTCACTGCCATCCAACTATCTCTCCTTTACGTATAGAGACCAATGAGGGGTTTGGGGCACAGCCTCTTAAAGAGGGATCTCTAACCCTTCACTAGCCAAATAAATTTTCTCAACTAGGCTCCCCCTCAAATTTGCTGATACTTAAAGGTCTGGAAAACTTCAGTAGAAGGAAAATGCCAATAGCAACTTAATGTCCTCTTGGCTCTTTTGGCTGACTTCCCTGTGCCTGGGTCTTGACTATTAATTGAATGCTGTTCAGATTCCATCTCAAAAACAAATGAGGATGGAGACCAGAGGCCTGCCGTCCCCAGACTGATAAGAGCAGCACGGTGCAATTACACCCAAACAGCTCTGTTTTGGAATGTAATCACCGCCCCAGCCTTCTTCCCAAAGGGATGGCAACAGTGTAATTACCACTACACAATTCATTGTTTGGGAATATAATTCTTCTACAGGGCCCTCTTTCTAGGGGAAAGGATCTGCGACAAGGATATAAGAGCATAGTAGCCCCCTCCCCAGTAGCAGTCTTCTGAGCTGAACACACTATTTTTGTTTTTGTTTTTGTGATGGAGTTTTGCTCTTGTTGAGCTCAGCACACTGCAAACTCTGCCTCCCGGGTTCAAGTGATTCTCCTGCCTCAGCCTCCTGAGTAGCTGGGATTACAGGCATGCGTCACCATGCCTGGCTAATTTTATATTTTTAGCAGAGATAGGGTTTCTCCATGTTGGTCAGGCTGGTCTCGAACTCCCGACTTCAGGTGATCGGCCTGCCTCGGCCTCCCAAAGTGCTGGGATTACAGGCATGATCTACCGCGCCCGGCCTATTTTTGTTCTCTGAAGGTAAAGCCTGAGATTAGATTTTAGCCTGTTTTTCTACCAACAAAGAATCAGATCACACCCCATGGTGGTTCTGTTGGAAAAGAGCAGGACTGCCTGAGGTCCAACTCCCACTCTGTCAAGTACTAGCTGTGGTTTTGGGTAAAATACTTCATCTCTTTTAGCCTCAGTTTCCTCATCTGTAAAAATGACAGTGTATCATAGCAATGCTGCTGGTGATTAATATGTGAGAAGTGCTTGGAACAGTACTTGGTATAGAACAAATGTTCTTAGGGGTTTTGTTTACCAAATTTGAAATATCATATTCCAAAGTCCTCACGTTTTGCAAGTTTTGGTTACTACATCCTTGTAGTATAATTCGAAGTCAGGTAATGTGATGTGATGTTTCCAGCTTTGTGTTTTGTTTTGTTGTTGTTGTTTTTGCTTAGGATTGCTTTGGCTATTCAGGCTCTTTTCTGGCTCCCTATGAATTTTAGGATTGTTTTTCTCTATAATACTACTTCATGGCCAAATCTAAGCTTGAGTTACTAAATTCTGTCTTTTCACTACCCCTCTGCAGTTCAGCATGATGGGCAATGTTTTGGATAATTGTAAATGCTGTTATAGAACTGTCACAATCTCAGAGCTATTTGTCTGGGTGAAACTTCACTCTAATGAGCAGGAGTGACTGCGGATATTTCCATGTCATTCCTTTATGTTACCAGTCCAACGGAAACCGTAAAAGACTGTTGTGAACACTTGCTGTTGGGAGTCAGCAAATATTACAAAAAGCAGCCACTGGCACTAACTATATCAATATGGTAGATTCTGGAGACAACTCACCTTTCTAGCCAGCTTCATTTGTGAAAATAAATGTCCCTCACATGTTTACTGTGCACCCCACTTCACAGGAACAAGGAGAAACCCTTGTTCCCAATGGGGACTTCTACCCTTTACCTCCTGTCTAGCTTTCCCTTGTTCCTTTGTACCCTGGACCAGTTAACTTCCCTGCATTAGGAAGGAATCTTTTTGGCTTCTACTTTACCAGCTATGAGCCACAAGAGTAAAAACCAGCCAGGCGTAGTGGCTCACGCCTGTAATCCCAGCACTTTGGGGTGCCGAGGCAGGCAGATCATAAGGTCAGGAGTTTGAAACCAGCCTGGCCAACACAGTGAAACCCCATCTCTACTAAAAATACAAAAATTAGCCAGGCGTGGTGGCATGCGCCTGTAGTTCCAGCTACTCAGGACGCTGAGGCAGGAGAATCATTTGAACCTGGGAGGCGGAGGTTGCAGTGAGCCGAGACCATGCCATTGCACTCCAGCCTGGGTGAAAGAGTGAGACTCTGTCTCAAAAAAAAAAAGAAAAAAAAAAAAGAGTAAAAACCATGAATCTGCTTACCAGGCATCCCTAAAGAATGTAGCCCCACAGCTCAAGACAGTAGAAGTGATGCTGGGCTCCTTCTTCATGGCACAAAGCTGCAGTGAACTGGGCCTATGATAAACCCAGGGACTCCCCTCAATAGCCCTATAACATGAGAGACTATCTTCACAGGGTGAGTATGTGGTTACAAGATGACTCTCTGGCTCTGGGGTGACACTCAACAGCTACCCAAAAGAAATACCCAAGGGAGTCTTAACACTCCCAAAGGGCCCCAGTCACCTATTTGCAGGAGTTTCTTTCCCCATCATGGCTCATACAAAGATATCCATGCTTGCTCTTCAACCTGAGTGGCATGAGGACCCAGGGGAAGAGCTGGCCTTTGTTGATCAGCAAGTTTTAAAGAAAGGAAATTAACAACCACAGGTTGGCTCCACTTTGGTAGAAAAGGTAAGAGGTGATGTCTGCCAGCTCCCATGGCATTTCCAGCCAGGTTGGAATAAACGAGGCTGCTTGGAGATAGGAAAAGGAAACGAGAAAGAAAAGCTGATGTGAGCCCAGGGTTTTAAAAAGGAGGAGGCTGGCAGGCATGGTGGCTCATGCCTGTAATCGCAGCACTTTGGGAGACCAAGGTGGGTGGATCACCTGAAGTCAGGAGTTGAAGACCAGCCTGACCAATATGGTGAAACCCCATCTCTACTACAAATACAAAAATTAGCTGGGCGTGGTGGTGTACGCCTATAGTCCCAGCTTCGGGAGGCTGAGACAGGAGAATTGCTTGAATCTGGGAGGTGGAGGTTGCAGGAGTGTGCCACTGCACTCCAGCCTGGGCAACAAAGTGAGACTCTGTCTCGAAAAGAAAAAAAAAGGTAAAAAGAAGGAGGTAGGGGGTTAGTTAGCATGGGTTATTAACTTCCAGCATTCATACTGCTCACTTTGGTAAAAACTACTGAAGTAGATGGGACAGTAAAGAGGATTGTTCCAAGTCTCTTTACTCACCCTGTAAAGACAGTCTCTCATGTTATAGGGCTATTGAGGTGAGTCCCTGGGTTTATCATAGGCTCAGCTCACTGCAGCTTTGTGCCATGCACAAGGGGCCCAAGGTAGGGGATATCTAATCCTAAAGAAAGTTTGAAATGTAAAGAAATATAACAAAGAAAGCTGCTGCTTCCACTGGAAAATATGGGTTTTGACCTCACATTTGGCCTTCTCTTTCCTCACATGTCCTCTGCAGATTTCTAGATCATTGCATTTGTTCTGAGGGGTTGCAAAACATGTCAAAGCACATACTAATCATAACCTAAGAAGAGAGAAGTAAAAGAATTCTGGCATTATACTGAGTCATTATAGATTAGAGAGAATCTTCAGCTGGCACCTTCAAAATGAGCAGTAATTCCAAGGAGCACACAACCATGGGATTTAATAATCTTTGAGATCATTTTAGGTCTAGGGAAGCCCCAGAGTACAGAGAACTTAAAGTACAAATAAATAGTGGCGCCTCAATCCAGACATATGGACATTAAGATTTCTACTTTGTACTAACTTACATTCCCACTGACAGTGTATACGCATTCCCTTTCCACTGCATCCCTGCCACCACCTATACTTCTTTGGCTTTTTTTTTTTCTGAGATGGAGTCTCACTCTGTCGCCCAGGCTGGAGTGCAGTGGTGCGATCTCTGGCTCACTGCAAGCTCCGCCTCCCGGATTCACATCATTCTCCCTCAGCCTCCCGAGTAGCTGGGACTACAGGCACCTGCCACCACACCAGGCTAATTTTTTGTATTTTTTAGTAGAGATGGGGTTTCACCGTGTTAGCCAGGATGATCTCGATCTCCTGACCTCATGATCCACCTGCCTCGGCCTCTGAAAGTGCTGGGATTACAGGTGTGAGCCACTGTGCCCAGGCTTTTTTTTTTAAGACAAAATCTCACTCTTGTCCCCCAGGCTGGAGTGCAATGGCGCGATCTCAGCTCACTGCAACCTTTGCCTCCCGGGTTCAAGCGATTCTCCTGCCTTGGCCTCCCGAATAGCTGGGATTACAGGCACCTGCCACCACGCCCGGCTAATTTTTGTATTTTTAGTAGAGACAGGGTTTCACCATGTTGGCCAGGCTGGTCTCGAACTCCTGACCTCAGGTGATCCGCCCGCCTTGGCCTCCCAACATGCTGGGATTACAGGCGTGAGCCCCTATGCCCGGCCTCAAGAAGCCCAAACTCTTAAACATTTCACTATACTGTCTCTCAGACAGAGTATACCATATAAATGACAGCTGTCCTTCCAGTGCCCCACTTACTCACGCTTATAGTCCCACTCAAAAGATGAACGGGGACACATTTGCAGAGCTTCTTCAAACTGTACGAAAGACAAACTGGACTGAAAGTCCTTGATCCAAGCCCAGGCTTACACCCCACCTCCCTTAGCTAATCTATCAAGACTGGTAGTTAAAGTCTCAGGGGAATTAGTAAATTTTTAGTGGCAGGGCTAAAACAAAACATAGATATTGGGCTACTCCCTGGCTAGACAGTAAACTCCCTGAGGGCAGAATCATTTAATTATTTTGTAATACCCAAAGTGTTCTGGAAAATACTAAGCATTTAGAAAGTGCTGTGTACATTTTAAGGTGACAATACAGAAAGGGCACACGGGTAAAGCATAAGTGGGGAAAGATCAAGAGGAAATTTCCTGGGGAAAAGAGAGACAAAAGCACAGAAAAACTTACACATATAAAAGGAACAGAAAAGTTCATTGACAAGGCCCAGTATTTTTCCCTAGAAAAGCCTGAAGAAGCACAGGCAATTCAGCTTAGAAACTGGGCCCCATGTTCTCAATAAGCACACTTCTCACTAGTGGTATAAGATAAGGTAAAGGGCTGGGGTAGAAAGGACTCGAATGCTCCAGTGACTGGTGGACACCAAATAGGTAAAAGGCCCCGGGTGCTATAAGGCAACTGGGAAGGCTGAGTTCTCTGGGAGGAGTACTGCATTTACTTCTCTGTTTCCCAGGCAACAAAGCCAGCCTCTTATTCCCTTCACTTTCATCACTGGAGCAGAATGAAATGTAATTGGGTTAATTATTAAAGCAGCACTACCAGTACCACCACCACTAATTGTCCATTTATCTGGGGTTTATAAACAGCCATCTTAATTGATGTTGAGTTGGAATGTGCCACTCATGTTATCTGCCTGGCTACTGGGTACCAGATGGGTACACGGCAGAAAGATAAAGGGAGATCAAAGAGATAAAGGACCCAACACCAGAAATATTATTCATTTCTGTTCACTTTCATCTAAGTAATATCACGATGGCCCTTAACTGCAGTCTCTATTATTAATCTATACCAGATTTGCCAGTTCAAGTGAAGATCTGCTATATAGTGATTAAGCAATTTGTTGTATTAGACAGCTATGCTATCAGATGGTGAAATAAGGCTAATTCCTAAAAGTTAGCAAGCCTGAGGCTCTAGATGCCCACCCCAGTTGACTAAGTGAGACTAAAAAGTCCTCCTGAAAGTAATTCCCTAAGGAACCAGGGAAGTGGGGAACATCTAAGACCAGAGTACTGGTGTTTTTAAAAGAGACAAGAGGAGGCTAGGTGCAGTGGCTCACACCTGTAATCCTAGCACTTTGGGAGGCCAAGGTGGGCGGATGACCTGAGGTCAGGAGTTCGAGATCAGCCTGGCCAACATAGTGAAACACCGTCTCTACTAAAAATATAAAAATTAGCTGGGCATGGTCGTGGGCACCTATAATCCCAGCCACTTGGGAGGCTGAGGCAGGAGAATGGCTTGAACCCAGGAGATGGAGGTTACAGTGAGCCAAGATCGTGCCACTGCACTCCAGCCTGGGTGACAGAACAAGACTCCATCTCAACATAAATAAATAAATAAATAAATAAATAAATAAATAAATAAATAAATACAAATAAAAGAGATGAGAGGGGCCAGGCACCATGGCTAACACCTGTAATCCCAGCACTTTGTGGGGCTGAGTGGGGCAGATCACTTGAGCCTAGGAGTTAGAGACTAGCCTGGGCAACATGGCAAAACCCCATCTCTACGAAAAGTACAAAAATTAGATGGACATGGTGTTGTGTGCCTACAGTTCCAGCTACTCAGGAGGCTGAGGTAGGAGAATAGCTTGAGACCAGCAGGTTGAGGGTGCAGTGAGTCGTGACTGGGTCACTGCACTCCAGCCTGGGCAACAGAGCGAGACCCCATCTCTAAAAATAAAATAAAAATAAAAGAGATGAGAGGGGCAGAGGACAACCAAAAATAAAGTTAACAATAATAACAAGTAAATTGTTGTTAACCAAAAATAAAGTTAATAACAATTTTATTAACAAGTTAATAAAGTTAGATGAAAATAAAAGTAAATTTTATGAAAAGTATAGCTCTGTCTTTCCCACACCAGGCAACAAACAGAAGGATGCCTGAGAAAAGATTGTATTAATCAATAAGTTAACACCACATTGTTGGGTTTGTAATACATATAGATGTAATATTAATATATATATAACAGCACAAAAGAGGTAGAAGGGAATGGAGCCACAGGGGAACAACAGATAGTGAAAAATGTTTCTATATCTTACCAGAATTAAGTCTGAATAAATTGGAAACTGATCCTGATAAAATACATTCAAAAATCAAAAAAGGAATTTAAAAGACACATTAGATGATACCCATTTAATACAAATGAAGTCAGTAAAGAAGGAACAGAGGAATAAAAACATCAGAAATACAAAAAACAAACAGTAAAATGGCAGACAAAAACCCAACTATATCAATGATAATATTAAATGTGAATGGACTAAACAATCAAAAAGCAGAGATTGTCAGACTAGATAAAAAACAAGCTCCAATCATATGCTTTCTACCAGATACACATTTCAGATTCAAAGAGCTAAACAGGCTGAAAGTAAAAGGATGGAAAATGATATCTCATGTAATCAACAACCATAAAAGAACTGCAGTAGCTATATTAATATAAGAAAAAATTGACTTTAAGACAAAAAATATTACTAGACAGAGAGGGACAATGGTAAAATAGTTAATTCATCAGGAACACATATCAGTCGTAGACATATGTGCACCTAATGACAAAGTCACAAAATACATTAATCAAAAATTGACAAAATTGGGCCAGATGCAGTGGCTCACGCCTGTAACTCCAGCACTTTGGGAAGCTGGGGCAGGTAGATCCCTTGACATCAGGAGCTTAAGACCAGCCTGGCCAATATGGTGAAACCCCATCTCTACTAAAAATACAAAAATTAGCCAGGCCTGGGGGCACACGCCTGTAATCTCAGCTACTCAGGAGGCTGAGGCAGGAGAATCGCTTGAACCCAAGAGGCGGAAGTTGCAGTGAGCTGAGATTGCATCACTGGGCAACAGAGCGAGGCTCTGTCTCAAAAAAACAAAACAAAACAAAAAAAAAAACTGACAAAATTGAAGGGAAAAATACACAATTCAATAATAATAGAGATTTCAATACCCACTCTCAATAACTGACAAACTAGATAGAAAATCAGCAAGGATATACAAAGCTGGAACAATAATATTGACCAAGTAGATTTAACCGACATCTACAGGACACTCCACTAAATAACTGCAGAATACACATTCTCCTCAAGCACATGGGTAACACTCTCTAGAAGAGCCTATATACTAAGCCATAAAACAAGTTCCAATAAAATTAAAATGAATAAAATCACACAAAGTATGTTCTCAGACCATGATCAAATTAAATAAGAGAACAACAGAAGGAAATTTGGGAAATTCAAAATATGGGAAAATTCAACAACACACTCCCAAAAAAGTAATAGGTCAAAGAAGTCGTACTGAGAAGTGACACCGTTCAGTAAAAAGGTTTTTTTGTTTTTTTGTGTTTTTTGAGACGGAGTCTTGCTCTGTCGCCCAAGTGCGGGGGCGAGATCTTGGCTCACTGCAAGCTCCGCCTCCCAGGTTAACGCCATTCTCCTGCCTCAGCCTCCAGAGTAGCTGGGACTACAGGCGCCCGCAACCGCCCGGTTAATTTTTTTTTTTATTACACTTTAAGTTTTAGGGTACATGTGCACAACGTGCAGGTTTGTTACATATGTATACATGTGCCATGCTGGTGTGCTGCACCCATTAACTCATCATTTAACATTAGGTATACCTCCTAATGCTATCCCTCCCCCGCTCTCCCCACCCCACAACAGGCCCCGGTGTGTGATGTTCCCCTTCCTGTGTCCACGTGTTCTCATTGTTCAATTCTCACCTACATGCCTGGCTAATTTTTTGTATTTTTAGTAGAGATGAGGTTTCACCACGTTAGCCAGGATGGTCTCAATCTCCTGACCTCATGATCCACCTGCCTCGGCCTCCCAAAGTGCTGGGATTACAGGCGTGAGCCACCGCACCTGGCCAGTTTTTCTTTTTTATATTTAAAAAGAAGAAGAAGGAGTCATAAGAGAAATTAGGATAACTGGGCACAAAGCCATCTCTTGCTCAAGACACTGGACCAGGCCGTAATGACCTGTGGCTAGGAGCAAGAAAACCCTGACACTTCCCATTGATTTTAATCAAAACAGTAAATTAAGTATATCAGGTCCACATCTGCTAGGAGCAGATGCTCATTAGGATGAAAGTCAAAAAGATTATGCAGGACAGACAGCTAATACCCCACATTACCCAGGCCCCTATTCCTCAGAAGTTTTTTGTTCTTCCAGTAATTACCAGGAAGCTGTCAAATGCCAAGCTTCTTATTTCACTTTTATGAGGCCTCAAACATGCAGAAAAATATTATAAGCTTAAGAACCTTTTGGCAGATATTCCCTACTTGAACTCAAACAAAACATGGCACAGACGACAGAACAGAACTCTTCTAAGAGTCAGGAAGACCCGGTTTAAAATTCCAGGTCAGCCTCTCACAGTGATATTGGGCAAGTGACATAACTTTCTGAGCCTCAGTTTTCTTCCCTACAGAATGGAAATGCTACCACCTACCTCACAGGGTTGTTGCAAAGATGAAAAGAGATAACGTGGGAAAGACAGTACCTGGTCCACGGTAGGCACTCAGCTTCATTTCCATCATTTCAGTTGCTGTGACTACACAGAGCTAGTGGTCTGCTACAATGTCAGCAGGGGGAGCTCCTCAGACTTTTGTATGTTCTCCCACAATTTTACCTGGTAGAGCTGCAATAGCTTTAAATGTACTTACAGCTCTTTAAGTATGGGTCTAGAATTTGTGTTGCTGATGATGATGGGGAAAGGCCTGGGTTGATGACCAATTGGAGGCTACCAGAAACCTACAGAATTGCAGGTGAAGGCACCAAGATAAGGGAGAAGAGATGAATAATAGACTATCAAAACACTTTTCTCTTTATTTTTTAATATTTTAAAAATTCTTTTTGCAATAACTTACTCTTCACCTTATAACACTTTTCTATAGTAGCTTCTGTTTTCTATTATTGCTTTCAGTCTCTTGTGGGAGGAAGTAGAACGGATCTTGATTTTCCGCAAACCCATTTTTGTTGATGATTCTGAATGGCTTTGCTTAGGGTCCACTGAAGACTCATTTGGCACTACAGTACTGGTCACACCCCCTAAAACTGCAGGTGTGTGTCTGCTTTGTCCCTCCAGGTCTGCCAAATTTCCAAGCTTCATCCCTGCAAAAAGCCATTCACCATGCAAAAGTTCCACTTATGTCTGGAGTAAGACTGAGTCATGGCTAACCACCTAGACTTGGAGCTACAGGAAGGCAGGGATCATAGTCTGTCTTATTCACTCTGGTAACCTAGAACACTGCCTGGCATATGACAGCTGTAGAACAAATGTCTGCTAAATGTAATTGTTCTGGGACCATTACAATCTCATTCCAATCATACATGACAAAGTGCCTTTCCAGGAAAATTGGGAGTGCTTACTGCTAAAAGGTCAATTGCTCTTTCACTCTGAAAGCTATTATTATAGCAGCTCAATTACATGATCACAAGTAAGTTTAATAAAAAGCAAAACATCTGTATCCAGGAGGGCAAGAAGGCTCAGGAAAAGGGCGGTTACATAATAAGATTTTCCTCAGCAAGCACCACTGGATCATAAAAACCTATGTCTAGGAACCATTTAAATAGAATAATTAAAACAAACAAGAAAAACACTGAAGTTCCCTGGGAGCTCTCTCCCTCTTATAAAGTCCTAAGAAAAAGAATGACATTTTAATGTTTTGTCCTTTAAAACAACTACGAGGAGGCGGATCGGGAAGGTGGTTTAGAGACTACTGGCTCCATTCTTCTACTTCTTAGCTGCATTACTCTGGGCAAGTTAGCCCTCTGGGATTCAGTTTCCTCCACTGTTAATTAGGTAATCGCACCTATCTCATATGATTACTGCAAGACAGAAACGAAATATGTGTAAAGCACGTAAAACACTCCCTAGTATATAGCAAGTGCTCAATAAATGTTAGGCTTTTGTTGCTATATTATTATTATTGGAATTTTCTCAAGAGAAGAAAACAAATGATACAACTGCCAATAGAATCTGGAGGGACATCAAAATATCAACGAATGATAAATAAATACTCTGTAATATGTATTTTGAAAAATTGGTAGAAACTAGTTTAATGGTGAATGAAAACCATCTGCTAATCTAACTCAAGAGTGAGGTTCTAGGGAGTCTAGAGTTCCTTCTCCTAATGGCATTCTGCATCCTTTGATAGATTTTCTCAGATTTCACATCTGTAAACAGCTGCCCACTGCAACACAGCCCCTATATTCAAAGGCATCCATAAGTGTAATTAGGCCATTTGGGGTCAGACCACAAGGCATAAAGTAGGAAACAGGAAATTGAAGTAAGGAGGTCTTGGAGGCAAGGCAGAAAAAAACAACATACAGCTGTTCCCCCAAAGCTAAATGCCAAGGAAACAGAGATCTGCCGGCAGTAGAGAAGCAGGAGGTGCTGTATGGGGTGGTGGAGGCAGATGTCTGGAACAAAGAAGGGTGGAGAAGAGCTCTAGAGTATTGTCTGGCAGCAAGTTATTATCTGCCAGTGAAAAAAGCTTTAACGTGCCTTCGGTTAAGCCACACAGAAGTGCCAGGCAAGGAGAGGCACGGACCACAGCATCTGTTTTACAACTAGGGCCAGAGCCTCCTCAGATGAGGCTGTCAGGAGATTGTGGTATAGTCTGCTCTCCTGCCAGGCCAGAGCCTATGAAGTCCTGGTGTCTGACAGAGAAACCACTGAGGTTTCTGGAATTTCTAAGCATTGATGTTGGATCAAACATACTATTTAGGAAAGGCCAGATCCCATGGCCTTGATGCTGTCACAGCAGCTTGGTTAGAAATCATAAGATAAAGCTTGTAACATTCTCACAGTCAGACAGTGCCACTGCCTCAGTAGATCCCTCCCCACCTTTAACCATCACATGGCCCAGATTCTCCAAAACAGAATGTCATTTTAAAACTTTTAATAAAGATGCTTATTAAAGATACCTCTAAATGTGGCTTGATTTTTATACCTTTTATGCATTTGCATTCATAAATTTATAAGTCGGCAGTGGAGGTGGGAGGGAGGTAGGGAAAGACTGTGACAGGGAAACAACCTTTGCCACATATAAAAATGGAATTCTGCTTTACTTCCTTCTCTAGAGACTGACCAGAAGCAATAGCACACACAACGTCTCAGAACACAGTCACGTCATGCCTCACAGCCGAAAAACATCTGTCACTAAGCTATTCAACCATCATAAAACTGCTGGCCAGGCACAGTGGCTCACGCCTGTAATCCCGGCACTTCGGGAGGCTGAGGCAGGCAGATCACGAAGTGAGGAGATTGAGATCATCCTGGCTAACACGTTGAAACCCCCTCTCTACTAAAAATACAAAAAATTAGCTGGGCGTGGTGGCGGGCACCTGTAGTCCTAGCTACTCGGGAGGCTGAGGCAGGAGAATTGCTTGAACCCGGGAGGTGGAGATTGCAGTGAGCCAAGATCGTGCCACTGCACTCCAGCCTGGGTGACAGGGCGAGACTCTGTCTCAAAAATAAATAAGTAAATAAACAATAAAACTGCTTCAGTGGGGCTTGCCTAGCCCATTTTCTGTTCTGTGGAGATTTCTGAGCCAGCTCCAAGGGCGTCTCCCTCTTTTCCTTCCTCAGAAGATTCCACACTGCCTGGAAATTCCACATGCTGGCAGTACCAAAGGAGTGGAGAGGTGTGCACTAAGCTCCTAATTAAATCACAGGATCTGGCTCATGAGTATCTCACCAACCAAAACATAAACACGGCACCTTTATCATTCAATTAAAAGCATAGCTAGAATTTAATTGCTGGATTAAGAAACAAATGGTTTAAACAAATAATTTAAAAGAAAAAAAAAGGTCTAGGGAAAGTGGGAATAGGGTAAGAGAAACATTTTTCTTCAACCCTGCCATTTCCTGCCTTCAAGTAAGGAACTGAATATCAAACCAGGACCCCAAAATAGAATTTTCAGACAGATGCCAAGACACCATCACATCAACATAGGTAAAGGAGGGAGAAGCTTTATCTGGCTCCTTGGCCCTTCACATTTTCAAAAGCCAAAGAAACATTTCCTTACCTGCCAGGACCCTGTTAACAGAAGAGTGAGTAGCCAAGCCAGGCTGTCCACGTTCATGAAAAATCCCAGCATAAGGCAAGTACTCAGGCAGCAAGAAACGCCTACAAGAAGGAATCACATGTGAAAAGCTGACTAAAGACTACCACGAAACAGATACTAACTACCTACACTGAAAAATCTGGGCTAAGGGACCCACTGAATCCACAGATGCCCAGAAAGAAATAAAATCTCCCAAGATTGGTCCTTCCGCAGATTTGTATCTATCTTTTTCTGCCCTTCCTTCTAAAGTTCCCCCAACACTTCTGTTCTTAAACAGGATTCTCCCAGCACCACTTTTTCATCTCTTTTGAATGTGGCTAACCATCATCCGTCAAGAGTTTAGACAGCAGGGCTGGGCTATGGGCCCACTAGGAAACAATGCCAGATGTGGACAATTCAAAGACCAGAAAGTAGGTTTAAAACTAAATCCTAGGCTCTAACGAAGGCTCCCTCTGTTGCTAGCAACTCGGTTCTTACCTTGGGACAAAGCGTCCAAGCGAAGGTGCAGACATCCGGGCATTGCGTGGAGCTCGGTGCCTGGATCTGTCACCATTGTCCCTGAAAAAAATAAAAACACTACACATAAGAGAGTCACTAAGGAAGAATCATCCACCAGCCCAAAAAGGAAACATCCCCAAAATGACATTCTTACACTTAGGAGAGGACCCCACATAAATTAGTCATCTGGCTGCTCACTAATTAGGCAGCACATTAATAAAACATATTTCTGGAGAACCTCAACTAAGAGATTTATGAGCATTTACCAACAGCTCAGGAAAGAGGAGGATTTTTCTTGAGTTAATGTGGTCCCTTAGCGTCTCAAACTGAAGCCACATTTAGATCTTAGGATTTGGAATGGATATATATAAACTTTTTCTATATTGAAAGATGCAAGAAAAATGTGTCTTGGGGGGTTGTCTTACATTATTTATCATTTTACTTGTTATCCAGACGCCTGCTGTGGGAGGAGGTCTTAAAGGAAGAAAAATTCCCCCACCAATTTCATTTGGCAAATGGTTATCTTCAAATGAAATCTGTTTAGGTCTTCCATGTGGAAAAATCAGTGACAGGTAAAAGAAAAAAAAATGCACAAGAAAAAGACAGTACCTTCTTTTACAGACTGTCAATGGTGAAGAATATTAGAAAACGTAATCCTATGTTAGGTCATTTGAATACAAAGTCTGGGTGTTTTCTTTATGGACTGTTAACAGTCCATGCAATAGTAGTAACTGCCATTTATTAAGTATCTGCTAGGTTCCAATACAAAGGTTATTGATATGTTATCCCATTTAATTCTTCTGGCTAGGCCACGAAGTATTATTACTATTTTACAGAGAAGCGGACGAAAGACCAGAGAGGTAAATACCATGGTCACATAACTAGTAAGTGGTTAAGGCAGGATTCAAGGAAGATTGGACTTTGAAGTCCTAGATCTTTCCACTACATTTCACTGCTTCCTACAAGAGAAGAGGAAAGGAGCTTCACATGTTTTAGTTTCCAGTACATCAAAAGAATAATAAGCCAAAGGGCACTGGCTGGACAGAGCAGTTAATGAGCGGCTTAACCAACTCCACAAAATAAATGAACCTTTGAGAGCTTGATTTGGGATATTTTCTGAATTCTCCCTTTGGATTATCTTCAAATCAATGAGATAATCTTCAAACTGGCCCTGAAACCGAAGTTAAGGCAACACTTGGCTTTTAAGTGGACCACTGGGAACTTCACAAGCCAGAAACAAAAGTCTATGATGGTTTTTATATCTTGGTAGAATTGGCTGCCGAGCATTAAATGACAAATCAATACCAGGGATATTGGAAGCTGATCCATTGAAAGTATTTGGTTTTTATTTTCCCAAAAGAGAAAGCGTACACTGTGTTCCTTAACATATCTTATTCCTTTGACCTGAAATTGTGCAGATGAAAGGAGGGGCAAGGAGAAAGAGATAAGACTATATGGAATGTAAAAGGGGGGTTAAAGAGAACAATGGAATCAGGAGTTCCTGACCAGCAGACTGCAGTTACTGGGGAGCCCACAAATTATACATGTACACAGAGTAGCTGAATATCAAACAAATAAGACAGTTTCCAAATTAAGCATACTATTATTTTTCAAATATACTACTGTTGTGATAAATTACTAATTCATTTAAAAGTACAATTGAATTCATGATAGCTTTTCATTATCGTATATTTCACTTATCAATTAGTACTGAACAAAGTACAACTAATTATCATAAGAGGAGTTAGAAAATATTTTGAAGTTAAAAAGGATCCTAAGCGGGGGAAAGGGTGGAGGCCTCTAAGCCTCAAAAAGATAAAAAACTATCTGGGCACAGTGGTGTGCATCTGTAGTCTCAGTTACCTGGGAGGACTGCTTGAGTCCAGGAGTTCAAGGTCAGCCTGGGCAACAAGAGACTCTCATCTCTTTAAAGAAAGATAGAAAACAGGCCGGGCACAGTGGCTCACACCTGTAATCCCAACACTCTGGGAGGCTGAGGCAGGAGGATCACCTAGGGTCAGGAGTTCGAGACCAGCCTGGCCAACGTGGTGAAACCCTGTCTCTACTAAGAAAAAAAAAAATACAAAAAATTAGCCAGGCATGGTGTTGCATCTTGTAATCTCAGCTGTTCAGAGGCTGAGGCAGGAGAATCCCTTGAACCCAGGAGATGGAGGTTGCAGTGAGCTGAAATTGCGCCTTTGCACTCCAGCCTGGGCGACAAGAGTAAAACTCTGTCTCAAATAAAATAAAATAAAAAATAGAAAATAAAGCTAGAAAAGAAGCATCATGGGTCAAATCTAATTATTCCACACCCATGAGAGAGAGCTGGCCTTCCCAGAATCACATTACAGAGCTGACAATTTGCTCCTGCAAGATCCAAAGATTCACCTCCTTCTGGACAACAAACACGAATCTATCTCTCGTTAGAAGGGCTGAAGAGCAGGGAAGGAGAAGCCAGTGCACTGGACAGTACTGAGCAGTTGCCAGTGCCCAAAGGTAACACAGAGCTTGGTGAAAGAACACAAGAAGACAACAGAGAAAAAGGGGCAAACCCCAGGGCTGGGGAAAATGTGGGCCCGTACAACGTAGGTCACAAGCATCTTTTTGTTGCTATTAAAACCTAAATATAATTTCTTTCTGATTCAGTTTATCCCTTCATTTAAAAAAAAAAAAAAAAGGGAAGGGGGCTGGGTGTGGTGCCTCATGCCTGTAATCCCGGCACTTTGGGAGGCTGAGGCGGGCAGATCACTTGAAGTTAGAAGTTCGAGACCAGCCTGGTCAACATGGTGAAACCTCATCTCTACTAAAAATACAAAAATTAGCCAGACGTGATGGCGAGCGCCTGTAATCTCAGCTACTTGGGAGGTTAAGACACAAGAATCGCTTGAACCAGGAGGCGGAGGTTGCAGTGAGCCAAGAGTGCACCACTGCATTCCAGCCTGGGTGACAGGGCAAGACTCTGTCTCAAAAATAAATAAATAAATAAAATAAAATAAAATAAAAAAATAAAGGGAAGGGGTTAAGATGATAAATTTTATGTTATGTGTATTTTACCAACATTTTTAAAAACTGATGGAAAAGAGAGGGTGCAAAATATGGTCAGAGATAATGGCTTTATAGTGTTTAGAGATTAGTGGGGGATATATAAAGGAAAACAAGAATGAGATCAGCTGGCTCAAATACACGCAGTCTCAGACTGAAGGTTACACGAGGCACTATAAAAGAGGCAACATGTTAAGTAAGGGGAGGTGCTCATGCTGGTCCTCAGTTTATTTAACATCTTGGCTAAGAATGGAGAAATAGGAGCTAAATGTCATCTCAATACAAGGCAGAGCAGATTTCAAATTCCAAGTGTTGAGAACTCTGAAGGAGAAATGACAGGAGAGGACCCAGCACGACCAGGAAAATGTGAAACATAATAAACACAATATGAGATGCTGCCTATGGGAGAAAAGAACCCACAGACCTCTAGGATAAAATAGCCTATAACCAAACCAGCTCAAACATTTACTGAGCAGGTAAAACCTTGAATACCGGAATGGGTAAGGTGGCAAAGGTCAAAATATACTACAAAAGGACGAGTTCGACAGGAAGAGGGGAAAAGGCCATCAGTTTTAGTACTGGTACACAGAAATCCTGGACCAAAGGCACAGTTCCAAATAACTAAAGGCAGAAACAGTAACTGATGACTCTCTAGATTCTATAGTTTAGAAAGAGGGGAAGATTCAGAGATAATGGGTTGGGGTGGGAAAAGAAATTTCAATGCATGGGATATTTAGTGGAAGAACTGAAGGGAGAGGGATAAGTTCCAATAGAAGAGCACAGGAATTAAAAGTACTTAAAATAATGATATACTTAGAAAACTACACAGAAATCTGCCACTCACTTCCGTGCTGATACAAGGTCGACATCAAGCCAAGGCTCTATGAGATAGAAGGAGACAAATTTGGTCAGGCAGGCAGAGGCTGAATATGAGTGAATTGGAAGATATTTGCCAGATGAAAAGTGAGAGAAAGGCAGACCCAGACAGTTTAGGAACAGTGAAGGGTGCTAAATACCGGGCTCTAACAACATAGCCAACACCCTTTCCAAGGGTAATGACTTAAAAGTGTGAAGAACAGAGTACACAAATATGTTGGTATTGCTCCTCCAACATAGGAGGAATACTTTTCAGGGAAACACCAGAGAAACCCTCATCAATTCCAACAGCCTGAAGCTGACTTTGAGCCAGCAGGATAGAAGCTGGCTGGGTTATTAATGGCTTTCCCAGTTGCTGAACTCTGTGCATCTCTGATTAACTCTCAGAGGGGTATTTGGGAAGGAGTAGGGGGAAAAATACTTTCTTATCAAAGATTTTACCAGAAAAAAAACACCCTTCAAACAATCAAGTATCCAAAATAAGTGCTGAATACAAGAAGATGTATTTCCAGAACAAGGGAGAAACACAGCAGCAGCTCTTTTGCTAAATGTCTAGGATTAATTGCCTCGGAGAGAGGCTGTAATTTGAAGGAATGAAAAATGCACCTACAGACTGCTGTCTGAGTCCTGACCAGACAGTCAGGTTGTCATTGCTCCTCAGTGACAAATGGCTCTGACTTGGGCCTTTATAAATGAAGCTCTTGCAGCAAAAAGCTCAAAAGGCCACTGTCCTCTTGACAGTATACAGTTGACTTTGCTGACAATTAGACTATTAAAAAATTTTTGTTTCCCTATGCTGCTCTGTTTCTACTCAATCTCCAGACAACAGAAGGCCTAGCTGGTATTCCTGTCCCTGGAGAGCACAGTGATCTTGGTCAACTCATTTCCTTACTGGAGTGCTGCTGGTTAGAAACTGAGGCCCCAGTCTCTACTTTCAATGACTGTGCACATATGCAAGGGCTTTGATTTCTGGAAGGAAGGCACAGCCCCAGCTGATATCATTCATAGGGAATAGCTAATAGCATAGGTCTCCTGGAACTACAGAGCCTTCATTTTTCTCCAAGGAATGGTAATACAAGAGATAATTACCATTTACAAATTCCTCTCCTCCCTTATGTTACCTTTTAATTTCATCTGCCTACATTATGCAAATCCACATTCCTATTGTGCATTTTATGTTAAAAAATAAGCATATAAATCTAAGGGTTATGTCTTCCTCCCCCAAACCCCCACTGCGTAATTCTTTCCTGCTGTATTTTCCCATTCTAAGCCCAAGCACAATCCAGACGTGTTCCATTTTCTTTCTCTTCTTCTGCATTCCTCTTAACAAATATTCATATGTATTTTACTTGCCCAGTAATTCTAATTCTAGAATCCTAAAGTATTAATTCTAAAGTTGCTAAGCAATATTACACGTTTTTAAGCAATAAATCAAAGTCCTCAGTAAGAGCTAGAATTCAGGTAAAGTATGTATTTTACAAATACATTGAGGCTCGACAGGTACCATATAGCCTATTCTTAATCCTCAGGAAGGCCCCTTACTTTTCTGAGACTTTTCATTATTGTACCTCTGCCTACTACAGGGGAAATTTTTCTTTTTTTTCTTTTTTTTGAGATGGAGTCTCACTTTGTCACCCAGGCTGGAGTGTAGTGGTGCAATCTCAGTTCACTGCAACCTCCGCCTCCTGTGTTCAAGCAATTCTCTGCCTCAGCCTCCTGAGTAGCTGGGTTTACAGGCGCCCGCCACCACGCCCAGCTAATTTTTATATTTTTAGACAGATGGGGTTTCACCATCTTGGCCAGGCTAGTCTTGAACTCCTGACCTTGTGATCCATCTGCCTCGGCCTCCAAAGTACTGGGATTACAGGCATGAGCCACCGCCCCCGGCTGACAGGGGAAATTTTTCTAAGATAGTTAACTCCAACAAAGATCCAAGAAGCTTAAAGCTACAAGAATCTGAGGTTATCTAATCTCATTTTACACATCAGACACTGAGGCCTAGGATGGGAAAGGGGCCGGCTCAAGATCAGATAATAAATCACAGCCTCAGCCAAGACTAGAACCCAGGACTATTCCGTAGACAATAGCTGTCAGGCTGTGGGGCCAGCAGGCATTGACAAGTGATCTCAATGCCAGTCACTGCTGTTCTAAGAAGCAGTGATTGCTAATTTATAAATTTAGTTCAAAACTGGATCCAGTAAGAGTAAAAAAGGACTTAGCATTTTTTTTTTAGACAAGAAAAGTAAGATGGCTGTGCTTTCAGGAAGCTCGTTCCCCTAAAACATTCACAAACAGGCTCCACACTTAGAAAACATCAAGCCCTCAGACAATCAATACTTACAATGCAACCCTCAGATATCCTCACCTGTACTATGCCCACTGCTTTCTAACTGGTACTTCTGCATCAGTACACTTGTCACTTTAGGTCACCTTAACCAATGCTATCAGAGTTAGCTGCCTAAAATATATATTGGATGATGGCTGGCCTGAGACAAAGTCCAAACTTCTCAGCCAGGCATTCCAGGCCATCCAGAGTTCGGGGCTTTCTGATATCTCTCTCATATCACAAACACTCCATAGCTCTAGCCACAGATCTATTCAGGGTCCCTGAATAAGCCCTGTAAATCTCCTGTCTCTACGCTTTTGCTTAAGCTACTCCCTTTATCTAGAATCTCCTCGCTATACCCATCACCAATATCAATTCCTCTCTCACAGTTCTATGCAGTCTTCAATACCCAGCTCAAATCCATGAAGCTTTCTCACCTCTCCCCAAATACTCTCTCCCTTTATACAATGCTCTCCTAGTATTTTAGTGGTAACTTATTACAGTCTATCTTTTTAGATACTTATGTAAAACTTGATGCTATTCCATAACTTAAAATGCTTCAATGATTCCCTCTTGCCTATGGGATAAAGTTCATCTCCTTTGCAAGGCACGCAAGACAAAGATCTAGCTCCATTCTAGGGGCTCATCTGCCACACATCTTTAACTTTACAGTCTAGCCACACCTATCAACAAAGCAATTCCCCAAATATTCCATGCTGTTTCATGTTTCTATGACCATGCATTTACAGCTGGTACTCAAATAATGTTGTTTCATTCAATGTTGTTTTGTATAATGTTGATGAGGGAAAAAAATCAATTCCTGGCCATGGCCACTGTCTGAGTTTGCACACTTCCCCATGTCTGTGTGGGTTTTCTCTGGGCATTCCAGTTTCCTCTCACATCCCAAAGATGTGCACATTGGATGAACTGGCATGCCTAGACTACCTTAGTCTGAGTGAGTGTGGGTGTGTGCATGAGTGCACCCTGTGACGGAATGGCATCCTGTCCAGGGCAGGTTCTCCCTGTGCACCCTGAGCTGCCAGGATAGGCTCCAGCCACCTGTGAGCCAGAATGGGAATAAGCAGGTTGGAAAATAAATGAATACAAAATAATGTAAAAATATGTAAAGCATACAATAATCATACAGATGCACAACAATAATGATGCAGTACTAAGTCTCAGGGCACTGACCATATTTGTTCCTGTTTATGTTTTAACTACATAGTAGTTCCTCACAATTTTCACTTTGCAAACATCTATTCCTTGATTTACCTCACCCCACATTGACCACTGTCACTCACTGATTCACCAAAAATCAAATAATTATATTTTTATTAATCTTTTAGATGTACAAACAGCTCACATTTATTTCAATGTTTAATATAAGAAGTGTTTTGGGTGTTTTAGATGCTTGGTGACGTTTTTGTAGCCAGAAATATGTCACAGGAACTTAACTCTTGTTCATATCAATTAGTCTATGGTAAAATTAGTTTCATTATAGTAGTTTCGCTTAAGTTACAGTTTCCAAAGAGGAATTACTGTACTTGCCTTTCTCCTAAGTATACCTAAATAAAGACCCTATTTTAAGACTTACAGCTCTTTTCTAAGCCATTTTGTAAAGACATTCGACCACTACAAAAATTATCTGGAAAATAAGAGAGGTTTTTGTCTCTCTCCAGGTCATTTTCTTTCTTTTTTTTTGTTTTAATTTTTTATGAAAATAAAAAACTGCACAGGCTGGAGAGCAGTGGCATAATCTCGGCTCACTGCAATCTCCGCCTCCTAGGTTCAAGCAATTCTCCTACCTCAGCCTCTTGAGTAGCTGGGACTATAGGTGGAGAAGTTTTTGTCTCGTTCCACATTAAGAACTAATTTTGTATAATACCACCACTCAATAAATGTAGATGGCTGGCTGATTCCTAACTGCTTTAAGCAGGTTCCAACCTATAAAGAGAGTAACTTTACAGTGTGTTTCCTCAGCATTTCTCTTGCACTCCTAATATTAGAGTCTGTGGCTCATAAGACAAAGGAAAAGACAAAGGGAACTCTATTTCAAAATGAAGTAGATAATACCTTATCCCTCTCTGACGATTTTACTTGCCAAAAGTTACCCCCTCTTCCTTGGGTACAAGTTATATATTTGTTATTAGAGAGTAGTCACTGATTCCTACAGAAGTCCTAGAAATTCCCGGCTCAGAAGAGAGCAGGAACAAGTACTGTCAAGGACAGGTGGCTAGAATTCTAGTCAGGAGAACTTGAAATACATGAGTCATCAGGTCTATCACCTGATAAGAATGGTATTCTCTAGTTTCTAACATATCTTCTTTGCCATGACTCAACTAGGCTTTTTAAGTTATATCAAAGGGGCAGATGAAGAATATTAAATTGTGGGCCAGATGTGGTGGCTCACGCCTGTAATCCCAGCACTTTGGGAGGCCGAAGTGGGCAGATCACGAGGTCAGGAGTTCAAGACCATCCTGGCTAACACGGTGAAACCCCATCTCTACCTAAAATACAAAAAAATTAGCTGGGCGTGGTGGCAGGCACCTGTAGTCTCAGCTACTCAGGAGGCTGAGGCAGGAGAATGGCATGAACCTGGGAGGCGGAGCATGCAGTGAGCCGAGATTGTGCCGCTGCACTCCAGCCTGGGTGACAGAGCGAGACTCTGTCTCAAAAAAAAAAAAAAAAAAAAAAAAAAAATGAATTTTTGCTTTGTGTTCACAACTTGGCTGTTTATAGCAGAAGAGGACTAGCTTCTGGCCTATCTCAAGTTTCAACATGTCTTGCTCACTAATCATTTGTAGCTTTTGACATAAAGTGAGAGATGTGCAACTCTTCCTTTTTCTTGAACATACAGAGGTCACTATAGGGATATTAAATGGCCTAATTTCAATATTGCTGTGTATCAGGGAATAGGAAGGCCCAAGAAGAGGAAGAGAGATGGGGGAATCGCCAGTGAGTGGAGCAGTCAAAATATATACAACATTTACAATTAAGCTTATTGTCTTATATGATTGTGGTTCACAGTGCCCCAAAACAATTACAATTGATCACAGGTCACCATAACAGATCTAATAATAATGAAAACATCTGAAATACTGCAAGAATTACCAGTGTGACAGACAGACACAAAATGAGCACATGCTGTTGGAAAAATGGTGCCAACTGCTCAATGTCGGGTTGCCACAAACCTTCAATTTGTGAAAAACACAATACCTGCAAAGCGCAAAAAAAGCCAAGCACAATAAAACAAAGTGTGCCTGTATTTGGTCACAATGTGGACTTCTGGGAAAAGAGGACCCAAATATAAGCAAATTAATTAGAATAGTTAAGAAAATAAATTAACAGACCTAAAGAGAATTCATCTTAAGGCTAAAAGACTAGAATTCTCATTGAGATGTTTTTTCCAGGCAGAAATCCAAAGTACAGCCCGTGTGTCAAAATTGTGAATAAGAGACTTCTGTGCCAGCAACAGTCTTTTATTTGTTTAATACATATGGGGATCTCACTATGTTGCCCAGGCTGGTCTCGAACTCCTGGGCTCAAGCAATCCTCTTGCTTCAACCTCCCAAAGTGCTGAGATTACAGGTGTGAGCTGCCACACCCGGCTCTAGCAACAGTTTTCAAGAAGCTGAATGTAATTATCCAGTGGCTAGTATATACGATGCAGATATTTGCGACTGATCTAATCTGAAGCTTCTCTAGTCTGACTGTCATTAGCAAAGCCTTTGCTACAGTATCCCTTTGCCTCAGAAAGCAAAGCAGCTATAAAAAGAGGCAGGAAGGGCAGGAATATGGGCTAGGGAGGATTCTGGAATTATAATTACATTTAGATTAACAGATAAAATGAGTAAGGGGGCAAGCATAGCTGGAATAATTGTCATAAAGCATACACACCACCTCTTTTGTAGGCCTTAGCAACTACGGGCCATAGCACTTAACCTGGGCTTTATAAAAGCCCCCTCCCTCTTTCCAAAGGGATGGCAAACATGAAAATGGAAGTCTGCCTTACGCTTATTTGCCATCTCCATTCTAGTAGGTGGTCTGGGCTTGAAAGCAGACAGACAGCAATGTCATGGGCAGCCACACCTTTACCCTGCTTATGAACATCTTTATGCAAAGGCAGCTGCTGAGAGCTTCAGGAGAGACCTGCTGACAGCAGGTTTCTGGATGTCCTGTTTGTGCAGTTTGATAAACACAAGGACCCTGCAGTCTCAATCCTTGCTGTAGACAGAGATGAATGGCAGGAGAGGAAGCCTGCCCAGGAAGATGGTCATTCATCTAGATCACAAAAGAACAGAAAATTTAACCTGATGCTGACCAACCTCCAAAGCCACCCTCCCAAGAGATAAATCTCAATGGTCTTGCTCCACAGCAAGCTCTTGGAAAGGCTCAAAAATGGTGGTACATCATTTTCAAAGGTTTTTAAATCAGCAGGACAATAAAACTCAGACACTAAATATGCTTGCTCCTGTCCTCTAACCTTAGACATATCTGATTTGGTCAAATGGAAGAGAACCACAAAAGATGGGCTCTGAGTAATGGCTCCCTTGGTTTTCTGAGAACACTATACAACTGGATGTGACAAGCCCAAAAATGGCAAAATGATCTATGACTTAGCAAACAGAGGGAGAGGTCATCAAAGTGAGGTAGCAAAGGCAAGAGCATGAAGTGCTGAGAAGGTGAGGATACCAAACAAAGGAACAACTGTCTTAATGGTAACCTAATTGTTAGGAGGATTACTCGCCATATCTACCTTACATGTCTCTCTGTACCTGAAAAAAATATAAATCGTGACTGCACATGCCTCTGACTTTCCTTCTAGTTACCAAAGCTAAGGCAAAAGATTGGGGCAGAAAAATTAAAATGTGCTGGTACATTCCTTCTTTGTTATTCTCCCTCCTCACAGAGCACGTGGACACTCAGAGGACAGGAGCAACCACAAGCAGCATTCAGTTTACTGTAGAGGGAGGTGGGCAGGGAAGGAGACAGAGAAAGAATAAACAGTCAGTTTCAACCAGCCAGTAACATCCTTTACTAGAAGACCTGGACTACTAATGTTGAGGTGACTAATCCACAGCTGCTATTAAAAACAAGATTCTAGTCTACATCAGCCCAAAAAGAAAGGCAAACACCCCAGAAGGGACTTTCCAAGGAGTATGAGAGAAATCAGTCCATTGTTACTAACCAGGGAGCAATATAAGACCCCCTGAGAAAAAACAGTAAGTCAGTGCATGAAAGGTGAAGAAGGAAATGTAAATTCAGGTCATGCTAAAGCCAGGGGAGGGGGTGGGGGAGAGCGCACAGGTGGGCTGGGGGGAGCATAAGGAGGAGGCAGTCTGACACAGGAAAATCGAGGGGGAAGGAAGGGGAGAGAGAGAGGAGGTGGTAGCAGGAGAAAGGGAAGGTAAGACAAGAACAGAACATTTTAAACTAACCCAGAACTCCCTTGTGAAGGACAAGTCACGAGGCAAGATACAGCTTGAAGGCATGAGCCCCACATTTCACCACTGCAAAAAGATAACGCAGTCTCCCAGGCGTGCATGGAAAGAGGGCTAGGCAATCCACAACACTGACTCCCAGGGCTCCACAGCATTAGTGAGAGAAAGTCACCCAGGCTTTTCAGCAGCACTAAGTGCCAGCAGCCTTGGCATGTATGTTTCAACTGCTTCCCTGAATAGACCCTGGTGCTGGAAAAACCGTATCTACAGGAGAACATATTTCACTGTAAGTATCTGCCTGGCTAAGGGAACAAACACTCCATTTCCTTCACTGCTGATATACGCATCCACCTCACCCTAGAGTGGACAGAAGGGAGAAGGAACAAGCTGACAGTCAGAAGGTAGCTCTGCTCTTCTCCTGCAGTTGACAAGAGAGAACCATGACCTCTGCTCCATTTGCCACACCACTGCTACTTCAGGCCATCCCTGCATTTCTTTCACATTTACATCTTTCTCAGACAAATAAACCTCCCACTTAGTTTTCCTTTTGCTTCTAAGAGCACAAATGCTAGTAGTGTGTTTAATGACAGCATCAGGAAGGCAAATTGGTACAAAGGTTGTTCTCACTTTCCTAGTCCTTTCTGGCAAAGAGATTTCTTAAACACACTAAAAAGCTTTGTTGCAAGATGACTTGTGAGGAACTAGCCATTCAGTTAAGGAAGAAAGCTGAGGGGGAGATGAGAACTCTTAAGGCCCCAGACCTGACCCGGCTATGTCAAGATGGAAGGTGGGGAGGAAATGACTGACAGGCTGTCCTCTTTCACAAATGCCAGTGAAGAAGGAGGAAGAAATAATGCTTAACCGCCCTTCTCTCTCTCTTGCTTTTATGTTTGACAATACCAAAATATAAGGAATCAAAATGAGCCAAATGTTCAATTTGATACAGGCCATAAAAGCTCAGTTTCAGGATGGAAAGAAACACAATGAATGGCTAGAAAGGTCAGAAGCAGCAGATGAGAGAATGCAAAACCCAGCAATAAGATTGGCTAGCTTAGGCTGGGCGTGGTTGCTCACACCTATTATCCCAGCACTTTGGGAGGCCAAGGCAGGCGGATCACAAGGTCAAGAGATGGAGACCATCCTGGCTAACAAAGTGAAACCCCATCTCTACTAAAAATACAAAAAAAAAAAAAAAAAATTAGCCGGGCGTGGTGGCAGGCGCCTGTAGTCCCAGCTACTCCGGAGGCTGAGGCAAGAGAATGGCATGAACCTGGGAGGCGGAGCTTGCAGTGAGCCGAGATTGTGCCACTGCACTGCAGCCTAGGCAACACAGCAAGACTCCGTCTCAAAAAAAAAAAAAAAAAAAAAGGCTTGGCACGGTGGGTCACGCCTGTAATCCCAGCACTTTGGGAGGCCAAGGCGGGCAGATCACGAGGTCAGGAGATCAAGACCACCCTGGCTAACATGGTGAAACCCCATCTCTACTAAAAATACAAAAAATTAGCCAGGCGCGGTGGCGGGCGCCTGTAGTCCCAGCTACTCAGGAGGCTGAGGCAGGAGAATGGCGTGAACTCGGGAGGCGGAGCTTGCAGTGAGCCGAGATAGCGCCACTGCACTCCAGCCTGAGCGAAAGAGCGAGACTCCGTCTCAAAAAAAAAAAAAAAAAAGATTGGCTAGCTTAAATTCTAGAGCCTGGGGCTGACCCTGCTCCTTTAGCGCATCCTCCCATGGCTCTCCCCGCTGACCACTCAAAAAAGCCCAAAGAAGCAAGAAATCATTTCTCAACCCACCACATTAATTTGACAGACAACTTTTTAAGGTTCCTGAATGGGGGGTAAGAGTAGGGAGACCAAAAAAGTTTAGGCAATGGAGTAGGATCTTAAAGAGTCAGTCTGATCAGGGCACTAAGATAGAAAATCCGCCTCTTAGGGAAATCCAAGTATTTCAGAACGAAGACAACATCTCCACAGCTACTCTGCTTAGGAGAAAAAACACCAACCCTCCAGCCTCCCTGATGTGGTAAAGACAGTCCATGAGAAGCTTTCCACGGTCACTGGACATGCAAAAGGGAAATAAAAATGTTGCCCGAGGAGCAACAGCCACCATCCTCTCGCAATCTGGCCTGGGGCCCAATGGGAGGTCTCTGTCCTCGCGCGCCAGTGAATCAGCAAAGCAACTGCCAGAGGTGGGAGTGCTCTGGGCATCTTAACCCTCTGTCCCTCACCCCATCCTGCTACTCATAAATAATAATTGAGGAGTTGGGAGCAAGAACATCCACCATTGTAGCTCCAACAGTGGCCAACTTGGAAGCACTCCAAGCTTGAGAGGAGAGGGAAGAAAGCAAGCTGAGTATGTACTTACTCAAAGTCCTCAAATTCCAAGTCGGTTCCCTCTACTGATGGACCCTGGTTGTCTGAGGAAGAGGAGGAGGTGGAAGAACGGAGACGGTTCTGTTGGTAGCGCATGGAGCGCTGGCGAATACTGTCTCTCCGTGAGAGATACTGGATCATCCTCTGGGCGTAGTATGCAGCAGGAGATAATCTGAGAGAGACAGAGATGGACAAACACAAACTAGCACTAATGTGGGGAATACTATGAAAGGCAGTTAATCCAGCTCTCCCATGGCATCTCCCTGCTGAGGTGAACTCTGGAGACATGAAAATTAAAGGGCATTTAACTCAACTCACCAGGAGGTTTGCACTGCAGAATATACTTATCAGACTATCACCAGTGTTTCTGTTCTGAGATAAGGCAAACAGGCAGCTTAACCAGACATCTTCTGAGGAAAAGCTGCCCCTCCCCAAGAGAAACACTGGGCCTTTCCTTCTAGCTTCTGAAGGTACACTTTTAGCTCCTCAGGGTGCTCTTTACACAGAGCTGTGCTCATTCATAGCTTTTCCTTGATCACCATCCATACGCAAAATGGAAGACATGAAAGGGACCTGAGCAATTATCTACCATCATGTTTTACAGATGAGAAAAGATGCCAGGAGATGGTAAGCCTCAGATGATTAAAGAAGGTATCCACAGGTATCTTCACCAGGACTTCTGTCTTCTCCAACAAGTATACACAGCTCCAGATTTGTCCTACCTCCTTAGCATGATCTCTTGGAACCTCTTTTTCTCTCCCTTAAGAATTAGTCATAGATATTTGTAACATGGGGAAAAAATTCAGAACTGAGACTGACAGTAAAATATACTTGGGAGAACAGAAAATCTAACAGAAAAAAATAAAAGAGATTTTTTTCTATTTCTTACAATCAGAGCATCAGAGGCTGCGTGGGCACTGGGCAATATGGAAGGTGAGAGTTGTTCCTCTTTCTTCTCCTTTATGATGGCTATTCCTGTAAATAATTAGTCCAGATCTACATTCTTCAAACTACGGCTTTAATATCTTGCTACTCCATGAAAACTCCTAGTGTTATATACAATTCTCCACATTGCCTTCTCAAGTTTTCCTCCATCTCTCACAACAGTATTATATAATTTGACGCTATGGACTGAAAACATGAGAGGAACAATAACAGAAAAATGTTTTCTATGATAATATTAAATGGATTACTAAAAAATTTCAAGACTAAAAACCTGCCCCAGGCACACTTGACTCAATAATTCTACTAGAAACTTTATCCTACAGAAATACATAAGGTTACAAAGATATATATAAGAAAGTTCATTTGCAACATTGTCAGCATTAGTGAAAAACTGGGAAGCAACCCAAATGCCCAGCAACAAATTAAATAAATTATTAATATATCCATACAAAGAAACACCATGTAGCAATTAAAGAGAATAAACTATTCCTATATACTCACAAGGAAAGTCCTCTAAAATAAAATCTTAAGTGGGAGAAAAATTGAAGAATGGTCTGTATACACTAATACATATACTAAAATATGTTGCTGTTACTAGGCAAAAAAAACTATAAGGGAACAACACAGCAATCCTAATGAGGATTCCTGGGACTTTTGTATTTTATATACTTCCATAATGTTTGAATATAAAAGGAAAAGGGCATAGATTTTCGGTTTTTTAATGGAAATCAGAAAAAAATTGATTAAGAACAGAAACAGGAATAGTTATATCCAAATGGTACAAAAAGTATTGGCAACTATCTTGCAAAGAGGTCCTCAGTAAGTCTACCAACCCAGGTCACAGTCAACTGCAGTCAACTGCTAGAGGAACATAGGCTGCCTCTGAAATGCCTGTCATCAAAGGTGGTATCCTTCTGGCCAACCAGCAAATGGAATTCCCAAGCAGAACAGCTAACAATCTTTTAAACTCAAAAGTCTGTTTTACAGAATAATACACTGCAGTGAACACCAACGAGTCAATATTATAATATCTGTGTATAGCAAGTAGGCATAGGAGGCACAGATGCCTTGGCCAAGAGAATCAGAGTACAAGAGCTAGTTCCTAAAAGCCTCAACTGGAGGAACTTTCATTATCTGTTTGGGCCCCTGTTCCCATGCATTTTGCAAGGATGAACCACAGAATCCTAAATTTTCAACCAACAGAAGTCGATGTTCGTGCACTGTTCTTATATCTGCCCAATATATAGAACTCTTCTAGCAGAAATCAAGCATCATTGGTTAAATTCTCAAGTCAATCAGACTAGAAAAGAATATACAAGGAGAAAAATCTCAAGAGGAGAAAGAAGACCCTTTTATTTGGAACCGATTCTGAAAAGTGATAAGTACACTTACTTTATAGGCTACCCTAAGTAATGGAAAAAACATAATATTATTGGTGATAGAGGTAGACATAATGTTGATGCTAATGATAATAAGAAGACTGCCTTTTTATGTAGGGACATAGGAATTCCCCAAGCTATGAAACTGTAGATTAATGGTTTAAAAAGCATTCCTGCCACAATTATTAAATACAAGTATATCCTAGCCTTGTCCTTTTAGATATGCAGAGGGAAGCTAAGGATCTGAATGCTGAGGTGTCTCACTAAGGCTCTGACCTATACATAGTGTATAGGGTGAAGCCTAAGAGGAAAAAGAAACTAAACAACCAGCAATGAGGTAGTAACAATCATCCTCCTAACAAAGAGCTGGAAAATCATCAAACAACCCTAGTCTTCCAAGTGAACATTTTAAATGTTTAAATAAATCCTTAAGTTTTCTTCAAGGAAAAATACTTCCTTTTCCAAAAAAACCTATTTTGTATTCAAAGTGTAAAAATACCAACACCACGAAGTATGACACTTTCCGTGATAAAGATCACAGTAGGATAAATAACAGATTTATTATATAAAAGGAGGATAAATCATGGTCGTTAAGTATCCTTGTAGAACACTGCCAGGTTAAAAGTTCTGGGGATGAGATGCCTATTGCTGTCTTTATTGCAAGAACTTCTCTATCTCAGTGCTTCAAAGTAATTGATTCATATGAAAAATTCCTTTCCCTTATATTTAGGGTGTATAATCCTCAAACATCATTAGAGACTCACATAAACTTCCTTGTTTCACTCATCATCTATGGTGCCTGCCTGTTTTAAAGTCATCAATCCTTATGTTCCCTGATCCTTAAGTTTGTCATTTCTAGGGTGTGGAAAAGGAACTAAGAGGATAATGAAGAATCTTTGCACCAGTATCTCAGAAAGAATGCTCAGTGTCATGACATAACTGTGGCAACAATAAAAGCACTTAATATTCCTGGAATCAACTTGGTCTAAAGGTTTTTCCAGGCAGACCTGAAAGTCCTAATCTAGAGCAAAGTTCATTTTGCTTTACCTAACCTACACTGCTAACCTGCCAACCCCACAACTGTAAATTACCCTTTTCTTTTGGCAAAGCCTCCTAATGTGCTCTAGTATTGCTTAAATAATGTGCCTTTTTAGATCACGAACAGAATCCGTAAATCTGGCTGTGACAACCCCAAGGGGCTGCTCTCTGCAGATGAATGTTATCCATTAATATCCCACCCTTGGTCCTTAGTTATCACCATCAGTGAAGGGCAGGCCTTGAACTCATTGAAATAACTTCTGTTTTGTTTTTTATCTCTTTAGAACTTTTCAAATGTCTTCTTTTTTTTTTGAGACAGAGTCTTGCTCTGTCACCCAGGCTGGAGTGCAGTGGTGCGATCTCTGCTCACTGCAACCTCTGCCTTCCTAGTTCAAGTGATTCTCCTGCCTCAGCCTCCCAAGTAGCTGGGATTACAGGCATCTGCCAACATGCCCAGCTAATTTTTTGTATTTTTAGTAGAGACGGGGTTTTGCCATGTTGGCCAGGCTGGTCTTGAACTCCTGACCTCAAGTGATTTGCCCGCCTCAGCCTCCCAAAGTGATGGGATTACAGGCGTGAGCCACCATGCCCAGCCTCAAATGTCTTCTAATAAGTGTAAGGCAAGCACTTTAATAAAATGCCAACTTGTTTTATCCATTTACTCCTTCTTCGGTCGTCTCTTCCTTTGGGCAGTCTCCAAAAATGTCAATACCTGAAGGAGCTTGACTTCTGCCTTTTGATATTCTAAATTCCCTCTCAAATGACAGCAAATTGGGTTTTTTGTTTAATCTATACATAATTTCCCTATAAATTAAAAACATTTTGTTCCCCTGTTGGCTGTCCATCTGAATGACAACAGCCTCTCTGGCCAACAGAAAAAGAGTATCCTATGACTACCTGTGGCCTCTCCAGGTTCCTCCTCTAGCACCACACTTGCGGAAATGAGTCCCAAAGGACAAGAGCTTGGTCATAACCCTCTGTCACCAGAGGTACTGTTCACTTACCTGCAATACTTCCCCATCACCTGAACCACCTGTCTCAAAACTGTAACTGAAGAATAAAAGAGCACCAGGACCAGAGAGGCACAGAACGGAGCTTCCAACAGTGTGGCAACCCCAAGGGCCGCCCCTCCCCCCACCTAGTGCCATTTCTCACTTTGGCCTTACCTCGCTGGGTCTGGGTAAATTGGGTGCTCTCTGGATCCTGCTCCATCATAACGGGATAATGAAATGAGGGAAGATTCCAGCAGCCTCCTAGCAGAGATTAAAAAAATGGCAATAATCCCTGTCAATTACCAACTCAGAGGTCATTCATAAGGAAAAATGAGGGAGAGATATATAACTTTCCCCTTTTGCAGCCAGCTAACGCCTGTTATCTGGGATCACACCCTTCTACAAGCTAAGTAGGTAGAGACACAAATAAATGAAGAGCTGCAAAACTCCCACACTGGACATGACCACTGCATTCTGCTGAATACTGCTCTTCAATGAGAAATGAACAAGTGCTTCAGAGACATGATCTTCTTTCTATTTGCAGTACCTCCAGTAGACAAATAGAAGGTTCGGATCAACACAGGAGTGAAAAATTAGGCACACACAGAGATTATCACATAGTGCTAACATTTATCTTGTTGTTTGGTTCCTCCATGCCATCATCATCCACATCTACTTCCTGTCTATCCATTCTGCTCTGCCTACGCTCTTTTTTCTTTTTTTTTTTTTTGTGAGAATTGAGTACTCCTCAGATATATAACTATAATATATCTATTAAAAATATAAATATATATAAGAGTACTCCATAGGCTTTCAACTGACAACGTTTACTTATATAATCTAGCCCAATAACAAACTCAACTGATCATATGTGATACGTACATTTTATTGAACACTTTTTTTGATGCCAGGTAATAGGTAATACTGAGCACTTCATATGTATTTGTTTAAACCTCACCACAACCTAGAAAGGTAGGTATGACTACATACATGAGAACACTGGGCCCAGAAGTTAAAGTGTATCACTCTGTGGCACATAACTATTAAGAGATAGTAACAGGACTCCAGGGAAGGCCTGTCTTAACTCCAAAATGCCTCAAATCTCTATTTTGTACTGCAAGACCTTCCACGGTCCAGGCAGGAAGCAAGAGCATATGTATTCAATGGAGACTGACAAACAGGAAGGTCTGTGGCCCATCATTTAGCTCCAGCCAATTGTTACTAAGCTAGAATATAGGCTCAGTATTGCTGGCTTTTCCTATTTTTTAAGGAAAGCTAGAAATCTGGAATTTTGTATAAAATCTCCTGATTGTTAAATTTTAGCTACAACTTTTTTTTTTTTTTTTTAAACAACAAGGGCCAGTCAGAACACGTATAATAAACACGGCCCAGGGGCTCCCTGGTTTGCATGTCTGACATGGTGCTTCCCAACTCACATGTGCCTTGGCAGCCAATCAAGCTCCTGCCCCAGAACATGTTTCAAAGGAAATGGTCTCAGAGAGGAACGCATATTGTTCCTCTCCAGCAGCATCTTGCCTGCCTTTCCTAGGAACAGGTCCCTGGCTCCCTGCCAGACTCTTCTTTAAAGCAGACCTGCAGGATAAGGACAGCAGCTACCAATCTTTTCCAATTGATTTAATTCAATTCACTGTTACTAAAACCATCTGGCTTTAGGTATAGTCCTGTGCGGTCACTTTATTCCAGCAACTGGCCCACTGCAGTACTTCCCCTAACAGCCTGGGGAAGAGACATAGCAAAGGCCCTAACAACCTGGCTTGCAACCTTTCCTGCCCAGGACAACCAACTATCAAGTAATGTTTTCTCTCTAGACAAGGCCTATATCCCCATACTTAGACACTTGTAACAATCCTACCACTGAACAGAGAGAACACAATGTAAACAAGGAGGAAGAGAGGAAAGCAATAAAATACATCTCTCTGGTTGAAAGACTAAATCTTCAGTAACATCACTGTGGTTCAAATGTGGCAGAAATGCTGTTTCATCAATTCTAAGACACACTTTTCACCTTTGAATGTGTCTGAGGTTGGGGTGTATTTTACAGTTGTGTGACACAGTTTAATTGGCAGGATTTTTTTTTTTTTGATAGAGACAGAGTCTGGCTATGTTGCCCAGGCTGGTCTCAAACTCCTAGCCTCAAGTGATCCTCCTGCCTCGGCCTCCCAAAGTCCCAGGATTACAGCCATAAGTCACTGTGCCTGCCCACTGGCAGGATTTTTTCATGATTTCATAGGAACACATAAAATAACGGCATGTCTTTGAGTCTTTTAAAATACAGAATGTGTGGGACAGGTAAGGGTAGTGAGAGATACAGAGTCTGGGAAAAAAGGAAAATCAAAATTTTGAGAAGAGTATTCAGGTCATTTATGCCATCTTATATAGTACTTATTTATCATTTAACAAACCAGTTCTTCAGGAACTGGGTGTGAGTTGAAGAATGGAAGCAAGGTCTGGGAGCAGCTGACTATCCTAGAATACCTAGAAGCTTGTTCCACCCTAAAGTGCTCTGGAGTTAGTCCTGAATGTCACCACCTGTTGTGTTATCCTCCAAGTGGTCGTTTAGTAAGCTGAGGCCCTTTGGCAAGCAGCATCCTCCACAGTGACCAAAAAACATCCTTCTTGGCTGGGCGTGGTGCCTCACGCCTGTAATCCCAACACTTTGGGAGGCCAGATGGGTGAACTGCCTGAGCTCAGGAGTTCAAGACCAGCCTGGGCAACATGGTGAGACTCCATCTCTACTAAAATACAAAAAAGTAGCCAGGCGTGGTGGTGCGTGCCTATAATCCCAGCTATTTGGAAGGCTGAGGCACGAGAATCACTTGAACCTGGGAGGCAGAGGTTGCAGTGAGCTGAGATCGCACTACTGCACTCCAGACTGGGTGACAGAGTGAGACTGCATCTCAAAACAAACAAACAAACAAACAAACAAACAAAAATACATCCTTCTTAAAGAAACTAATTATGGTAACAAAAGCAAATATTACCCCCAATCTGCTAAGGCAATGACAGTACTGAGTGAGATGAGATGATTTATTAGGAATGCTGTAAAGGAGATTCCTGATCTGAAGGGTTTGCATTAGGTAACTTCAGTTTTAATGACTCCATTTTTATTTTTTATTTTTTGAGACGCAGTCTCACTCTGTCACCCAGGCTGAAGTGCAGTGGCGCAATCTTGGCTCACTGCAACCTCCGCCTCCTGGGTTCAAGCGATTCTCCTGCCTCAGCCTCCTGAGTAGCTGGGATTAAAGGCATGCGCCACCACACCCGGCTAATTTTTGTACTTTTAGTAGAGATGGGGTTTCACCATGTTGGTCAGGCTGGTCTCAAACTCCTGACCTTCTGATCCGCCCGCTTTGGCCTCCCAAAGTGCTGGGATTACAGGTGTGAGCCACTGTGCTGGCCTTAATGACTCCATTTTACAATCCTAAAAGTCTATTTCCCACCTTAACTTCCTACCTTAATTAGGAAGACTTCTTTAAGTTGGAATAGACCCAAAATATGAAGCTTTGTTGCTGGAGAGTCTCTGATGAGGTTCTTTTGGAACACGCATCCCCTGTGCCTACTTACTACGGAATGTGTTGGCAACATTTGCTGCCCAGACAATATAGTGGAACTGGCAAGCCACATATATATGTCACTTTACTGCTAATGCACAAAAGCAGGAAAGCCAATCACCATGAATACACATATACACTGATGAAACATCAGTTCTTCATAGTTACAATACGAGTACTATCTGGAGTAAAAATAGGCTTCTCCAATTGGTGTGGAATAAAGAACTAGAGTTACTAGATGAGTAAACATCCTAGGAATGTTTACCACCATTGCTAGGAACCTCAAAGAAAGATCTTTCTTTTTTTTTTTTTTTTTTTTTTTTTGAGACGGTGTCTCGCTCTGTTGCCCAGGCTGGAGTGCAGTGGCACGATCTCGGCTCACTGCAAGCTCCGCCTCCTGGGTTCGAGCCATTCTCCTGCCTCAGCCTCCCAAGTAGCTGGGACTACAGGCACCTGCCACCATGCCTGGCTAATTTCTTTTTGTATTTTTAGTAGAGACAGGGTTTCACCGTGTTAGCCAGGATGGTCTTGATCTCCTGACCTCATGATCCGCCCACCTCGGCCTCCCAAAGTGCTGGGATTACAGGCGTGACCCACTGCGCCCGGCCAAAAGATCTTTCTTTCCCAGTGTTAGCCTGTTACAGACAGCTGTCAACGGGAAATGGTAGGAGAAAATTGAATGCGATGGCAGTTCTGCACATTCTGCTGTGACCACCACAAACTTGACTTGACTTAATCTATCACAAGAAATCAGGGAGGGCCTAGGAAGGGCTCAGACAAGCTTGTTCAGGTTCGAAGCTGCTATCACTGAAGCTGAAGAAAAAAAAAATACAAAAACACAATACAACCAAACAAAATACTTCCTTGTTTTCTCTACTTGCCTGGTTCATTTTATACACCACTGGTGTCCAAGTGAGGTATACGAGGGGTTGTGCTATTTGATCCATTGGACAGCAAGGGGGAAATATTACAACTTCTGCTATATAATATATAATCATAACACACATGGATTACTCAAAAGCTTTTTTTTTTTTTTTTTTTGAGATGGAGTTTCCCTCTTTTGCCCAGGCTGGAGTGCAATGGTGCAATCTCGGCTCACTGCAACCTCCGCCTCCCGGGTTCAAGTGATTCTCTTGCCTCAGCCTCCCAAGTAGCTGGGATTACAGGCGTCCACCACCACACCCAGCTGATTTTTGTATTTTTAGTAAAAACAGGGTTGCACCATGTTGGCTGGAGCTGGTCTCAATCTTCTGACCTCAGGTGATCCACCCGCCTCGGCCTCCCAAAGTGCTAGGATTACAGGCGTAAGCCACCGCGCCCGGCTAGAAAGCATTTTATTAATAAGGTTTTTTTTTTTTTTTTTTTTTTTTTTTAAGTCTGAAGGCCACTGCTCTATCAAACTATATATTACTTTAACAATACTAAACAGGCCGGGTGCAGTGGCTCACGCCTGTAATCCCAGCACTTTGGGAGGCTGAGGCAGGTGGATCACGAGGTCAGGAGATCGAGACCATCCTGGCTAACATGGTGAAACCATGTCTCTACTAAAAATACAAAAAATTAGCCGGGCCTGGTGGCACACGCCTGTCCCAGCTACTTGGGAGGCTGAGGCAGGAGAATCGCTTGAACCCGGGAGGCAGAGGTTGCAGTGAGCCAAGATCGCGCCACTGCACTCCAGCCTGGGCAACAGGGACAGACTCTGTCTCAAAAAAAAAAAAAAAAAAATGCCAAATACTTAAAGAATAGGATAAGCTTAAATATAAAAAACTATAAGCATATAAAAGTATACCCATATTCGTATATATATAGAGAGAGAGAGAACAAAAGAAGATAATAAAGCCAATGTGGCAAAATGTTAACATTTAGGGAATGTGGGTAAAGGGTATATGGGAATCCTCTATACGTTTTCTGCAAGTTTGAAATTATTTCAAAATGAAAAACAAAAACATACAACACACAAAAATCTTAAAGTAAAATACTGAAAAGAAAGAGATAGCCATTTGTTTTCAGAAGAATTACTCACGGCCAGGCGCGGTGGCTCACGCCTGTAATCCCAGCACTTTGGGAGGCCGAGGTGGGCAGATCACCTGAGGTCAGGAGTTCGAGACCAGCCTGGCTAACATGGTGAAACTCCATCTCTACTAAAAATGCAAAAATTAGCCGGGCGTGGTGGTGGGCTCCCGTAGTCCCAGCTACTTGGGAAGCTGAGGCAGGAGAATGGCATGAACCTGGGAGGCGGAGCTTGCAGTGAGCCAAGATAGCGCCGCTGTACTCCAGCCTAGGTGACAGAGCAAGACTCCGTCTCAAAAAAAAAAAAAAAAAAAAAAAAAGAATTACTCACTTTGTAAAAAGATTTCTTAGAATAGCAACTTGCCCTAATGCTCTACAGCAGGTTTGGTAAACTACAGGCCCCAGGTCAGCTGTCTTCTTTTGTAAATAAGTGGCTACTTTGGAGCTGGCAAGGCAGAACTGAGGAATCCTGATAGAGACAAAGCCTAAAATACCTACTGCCTAGCCCTTTACAGAAGATGTTCGCCCATTTCTGCTCTAAAACATTTGCTTACATAGAATTCTTTAAATTACTAAGGGACAGAACAAAAAAGAACTTGAAATTAAAGTATTGTGCACTGGAAAAAAAACATCAAAAATGAATATTAAGCTCTGCTAAAATCATAATAGGCATATAATTCAAACTGTGAAATCCTGAACATTTTTAAAAGAATACAACTATTTTTTCTTTCCCTGATTAATATTCTGAGTTATGTGCAAAGAAGTTCCCTGTATCAGCTGTATTCTTGATCACTAGGAATACAATTTTTAAAATAGTCAAAGAAAGCTCTGGAAAAGAAAAAAAGTGGTCGGAGCAGATCAACTGAAAGAAAAGAACCTTCACTTCATTATTTTATTTTATTTCATTTTTTGAGACAGAGTTTCTGTCACCCAGGCTGGAGTACAGTGGCGCGATCTTGGCTAACTGCAACTTCTGCTTCCTGTGCTTAAGCAATTCTCTTGCCTCAGCCTCCCGAGTAGCTGGGGCTACAGGCATGCACCACCAAGCCTGGCTAATTTTTGTATTTTTAGTAGAGACGGGATTTCACCATGTTGTCCAGGCTGGTCTTGATCTCCTGGCCTCATATAATCCACCCACTTTGGCCTCCCAACATGCTGGGATTACAGGCATGCGCCACCATGCCCGGCCCCTTCACTTCAAATTCAATAGATATCAGAGTTGAGGTGCAGAAAGTCTGGGTACTAGTCCATATGGAATAAACAAACCGTGGACAACTCCTCCTTACTAAAAAATTATAACCTGAAGATACTCTTTTAACTGGTTGTCAGATCACAGAGAAAAATCAATATCCTAAAGCAAACAAACATGTTTGGACTTTCTCCAACCACTGGAAACAATCAATTGCTAGAACTCTCTGGCCTCTACTGTTAGGGAATGCTGGCTCCCAGAAGGTAAGGTGCCACTGGTGCCCCATGCCTAATGAATAACTTTACAGCCTAGCTTTGATGTCTGGATGGCAACCGCTATTTCCATCCGGGAGCACCAAACCCAAATTAACAGCTTCCTTCTGCCTAGGAAATAAAATCCAGATTCCTCAGCAGGGCATTTGGTATTCAAGCTTTGCAGCCAAATTTCTCATTCCTTTTGGATATACTATATGCTCTAGTCCAGTGGTTTACAAACTTTTTGCTCCCAGGACTCCTTTAACACTCTTAAAAATTATGAGGATCCCGGTGGCTCACGCCTGTAATCCCAGCACTTTGGGAGGCCAAGGTGGGCGGATCACCTGAGGTTGGGAGTTCAAGACCTGCCTGACCAACATGGAGAAACCCCGTCTCTACTAAAAATAAAAAATTAGCCAGGCATGGTGGCGCATGCCTGTAATCCCAGCTACTCAGGTGGCTGAGGCAGGAGAATCGCTTGAACCCAGGAGGCAGAGGTTGCAGTGACCCAAGATGGCGCCATTGCACTCCAGCCTGGGCAACAAGAGTGAAACTCCGCCTCGAAAAAAAAAAAAAAAAAATTACGAGGCTCCTAAAGAGATTTCATTTGTATGGGTTTCCACTATCAATATTTAATTTCAATTTATTGAAATTAAAACTGAAAAAATTTTAATACACAAGCACACATTCAATTAGCCATCAGGATGATAGCCTCATTACATGTCATGGAGCCTCTAGCAAACACTGTATACTTGTGAAAGAATGAGAGTGAAAAACACAAAGGATGTCTCAGCATTATTATAAAAATAGTTTTGACTTTGGGGATCCATTGTTCTAGCTAAACTAAACACACCCTCACTATCCCACCTACGTTATTTATCTTGGCAATTTCTTCTTTCTGGAAAGTTCCTCTTCCTTATTACTGTCTGTAAAAAGCCTTCAAAGCTCAAATACCTGACTCCTCCAGCCAGAAGTTCACCCTCTCTTCCCCAGTGCCCCACAGCATTTTGTTTTTCTTTTCTTTTTTTTTTTTTTTGAGACGGAGTCTCGCTCTGTCACCAAGGCTGGAGTGCAGTGGCGTGGTATCGGCTCACTGCAAGCTCTGCCTCCCGGGTTCACGCCATTCTCCTGCCTCAGCCTCCCGAGTAGCTGGGACTACAGGCGCCCACCACCAAGCCCGGCTAATTTTTTGTATTTTTTTTTTTTTTTAGTAGAGACGGGGTTTCACTGTGTTAGCCAGGATGGTCTCGATTTCCTGACCTCGTGATCCGCCCGCCTCGGCCTCCCAAAGTGTTGGGATTACAGGCGTGAGCCACCGCGCCCGGCCCCTATAGCATTTTGTACCTCTCTTAAGAGGCCTTCTCAAGTCACCCAGTAACTTATGTCTTGTCTTTGCTACATGAAAACAGGTACTGGATCCAAGTCATCTTTTTATCCCCATCAAAACTCACATCCTAATTAACATGTAATAGGAAACCAACAAATATTTAAGTGATGAATCAGCAGCCTAACCAGACTTGGAAGAATAAGCAAGAAGACCTATCTGGTTGCCCCTCACTGGCGACAAGACTCTCAGACAAGGTTGCTAGATGCCCAAAACCTCACACTAAAACTCCTGAAGGAACAAGGTTTTCAGAAACTGCTTACATCACCTTCATCCCCTCTGGTCACTTATGCTGCTCAGGTTAAAGTGCTGACATAGTTGTCCTGATAAATGCAGTGCAGTCTGGTCCCTGGGAGGCTCATTAAATCAAAAAGCCAGAGGCTGGCTACTTGCCTGGGAAACTACCACTGATGCTCCTGGACTGTAAATTGCCAAAAGAGACCCCCACAGGGGAAAGAGGGCAATGTTTGCCAGGGGATGAAGGGGCAGGAGGCCAAATAAACTTGAACGCACTGTGGCTTTCTTCATTTCTGAATCTTACTCTGCAACTCCCCGATCTCTGCCTTGGCGCATGCCTGGGCTGGGAGATGACAAGCCCTTATTCTTTGTAAAAAATAATTGTGTGTTCTGAAACGACACCTCTATTATGATTTCCAAATTGACATCTCTGCTCTAATGCAGAGGCATCCAAGCCTCCCCATTTCACACACTAGCAATTATCGTTTAAGTTATCCAACGATAGGCATTCATCTGATCGCTGCAGGGCCCCCTAGTTTGAGGGGTGCACTTAAAGCATGTGATGCAGTTGCCAGCAGAGACTGGCAGGCAATTCCTGCCCCTGATGTGAGGTGGGCCAAGGCAAGGTACCACTGCTAAAATGCTAGTAACCTCAGGAAAAAAATAGACATACTACAAAAAGACACCACAGTGCCTACAGTGTAGATCAGCCTTATTTTACTATTATCAAATATAAACAATTCACAGAGTGCAAAATAATGCTTTTCACCAGAAACGCTTAAAAACATCTTTACAAAACATTAATGTATTCCTCAGTGCCTCTGGGCAGTGAGCGATAGATGGCAAAACATGAGAGCACAACATAATCGCAGACAGCAAAAGGGAAGAGGCTAGAAACAGAATGTATACATAGTGTGCAATCATGTATCTAGCATTACAAAAGTCTCGTCTGAGAAGTCAGCCAGTTCCCCCTGGGAACATATGACCCTCTGCTAACTGTCTGGTGGGTAGTTATTTTTAATACATGGGTAGTTATTTTTAATACATTTGTAAGATGACTGGTTGGCACTATGCTTAGCTCCTATATACCCTCAACACATTACACTATAGTTGTAAGACTTGAATGTATAATAAAAACTCACTTTAGTTAGCAAGTAAACTCAAAGGCCCAAGCCAATCTACATGGACATCTTTACTTAGTATCCAAATCCATTTCCCTGGGAGACTTGGGAGGTCTGCTCACAGACCACAGACTTTTTTTTTAACCCAGAATTTACCATCAGAGGCTTTTCACCAGAGGATGAGTAAGACCAAATCTATGGGAAAAAAAAAGGTCCACAGCTAGTTTTGATGCCACATGCACACATGCCCCCTACATGCAACAGGTGGGATATATAGGGTTTAGAATTTAAGAGGCAGTGTATCCTAATTCACTGATTTCCCCCTGGAATTTATTGAATTCCATAATGTTGAATTCTTAGCTAATTTTATTCAGAAGCACAGATATATCCTTAAAAGTCTACCTCCAGGCCAACTAAGTCTACGAAGAATATCCTGGTAGAATCATTTATTGCTGTGATACTAGTAAGCCTGTGAAGGTCTTAAAAAACATTTTTTCACATCCACATTTCTGACCTGAAACTTTAAAAACCCTTGACCAAGGCCATTCATTAAGAAGTGACAGGTCCTTCACCCTGGTATACTGCAAACACTATATAATAGGAAGTAAAATCTTAGGACGAATATCAGAAAGGCAAAGCGAGTTAGTACGTGAAGCCTCAAGAGAATGAGGGAAAAGCAAAGCACAGTGTGCTGGGGTGTTTATTAACCAGAGGCAAGGAGGCCAATTTCCCAGCTCATATCTGTCCATGGAATGAGGTTTCTAGAATCTGCAGAAATATGAGGGCAGAGACTACAGCTGGGACCCCAAACAATCCACTGTTAGCCCTTGAGCTAACACAAAGCTCAGAGTACAATCACTTTTCTTATATCCAAGGTTCATTCTGAACTGCTTCTCTTAGTGACATTTGATTTCACTGATTCGCCTCTGGGGATGTACTACTTGCCCTTTCACCCTGATCTTGACTTCAGCAACCACCCTGATTCCTTTTGGACTCAACATTTGACTCTACTGAAATAATTTCTCCACCATTTCCCTCTGTCTAGACAACATGAAATTGTCATAAACGACACCTAAAGTACAATTAGTAGAGAAACTGCAATTTCCACTCTCCTCCCCCGTTCCCAAAAAGATTCGCACATTAACGTCCTCCAGCATGTCAATCAATACTACCCTGAGGAGGATTAACTCTGTAGAGTCTGGAAGCCATTCAATTCCCTGCTTGCTAAAAATTATGCATTTTCCCCCTGTACTATAATCAGAAGATGTAAATTGCCTTCTTTTTATTAGCACTAATGGCTATAATCTCAGAGTTCTGAATGCCTGCTAAATCGATACCTGTGTAAAAAGTCCCACAAACACCGCTTTACCCAGATGCGCTTTATTTAGAAAAATCAGAGACAAAAGACAAAAGATAAGACAGAAGAGGAGAGAAGCAATGAGAGAAAGGCGTGACACAAGACCACCAGAACCAGGCAGTACTATTAACTATCATAAGAAGATGGTTTGAACCCACTGACAGTTCCTTGTGAGATGTCATAGTTTTATTCATTTATTTATTTATTTTGAGATAGAGTTTCGCTCTTGTTGCCCAGGCTGGAGTGCAATGGCATGATCTAGGCTCACCGCAACCTTCACCTCCTGGGTTCAAGCAATTCTCCTGCCTCAGCGTCCCACGTAGCTGGGATTACAGGGATGCACCACCATGCCCAGCTAATTTTGTATTTTTAGTAGAGACAGGGTTTCACTATGCTGGCCAGGCTGGTCTCGAACTCCTGACCTCGGGTGATCCGCCCACCTCGGCCTCCCAAAGTGCTGGGATTACAGGTGTGAGCCACCGCACCCGGCCTAATGTCATATTTTTAAAAACCAGCAAGATCAAAGGACAACAAATCATGAAATAATTTACCAGTGCTTTTCAAGGGGAGTGGAATGCCCCCCAGAAATGTGGCAATGTCTGCTGACATTTTTGGTTTTTGCTTCTGGGTGCCAGAGCACCACCAGTATGTGACAGGTGAAGGCCAGGAATGGTGCCAAACATCCTACAATGCACAGGACAGCCTCCCATGGTGAGGAATTATCCAGCCCCAAATGTCAATAGTGCTGCTGTTATAAAACCTTTTGATATATCTTAATGGTCTGAGACTAACCAAGAAAACTCTGAGTAACTAAAATATGAGGCAATTTAGTGTTTGAGCCTTAGAATCAGACAGACTGCAGTTTAAATTCCATCTTGTGTCACCCACTGGCTGTGAGACCTTGGGCAAGTTCATTATCCTCTGCTTCCACATTTGAGGGGAAATCTCTTATTTCACATGGTTATTATGATTAAGAACCTGTGTCAAGCACAGTAGCCAGTACAGTCTAATAAACAGCCATTACTATTTTTTTCTTCCTTAGATTACAGCTCCCAAAATATCTGCAGGGAATATGATGCCCTCTGTCCACTCAAGTCACTATGCCTAAAAAGGTACTTTGTCAGAAAGAAAGACATGTTGAAGAAGGGTGAATACTATAAAGGTATAAACAGGGGTACCTGAGCCGTGAGAATCACATGCACCCCATCCACGTAAACCAACAAGAACAGTCAGGTATCCATCTACCAATCTATGTGTTGGTCCATCCAACCGGTGATTCAAACAAATACTGAGTGCCTTCTGTTAGTTATATATATCAGTACTATATAAAATACAGATGTGGGCTGGGCATGATGTCTCATGCCTGTAATCCCAGCACTTTGGGAGGCTGAGGCAAGAGGATACCTTGAGCCCAGGAGTTCGAGACCAGCTCGGGCAACCATAGGGAGACCTCATCTCTACAAGAAATTTAAAAATTATCTGGGCATGGTGGCACATGCCTATAGTCTCAGCTACTTGGGAGGCTGAGGCAAGAGGATTCCTTGGGCCATGGACGTTGAGGCTGCAGTGAGCTGAGATCATACCACTGCATTCCAGCCTGGGCAACCGATTGAAACCCTGTTTCAAAAATAAATAAATAAATAGGCCAGGCGCGGTGGCTCACACCACACTTTGGGAGGTCAAGGCGGGTGGATCACCTGAGGTCAGGAGTTCAAGACCAGCTTAGCCATGGCCAAAGTGGCAAAACCCTGTCTCTACTAAAAATACAAAAACTTAGATGTGTCAAGTCTGGGCGCGGTGGCTCATGCCTGTAATCCCAGTACTTCGGAAGGCCAAGGCAGGTAGATCAAGATCACTTGAGGTCAGGAGTTCGAGACCAGCCTGACCAACACGGTGAAACCCTGTCCCTATTAAAAATACAAAAATTAGCTGGGAGTGGTAGCACGTGCCTGTAGTCCCAGCTACTCTGGTGGCTGAGGCAGAAGAATCATTTGAATCCGGGAGGCGGAAGTTGCAGTGACCCGAGATCGTGCCACTGCACTCCAGCCTGGGCAACAGAGCAAGACTCCGTCTCAAAAAAAAAAAAATTAGCCAGCATGGTGGCAGGTGCCTATAATCCCAGCTACTTGTGAGGCTGAGGCAGGAGAACTGCTTGAACCCAGAAGATGGAGGTTGCAGTGAGCAGAGATCACGCCATTGCACTCCAGCCTGGGTGACAGAGCGAGACTCTGTCTCAAAAAAGAAATAGGCTAGGTGCGGTGGCTCACACCTGTAATTTCAGCACTTTGGGAGGTCAAGGCGGACAGATCACCTGAGGTCGGGAGTTCAAGACCAGCCTGACCAACATGGAGAAACCCCATCTCTACTAAAAATACAAAATTAGCCAGGCAGGGTGGAATATGCCTGTAATCCCAGCTACTCCAGAGGCTGAGGCAGGAGAATCACTTGAACCTGGGAGGCAGAGGTTGTGGTGACCTGAGATCGCATTGTTTGCACTCCAGTCTGGGCAACAAGAGCGAAACATCGGCTCAAAAATAAATAAAAAACAATAATAATAAATAAAATAAAATAAAATAGATATGGCCCTTAGAGTAGTCAATCTCCAAAGATGGCTCCAAAGAAATATCCTCTTGGTATTCTCACCCTTGTGTGGTCCCCTCCCACACTGAATCTAGACTGCTCTATCACTAGCTTTAATCAAGAGAATGCAGCAAGCTGTGCCAATTCTGGGCCTACCGTTTTAAGAGAACTGGCAGGCTTCTGTTTCCTTCCTTTTAGAACTGTCACTTTTGGAAACCTTAAGCTGCTATGTAAGAAGTCTGCTATCCCTGTCATCTATATAACAAGAAATATAAAAAAAAAATTAAAATTAAAAAAAAAAAAAAAAGCCTGGCTACTCTCTCAAGAGGCCATGTGGAGAGAAGAGCCCCTGAGTCTACATGACAAGGGAGAGAGACCCAGTTTATTCTAACTGGGCCTCCAGATGACTCTAGAGAAAACCCAAGGAAGATCAGCAGAAGAACTTTCCAACTGAGCCCAGTCTACACCCCACACACACAAAAAAAAACCATGAAAAATAACTGAATCGGTTTTAAGTCACTAAGTTTTGGAGTATGGTTTCTTATACACCAATATGTGAACAAAGTAGTTCCTTATCTTTGTAAAACTTTCAAGCTAGGCACAACAGCAACATTAGAACTAAGTCCATGAGGTTAGTTTACAGCCAAAATCACATCTCTTCTCAAAGGAACCTTGGCTACTAAAAACAAAAAAGGCATTTGAAAACAGATCATAATAAAGCAAGTGTAAACTTGCTCACTGTTTGTAAAGCATAAGGCCCCTGTATTAGTCAGAAGGGTCAATGTTCATTTAGAAAGACTTGCACTCTCTCCTATCTCAAGGCTCTCCATCTTTCTGAAACACATTTCAGCCCTGGGTGGCTCCCTTTCAATGTAGAAAATGGTCCTAGAATTTGAGAAATTAAGGCTATTTGTGCTACCTCCCTTATCAAAGAAGTAGGAGGCCAGCAGCAGTTGCTCACTCCTGTAATCCCTGCATTTTGGGAAGTCAAGGCGGGAGGATCACTGGAAGCCAGGAGTTCGAGACCAGCCTAGGTAACACAGCAAGACCCCATCTCTACTAAAAATACAAAAATTAGCCAGGCATGGTGGCATGCACCTGTAATCCCAACTACTTGGGAAGCTGAAGCAGGAGAATTGCTTGAACCCAGGAGGTGGAGGTTACAGTGAGCCGAGATCATGCCACTGTATTCCAGCCTAGGTGACAAAGTGAGACTGTCTCAAAAAAAAAAAAAAAAAAAAAAAAAAAGGCAACCTATGGAATGGGAGAAAATATTTGCTAACCATATATCAGATAAATGTTTAATGTCCATAATATATGGGGAACTCCTACAACTCAATAACCAAAAAACCCCACAAATAACCATACTAAACAATGGGCCAAAGACTTGCATGCACATTTCTCTAATAATGATATACAAATGGTCAACAAGCATATAAGAAGATGCTGAACATGACTAATCATTAGGGAAATGCAAAGCAAAACCACATTTATTTATCGCCTCACACCTGTTAGGATGACCACTATAAAAAGAAAAAAAAAACAGGAAATAACAAGTGCTGACAAGGATATGAAGTTGGAACCCTCATGCACTGTTGGTAGGATTGTAAAATGGTTCAGCTGCTATGGAAAACAGTATGGAGGTTCCTCAAACAATTAAAAATAGAACTACCATATGTCCAGCAATTCCACTTCTGGTTATGTATCTAAAAGAAATGAAAACAGGATCTTGAAGAGATATTTGCACACCCATGTTCATTGCAGCATTTTTCAAAATAGCCAAAATGTGGAACCAGCCTAAATGTCCATCAGTAGATGAATGGATAAAGAAAATGTGGTATATACATAGAATGGAATATTATTCAGCCTTTGAAAAGAAGGAAATTATGATACATACATACAACTTTTTCTTTTATTTATTTATTTATTTTTTGGAGATGGAGTGTCGCTTTGTCACCCAGGTTGGAGTGCAGTGGCACGATCCCGGCTCGCTGCAACCTCCACCTCCAGGTTCAAGCGATTCTCCTGCCTCAGCCTCCTGAGTAGCTGGGTTACAGGTGCCCACCACCGCACTCGGCTAAGTTTTGTATTTTTAGTACAAATGGAGTTTCACCATGTTGGCCAGGCTGGTCTCGAACACCTGACCTCAAGTGCTCTGCCTGCCTTGGACTCCCAAAGTGCTGGGATTACAGGCGTGAGCCACCGCGCCCAGCCACTGTGACATATTAATAGATGATCCTTAAGGACATTATGCTAAGTGAAATAACCCAACCACAAAAAGACAAATACTGCAAGATTCCATTAATAAGAGGTACCTAAAGTTATCAAACTCACAGAAACAGAAAGTAGAGTGGTGGCTGCCAGGGGCTTGTGGGAGGGTGAAAAGGAGTCATTCAAAGGATACAGAGTTTCAGTCACGCAAGATGAAGAGGTTCTAGAGATCTATTGAACAATAATGTGTACTGTACACTTTTAAAATTATTAAGAGGGTAAATCTATGTTATGTTTTCTATCACAGACACACGTACACGAAGATAAAAAGGGTTACATGTGCCAACAGAACAAAGAAAAGATAAACGCCACCTTGCTGAGGTGAAATGACCCAAGGGGACAGCAAGGAGACAAAGGCAGTAGAAGCTGGGCTACCTCTGTGTAGGGGAGGAAAAAAGCAGAAGAGGCAAAAAGAGTCACACGTACCCTCTGATGCAGCAAAGGAAAAGGGCACAATGTTAACAAGCTGCAATTCTCTTTCTATGACAAGGTCATACTTTCAGCCTCTGATTCCTTTATTATTACAATTTTCTACTCCTGCTCTAACTTGATTTTAATTTCCTGGCAAGTGACACCCAAGTCATGCAGGCTTTTCATTGGAACCCACCACTCTGTCCAAGGTGCTCTGCAAAAGGTGCAGGCATTCTTCTCCAAGATTTTACATAGTCCATTTACATAGTCCAAAAGAAGGTTGCTCTCATACTGCATAATCTGGCGTAATGGAGATCTGCTCACTAGTGAGCCTCATCCAGCAAATAAGCTTGGAACCTCCATTTTCCCCCTTTGGAAACAGAGGAGGAGTTTGTTAATTGTTGCTATTTAAAAATCAGGCAGCTTCTCAGGTGAGGGGGCTGTCAGCATGTCAGCCTACAGCAAGCAGGGGGAGCCCCTGTGGGTGAATTAGGCAGGATGGGTGGGGTGGTGGTGCGGGTACTGCAATGACCAGTGACTCCCCCTGGTGGAGCCAAGTGGTAGGGCACTTAGGAAATATTTACCCACACCTAACCATCAACACTTTTTGCTTGAGCTAATGCAATGGCCAAGTACACAAAATTGGATTTAAGTAGGAAACATGACATCAGCCTAGCATAGACTAAGGCATCAAGAAAGTCCATGCCTTGACGAAAGGGGCTGCTGTCCTACTCAATTCCTGCTGACTGTTAGGTGGGAATGTGAGCCTGTTTTTTCAACAGAATCCAGATACCCGAATTGATATGGAAAAAAAACATCCAAATTTTTAGAAACACTGTGAGGCAAACAAACATACTTGAGGACTATTTTGCAATATCTTGGTTAATGTAACAATAGGCCCACCCATGAAAGCAAAATTTGCTCACACAAACATGTTGTCAGGAATGCTTCCAAGAAAGAGCAGAAATAAGATGTACTGAATCCTGGGCCCACCCCCCAACCACTCAATAAATGTGTAAGAAATCCAGGAGGAGAGGATGCTACCTGCACAGTTCTAATGGGCTGGGACCAATTACAATAAGCAAAATATGTTATGCAAACAGAACCCCATACACCTGGTGTTACTGTCTTGGAAAAGCCTCCAAAGCACCCTTTAGAGCACTACTCTGAATAGATACAGTAGAGAAGGGGATCTGAAGGGGGAAGAATGAGTACACGGGAAATTACTCCCAACGTATTTGCAGCACACATACAGACGTCACTGTAGTCCCCAAGTGCTCCAAGACCCAGAGCTGACAGAAGCGATTACATCTTTTCATGTTTCAGGATGTATACAAAGCACACAGCACGCTCTACACCATTCAGCCCCAGAGAGAGGAATGATGAGGGATAATTTAGATCAGCCTAGTAGGTGCTAGCATGACCTGCACTGGGAGAAGGGCTGCCTGCCAAGCATACTGCCTGGAGGATCTGGAGGCTCATGCCCTCCCAACCAGGGCAAGCCTCCTCATTTGCACACGATTCCCAAGAAAGAAAGTGAGGCTGGAGAACCTTGCTTCAGGCCAGATAGTACAAGAAACAAATTCTTTATGCATTTATGCCTGCTCTTAACCATCAAAGAATCCCACAAGAGCCAATACTTACTTAGAGCATCTAGTCCAAACTAGAGAGAGAGCAAGTGCAGGAGTCCCCTAACAACCTCTTTGGGGCCCTCATTGTCATAATGCCTTCTATTACTCTAGCACCTGACTCTTCCAAATCACATTCCTATAAAGCAGGAGCTGGCAAACTATAACCTGCGGGCCAAAACCAGCTATGAATGGTTTTCATATTTTTAAATGATTGAAAAACATCAAAAGCATTTTTATGACTCGTGAAAATTATATGAAAATCAAATTTATCTCCATAAATAGTTTTTTTGGAACACAGCCACACTCTCATTCATTGATTCATTCATTTATTTGAGACGAATTCTCGCTCTGTAGCCCAGGCTGGAGTGCAGTGGCATGATTTCAGCTCACTGCAACTTCCACCTCCCAGATTCAAGGAACTCTCCTGCCTCAGCCTCCCAAGTAGTTGGGAAAACAGGTGCCTGCCACCATGTCAGCTAATTTTTGTATTTTTAGTGGAGATGTGGTTTTGACATGTTGGCCAGGCTGGTCTCCAACTCCTGACCTCAAGTGATCCACCTGCCTCGGCCTCCCAAAGTGCTGGGATTACAGGCATGAGCCACCACACCAGGCCCACACTCACTCATTTAGATATTGTTTGTGATTGCTTTCATACTACAACAGCAAAGTTGAGTAATTGCAACAGAGACTGTACAGCCTCCAAATCCTAAAATAATTTACTATCTTGACCTTTACAAAAAGCTTGCCAATGCCTGATATAGAGGGTAGGGCAGGGAACACACACAGAATTCAGAGGCTCAAACAGAGTGACCTTCTTGGGCAGGTGAGCAGCAAAGGTAAGAAAGATTAACAGAATGAGGCTGGGCGCGGTGGCTCACGCCTGTAATCCCAGCACTTTGGGAGGCCAAGGTGGGCGGATCATCTGAGGTCAGGAGTTCAAGACCAGCCCAGCCAATATGGCGAAACCCTGTCTCTACTAAAAATACAAAAATTAGCCAGGCCTGGTGGTGGGCACCTGTAATCCCAGCTACTTGGGAGGCTGAGGCAAGAGAATCACTTGAATTCGGGAGTTGGAGGTTGGAGTGAGCAGAGATCTGCCACTGCACTCCAGCCTGGGTGACAGAGCGAGACTCCATCTTAAAAAAAAAAGATTAACAGAATGATATCCCTCCTTCACTCTATCCTCATTCCCATATTGCCAAAGAGAAAATGGGTTGCCTAACCACCCCCAATGACGAATACATTCGATATCTAAATGTTACTGCCAGCTGGGAGAGGTGGCTCACGCCTGTAATCCCAATACTTTGGGAGGCCAAGGGCAGCGGATCACTTGAGGTTAGGAGTTCAAGACCGGCCTGGCCAACATGGTGAAACCCTGTCTCTACTGAAAATACAAAAAATTAGCCAGGCATGGTGGTGGGCGCCTGTAATCCCAGCTACTCAGGAGGCTGAGGCAGGAGAATCACTTGAACCTGGGAGGCGGAAGTTGCAGTGAGCTGAGATCGGGCCACTGCACTCTAGCCTGGGTGACAGAGCAAGACTATGTCTCAGAAATAAATTAATTAATTAATTAATATAAAATTACTTTCTTATGAAGAGGCAAGAGATGCCTGGATTTTTCCAATCACTTAATAAGACACAGAAGACTAAGTGGATGAAGGCCAGTATGTATGTGATTGTCAGAGATAGAACAGGGCTATGTTTTTCTCATACAAGGGTGTCAGAGAACAAATGTACACTAACACCTCAAGGTGGCAATTATTAGAATAAAACAAAAGTTTTTCTCAAAAACTTGAGGAGGAAGCTCCTGAAAACCCGTAGTAGGAGAATTTACTACTGATAAGCTTAAGAGCTTATGGGGGAAGAAAGGTTGAAGAGTTCTTTTGAGATGTTGTTTCTCTCTTTTGCCGAGGCTGGAGTGCAGTGGTGCGATCTCAGCTCACTGCAACCTCTGCCTCCCGGCTTCAAGCGATTCTCTTGCCTCAGCCTCCCAAATAGCTGGGACTACAGGCACCCACCACCATGCCCAGCTAATTTTTGTATTTTTAGCAGAGATGGGGTTTCACCATGTTGGCCAGGCTGGTCTCAAACTCCTGACCTTGTGATCCGCCCACCTTGGCCTTCCAAAGTGCTGGGATTACAGGCGTGAGCCACAGTGCCCGGCCTTAAGAGTTCTAATCTATGAAATCTATGAAATAATGTTCAGTTAAATAAAACAGGAAATAAGAAATACTTTATATATCTTACATTAGTAATAATGAGTAGCATACAATTAATTTTCATTTACCACTAACAACGCTCATACTCTTGGGCACTAGCAATTCCACTTCTAGAACTTCATCTTCTAAAAACACTTAAGTACACAAAGATCCTGCAACACTGTGAAAAAGAAAACAAAACATGGCCAACATGGTGAAACCCTGTCTCTACTAAAAATACAAAAATTAGCCAGGCCTGGTGGCACACACTTGTAATCCCAGCTACTCGGGAGGCTGAGGCACGAGAATCGCTTGAGCCCCAGAGGTGGAGGATGCAGTGAGCCAAGATTGCACCACTGCACTCCAGCCTGGGCTACAAAGCGAGACTCTGTCTCAAAAGAAAAAAAAAAAAGGAAAAGAATTAAAATAAATGGAAAAATGTGTTTTGATTAGCATAGAAAAAATTCTGGAGTTAACACACACACAAATTGTTAATAGCAGATCTCTGAGCAGTGGCTTTAAGAGGATATCCACTTTCTACAATTGTACATTTCTGTAATGTTTGATTTTTTACAAATGAATTGACAATAGTTTTGTAATTAGCAAAAAACAGGAATTTCATTTCCATTTATGATCTCTTGTTTACTATTAATTTTTCAAGCTCTCCCTTCCTCACAGTTCGATAACACGCCTTCTTGTTTGGAGGTTGGGGAAGAGTGGAGGGGCTTTGTTGCAGGTAATATGCCTGCTGAGATGATTGATTCATTCATTTGTTCAACCGTTCATCAGCTCTTCACCCAAACATTTAAGGCCTCTCTTATCTTGACAGAACAAGTCACTCCTCCTTTTTGGTTCTCAACACAGTCTCAAGACACAAATCAATCTAAAAGTGTGCAGAGTTGGCCTAGCTTTAATTTACGCTACTTAGCTCCTAGGTCTATTCTCAACCAGCAGCCACAGTTATCTTTTTAAAATATAAGATCATGCTACTCCACTTCTGATGGTTTCCCAAGTCACTCAAAGGAAAAGGCAAAAATCTTTTAAATGGCTTAGAAGACCCTGCATAATCTCATCCTTGTCACCTCTCCAACTTCATCTTCTATCACTCCATCCCTTGCTGTGCTCCAGCTGCACTGGCTGACGGTGCCAAGCATCTCAGAGATTTTGCATTCGCCCTTTCCTCTGTCTAAAATGTCCTTCCCCTAGTGTCGACGGGGTTTGTTTTCGCACTTCTTTAAGGTCTCCTCTGCTCCAGTGTAACCTTATCAAACCTTTTTTGATGATCCTATTTCAAATTGCAGCATCCCCTACATTTTTTATACATTTCTCTTTTTTGCCATAGAACTTATCACTGTCTGGCATACTAGATATCTTATTTTTTTATTGTCTTTCTCCCATTAGAATGAGAGAATTATTGCTGGCATTTAAATAGCACCTGGTGCCAGCCAGGTGCGGTGGCTCAGGCCTATAATCCCAGAACTTTGGGAGGCCGAGGCGGGCGGAGCACCAGAGGTCAGGAGTTCAAGACCAGTCCGGCCAACATGGTGAAACCCCGTCTTTACTAAAAATACAGAAAAGTTAGCCAGGCGTGGTGGCAGGCGCCTGTAATCCCAGCTAGTTGAGAGGCTGAGGCAAAAGAATCACTTGAACCCGGGAGGCGGAGGTTACAGTGAGCCCAGATCGCACCATTGCACTCCAGCCTGGGCAAGAAGAGCGAAACTCCATCTCAAAATAAAGTAAAATAAATAGCACCTGAAATCCAGCAGGTGCTTGGTAAATATCTGTTAATGGAATGAGTGAATGGATGGATGCATGGATCAATCACAGTTTACAAGCCCAACTCTCAGCGTTATTAGGAAGAACCAAACTCATCCAGGAAGCAGTCCTTGTGCATACTCCTCAGTTCCCTCTTCCTTTTTCTGAGAGACAGGGTCTCCACTCTGTTGCCCAGGCTGCAGTGCAGAGGCGCAATCATGGCTCACTGCAGCCTCAACCTTCTGAGCTCAAGCGATCCTCCCACCTCAGCCCCACGAGTAGCTGGGACTACAGGCACATGCCACGATGCCCAGCTAATTTTTGAGCTTTTTGTAGAGATAGGGTTTCACCATGTTGCCCAGGCTGGTCGCAAATTCCTGAGCTCAAACCATCTGCCCAACTTGGCTTCTCAGAGTGCTGGGATTACAGGCATGAGCCACCACACCCAGCCCTCAGTACCCTATTCTAAAGCCTGAGTTTACCTTCCCCAGCTTCCCTTCCCTTACATCTCTTAAAATAAGTTTGTTAATTCCACCACAGGCTTTGTCTCCTTTTTATTTCCCAATACTTGTTCCTCTCTCTTCCTAGAAAGAACACGTCATAATTTGCCTGTATCACAAATGAAATTCTCACAGTTGAGGATTCTTTCCTATTTGTCCTTAAATGCCGAACTTCTAACTAAGAAGAACTCAGAAGTTAGAAAGCGTTTACTGTATAGTATCTTGAATACCAAAGACAACAATTCCACCAGTTTTTTTCAGGGGGAACTATTCACACTCCGCATAATTAGAGGTAAAGCAAAACTTTCTGCTAACTAACATAAGGATTCTGACCTCCACAAGAAAAAAGGGACCTACAAGCATCTCAAAACTTAACAAGGTTCACTCTCATGATGCTCAGACTCCAAAACAAAAGATGAGAGCACACATTTTCTCAAACCCTAAAAATCCTACTTCTAAGCAAATTTAATGAATGCCTTCCACAGAAACTTAAAGAAAAAGCATCAGTAGGAAAGAACCTTCGCATTTAAATTGGATTATCCACATGTAATTTTTGAACTAAATCAAGACCAAGTATACCTTCATAGAGATTGCAGAAGAATCTTTAAGGAGAAAAAAAATACCAACAGCACTGACTGGCAGAGATAATAATATTACTGAGGTGCCAAGCCAAAGACCTAATAATATTACTGAGATGCCAAGCCAAAGACCAACAAAATGGTGTCAAGAGCAAGCTGTATTCAATAGGAATGGGGTACCAAAAAGATAAAAAAAGGGAAGGCTGCATATGATGCCAGTGCTCTCGAGGAAGGCGCAGACCCTGAGTCATCAGTGTAAAGCCAATATGAAGGACACATATTGGCCAGGTGCAACAGACTTATTACAGGCTTCAGGACAACCCATTCACAAGTTAGGAACATAGCACACAGTGAAACATCAGAGGTCACCGGAGCTCAAGTTTTGGAAGGTGTGACTTCCTTGTACAACTCTAAGTAATACCGTTTCATTTATTTAACAAGTGATTATTGAGCCAATGACTCTCTGTAAGACCAAATGATGGGATATAGTAATAGGTTTTTTAATCTTTTTTACTAAAAAGGCCAAACAGGACTTATATTGCATATGAAACCATAAGGAACATAATTTCAATTCTACTTATTCAATTCAACTAACATTTACTGAGCATCTACTGTGTGGCCAGGTAGTATTCTAGGTAGACAAGGGATATATACAGACATGATCACTGCCTTCAGGGAGCTCACTGACGGAAAGGTAAACAAATAATTTTCTGTCATGGGTGCAATATCACAAAGAAGTATCTAGTACACATGCAACAAAGAAAAGGAAGTGATTACTTGGGACAGTCAGGGAAGGTTTCCCAAGGGACACGGTGACAGCTGTGCTGGGTTTTGAATAATAAATTGTGTATATTCCCCATCCAAAGAAACTGGGAGAGATTAGATATCGAAACTCTTTAGACTCAGCTAGATCAATGGCACAGAAAAACTACTAAATTTGGACCCCTTTCTATAGTAGTCAGGCTAAGAAGACTGCTACTTTCCTCATTTTTAGGTTGCCGGCCCCCTTTTGTGGACCTACAATCAGCCCCGCAGACACCCATTTATTTTCCTCCATCAATGTTTGGGCCGAGGCCTCCCTGGAGAATCCCCAAGTGACTGGAGCTGAGGGATCAAATAAGTGTGGTGGCCCACGAAGCCTCAAAGGGCTTCAGACTGTTCTAAGCTCCAAAGCAATTCCCCCATAAAAGTCTAAGAAACTTAGCAATCCAATGAGGGCTTCTAACTCTAACCTTGATGGCCACATTTCACACTAAGGCCGTCAATGTACTTCCCCAGTCTTCATCTATCATGAGAGAAAAAGACCTAAATTCTCAGAAGACGCTCAGTCTTACTAAATACTCCAGACCCAAGTCTTTAACTACCTAGAGACAGAATACAGAAACAATTAGTGCTTCTAGGAGGAGATTGAGACCAATTTTTATCTCTCTCAGTTGCTGGAATTTTAATAGTGAACATCCCTAACAGGGATCACTTTATTGGGATTAATCAATGTAGTTCTATGGGCAAATAACTAAAACAGCATTTCTCCTAGAAGCATTGTGTTAGTTACCATTCTACCCAAAAATAATAATTACAAATTATCTAACAGACCTCCAATTTCTTACAATAAGAGTTAACTGAAAAGTTCCCTCAGGCAATGACCTACATGAGCAACAGAGGTTTTGACAAAGAAAACTGCTGTTTGAAGGCACTTATTTCAAATGAAACGGAGGAAAGGGTGCCCTCTTCAGGGCCCAGGAGTTCAAACCCCACTTTTGCTTACAAACACCTCTTTAAGAAATCATTTACTCTCTCTGTTTTGTCATCAGAGAGAGACTAGACTACAAAAGTTCTAGGTTCCCTCCAGTTTTAACTTGCCATTGAAACCATTTTCTTTTTCCTAGTACCAGTTTTTAAAGGCCAAGGGCACCCTACCGCAAGGAGCCACAATACCCTGATCTTCTGCTGGATCCTGCACTCCCACACAGAGAAATCATTTCTTTGTAGTGAAGCAAAGGCCCACCACTCAAGTTGCAATGTAGCGTCAGACTATTATAAAAAGACAGTTTGCCCTCCACTGCCCACAGGCAAAAGGAGACAAACCGTGTACTGGTTATTACCACTTGGCAGCACACAGCTACACTGAAATACACACTGTATGCTTATCAATACCCTCACTATTTGCAAACACTATTAAATATCCCAGCAGCACCAAGGATCCAGACATCTCTCCTTTGCCTATCTTCTACTATAAGGCCAATGAACAAAACTTTCTCCTTTCAAGTACAATCACCTTTTATGAACTCCACTCACTCAGGAACAACAGTCATCTACAAAAACAGGCTTTGTTAAAAGAACCAACCTCGTACACAAACAGCAGGGACACCTTTTCTTCCCAGTCATCCTAACCTAGCAGCAGCAGCCCAACAGTGACACCTGCTGGAGAACTAGAAGCAAGGGTTGGCTCATCACCTAGAGACTTTCAGCCCCTTTAGAAGGCAGAGGAAGAGGCAGACCAGCACCTGTTTGTCTTAGTGATTTACATCAGAATGCAGCCATTCAAATGGTGGTCCTTCTTTAATGTGTACGCACTTATTTTACAACATACCTCATTTTTGAGACAGCTGTCAGCCCTTATGGTATACGACATCCTAGCTCATTTAAAAGTGATTCCATATAAATAATGTAACTACTGTATTAATATACTATCTTACAATGAGAACCCTGAGTTATTTGTATATTTTAAAAGAAAATGAGCATAAATATAAAATTGTTTACAGTGAGATGACCAGGGACTTCATTTTTATAATACACATTTTTAAATGGTTGAACTTTAAACCACAATGCATATATTTTTTGGCACCAGAAAAGAAAAAAATACTTAAACAAAAAATTATGGTACATCCTTAATAGTTTCTGGGTTTTTTTTTAGACGGAGTCTTGCTCTGTCGCCCAGGCTTGAGTGCAGTGGTGCAATCTCGGCTCACTGCAACCTCCGCCTCCCCGGGTCCAAGTGATTCTCCTGCCTCAGCCTCCCACGTAGCTAGGACTACAGGCATGCACCACCATGCCTGGCTAATTTTTTTTGTATTTTTAATAGAGACGCGGTTTTACCATGTTAGCCAGGCTGGTCTCGAACTCCTGACCTCAGGCAATCTGCCTGCTTCGGCCTCTCAAAGTGCTGGGATTACAGGCGTGAGCCACTGCACCTACCCAGTAGTTTCTGGGTTTTAAATAACCTACTTTATTAAGTGATTAATAATATTTTAGATGTATAATATCATAGCCATTAGTCACATGTGATTATTTAAATTACTTAAAAATTTAAAGATTACATTTATTTTCTCAGATCACAGTAGCAGCATTTCAAATGCTCAATAGCCATGTGTGGCCAGTGGCTACCATCTTACATAGCACAGATAGAGAACATTTCCATCAGTGTAAGAAGTTTTATTGGACAGCATTGCTCTAGAAAATCTAGTGGTTACAGACAAAATTATCTGATATCTAGGTGCCGGGAGCAGACGGAATATAGATTAAAGAAAGCCAGCCAAGCATTGATAACCTTTGAAGTCAGGTTATAGGTGTATGGAAGCTCAGTTATACTTTTCTCTTCGTTTTTATATATGTTTGAAGATTTCCATAATAAAATATTAAAAGAAAAAAAGTGGTTCACTTAAAAATGAAGTTATCGGCCAGGCGCAGTGGCTCACACCTGGAATCCCAGCACTTTGGGAGGCCAAGGTGGGCAGATCACCTGAGGTCGGGAGTTTGAGAGCAGCCTGATCAACATGGAGAAAATCCGTCTCTACTAAAAATACAAAATTAGCCAGGCGTGGTGGCGCATGCCTATAATACCAGCTACCCGGGAGGCTGAGGTAGGAGAATCACTTGAACCCAGGAGATGGAGGTTGTGGTGAGCCGAGATCACACTATTGCACTCTAGCCTGGGCAACAAGAGCGAAACTCCATCTCAAAAAAATAAAAATGTTATATTAAGGAAAATGCCATGAAGGGCAGCTTGCACAAATCTTTAGTCATGAAGACCAGAGTTCAAATTCTCACTCAGAGACCTATTATATGATCTTTCACAAGAAACTGACTTCCCTGAGCCTCACTTTCCTCAACTTTATAAAATGGAAAATTGAATACCTGACTTGCATAGAGTCGTTGTTGAAGGCAGAAGGAATTATTTCAAAGCAAGAACACAATACCTAACACATAGTAGGCCCTCAGTAACTGGTATCTCTTTTTTTCCTTTTTTCTTGAGATGGAGTCTTGCTCCATCACCCAGGCTGGAGTGCAGTGGCGTGATCTTGGCTCACCGCAACCTCCATCTCCTGGGTTCAAGCGATTCTCCTGCCTCAGCTTCCCAAGCAGATGGGACTACAGGCCTGCGCCACCAAGCCCGGCTAATTTTTGTATTTTTAGTAGAGATGGGGATTTACCATGTTGGCCAGGCTGGTCTCGAACTCCTGACCTTAAGTGGTCTGCCCGACTCAGCCTCCCAAAGTTCTTGGATGACAGGCGTGAGCCACCGTGCCCGGCAGTAACTGGTATCTCTAATTATCATCAAACAATAGAGTTTATTTAAACCACTCAGGAATTTCTCAGAATAGCACATGAAGAGGTACTACTAAAGCAGAATGGACAAAAGCTAACCAGAGCACACTGGTATTACGGAAACAGCAACTGCTTGGTTTCTTAGAGCAGTAACTGAAGACAGTCCTTTTACAGAGATCTTTAATAAACTTTTAAAGTGCCTACTACATGTCATGCCCTGTGTTGACTGCCTTCTCACCACTCTTGGCAAAGAGGAAGAACAGAGGCTCGGGCTCCTGATGAAGACCAGTATGCCAGGCACAATATTCCAAAACCAGGAATTGAGGAGCTGTTAATCCAGAACTGGTTTCAAGCATATGGGCAGAGTTAGCAACCTCTCTATTTTATTCATCTTTCACATCTAGTCAAGTCTCCCTCTGCTTCCTACCCAGGGCCCTTAGTAACTGCCTAAGAACCTACACATACCATACCCTTTCCTCCCTTAACATGTGCTGTTTCCCTAAAATAAAAAGGTCTTGCTCTCTCCAAATCCTATCCATCTTTCAAGACTTGATTTTGCAAAGCCTTCTTGGATGATACTTCCCTCTCTCTGAGACTACATCCAATCTCGGTACCATACAATGAAGCATTTGCTCATCTATACTTTTGAAAAATTTCGTTGTCTTGCCTCCACAATAACACTGTAGACTCAGGTGGGTAAAGACCATGTATTATACTTCTTTTGTATTTCCCACAGTGCCTAGCACAGTGTTAGAAAATTTGTAACCATTCAACTAATACTTATTGACTGAGTGACTGTCTAAAGCATCCTCCCAAAATAACAAGTACATTATGTGCATAATTCATATTCCCACCCTTGTTAGAAGCTTATGTCAGAGAAATTTCAGTTGCTTCGACAGAGGATGTAATGCAGCGCAATATGCTGTTTGGATCCAACAGGCATATTCTTGGAGTTGGTGATTATGCTAGCTTTGACCTTTACAAAATTACAGAAAGAAGTCCCTAATAAATCAAGATAGATGCGCACATAGCCATACATGGAACATATGGTGGGCGATCAACTACACCTACTCTGTTTCTCCCATGAAAGAGTTGGCTAGGATGCCAATCTGAGTATGGAGAGTCTTTCCTTCCATGAATTATTCTTCTTCTCCACCCCAAGGTGAAAGTCCACCTGGAAGGTCCATTCAGAGAATCTCAACTGAGCAATAGGCTGCCCAAAAACAAGTATCTCTGAAAAAATTGGAATTTTTCTTGACATACATATATATACATATATGTATTTTTTTTTCTTTTCCCTTTGTCAAACTGCAGTGTTCCAAAAGATAAGGATTAGGAAGTGAACTCAGTTGTCCAAAGCAATACAATCAGCGAAGAGCCAATATACTAATCTCTACCATGCAGGGTTCTCTTTTACTTATTCCTAGGCACTCTGGGACTACTACAATAAGTAGTCCTGCACATACAATGTCTCGACAAGGTCAAAAAGCAGGCAGAGAAAGTCAATGGTTCCATCTCCTCATGCCTCTCTAACCTAATCTACACTCTCCTTTCAAGGCTAAAGCCAGAACCTTGAGCTTAGCCGAAATAGAGCTAGCGCAGCCAACTGACTCATACTGCTAGGCCCTATCCTATCTCTGCCACCAGAGCAAGATTTTCCAAGAAAATGCAATGGCGAGATCAGAAGCAGATGCGTGGGTCCCAGACACTCCAGATACAGCCACAACATCTATAGGACTCAAGGAAATGATACAAGGAGAAAAGCAAGGGATGCAGAAGATAGGAAAGCGACTGCTTACCTCCTGAGTGAATCCTCCTCAGAGCTCTCCTCAGGCATATCCTGATGTAAGGCCTCCTGTGACACAGTTCCAGATCTGCTGGACTGGGTGTAAATTCTTTCCCAGTGGCCTGTCTCCTGGTTAAAGGCCACCCCCACAGTCCTCTCCTCCTGCGGACTAGCAGAGCTGCTCAACTCCAGCCTGCTGGAGCTGGGCGTTTGGCCCTCAGTCCGCTCGAGAGGTGGCAACTGGCTGCCACTTGATGGCACACTCTCAAAGGAGCTGGGGACCTGCCAAGAGGAACTAGCCTCGCCAGAGGAGTAGTTAGGTGTGGTTCTTTCCCAGCGCAGGGTATCGTTGTTGAAGGTCAGGAGATTGTGGCAAGCACGACAGCGATTCAGGTGGCCACGGGACAGGTTGGAGTTGTTCTCACTGCTGTGTGGGGTGGGCTGGTGGGAAGGGCCTGGCCTCTCAGATTCAATGTTATTGTTGAGCATTTCCTGGGCCTGTTGGGTCTGGGGAGCTTCCCCACTCAGGCTCTGATCCAGCTCCTGAAGCCGGTCATACTCCAGAAAGAAGCGTCTCAGGTCACACTGAAGCTCATGGCGAATGCTGCCCGAGTTGTTTTGGCTGGAGCCATTCCCTCCATCTGACTCAGTTGCCAACCCTGATGCCGGAAAACCCCTCCCTTCTGTGGCTGAAGTGTACACAGATGCCTGAGAGCCACCTTCCTGCTGTCTCAGCACAGACAGCAAACTCACCGAAGAGGCACTGGTTCTGGGCGGGGGCATGGATTCCGCCTCAGAGCGGGAGTTCAGACTGAGTACTGTCCGGGTCCACTCAGATCCTGTCAACCCAGGAGCTATTTCTCGGTGATACCTAGAAGGGTGGCTAGACAGAGGCCCTCCCAAAGAGCGGCGGGTAGGACCCAGACTGAGGTTGCGGAGCGTGTTGCCGGCAGTGCTGCTCTGGACTGTACTGAAGGCAGACGGCCGGTTCAGGAGGCCCTGGTCCTGCTGCGTTGACGAGGCCTGCTCCGGGGGATGGAAGGGCTCGGTCTGTACAAAAGAAAAGGAAGGGGTAGTAGCTCTGGCAGAAGCAGGGGGGACACTGTCCTGGTGTGGCAAGAGGGAAGGAACTCGAGTGCCAGAGCAGCGGCTGCAAAGGCACAGGATCCCAAGGTGCTGGCAGCACTCAGCTGTGGGGTAACTGACCCGCTGTCGGAGCCTGATGTAAGCGGAAGTCCTGGGGCGCTCCGTGGAGGGCTGAGGGGGAGGCGGTGGGGGTGAGGGGGTAGCAGAATCTTGCACTGTGCTTTGCTCTCCCACCTGGATGCCAGAAGAGCGGGAGGACAGCATGTGCAGGAAATTGTGGAGGAGAGGCGTCCGGCGAACTGGCTGTGATTGCAGGAGGGCACGCTGACGGTAGTGGGATAATTCTGTTCCATCTATGGGGATCTCTGGTTCGTCATCACCCTGCAACGTGGACCAGCATGGGGCAGGGGGTAGAGCAAGGCAGTTAGGTAGAACCTCCAAGTAAATCAAGAAAAACTAACCACTGACAATCATCCAAGGAAAACAATGTTCATAGGTAGGAAACAACTCTCTACCCCTGAAGCACTGACAACTGGCCTCAGATTCAAAATAATCACATGGTATTAAATTTTCCACTCCCAATTAGCAGCATATCTGAATGAGTGCAGCTGACAAACCAATTGTCTTACAAAAGACATCTCCCCATGACATGGAAGCAGTGAGGGGAAGCAAAATGTCAACCAGCCAGAGGCACATGAGTGACAAGCTATCCAACACTGTCTAGTGATGATAAGGGTTACTTCTAATGAGGCAATCACTGGAGGGTTTCAGAATCGACTCTCCTGTCAAGATTATGGCTATAACCCTGAATATACAGTCTGAAGCTAGCTTTAAATCTTGACTGGAAAGATAAGACTTGGGTATTGAGAATTAAAATCCAATATAATCAGAATTGGAATACTAGTTAAGAAAAGAACTCACAGTTTAGCTGGAATTGGAACTGCTGGACTAACTTACCTGTTGATTAGAGGGGTTAACAATTGCTGTGAGTAAGTAGTGTCCAAGTGGATCAAATCTCACCAGACTAAAATCACAGAAGAAAGAGACAAAGACACACATAGAGAGATTATGTTAACTGAGAAGAGGAAACTTGTGTTTGAATTTATAGCAATCATTACTGATAACTGGTATCACTCAGGTATCCACTTCATTCAAGACTTCCAAAACTTTCAAAGAGATTAAAATAGTAACACTCAATACTTCTTGCCAGAGTAAAGGAATATGTATCACAAAAATAACGATTTCACATGAAAAACACCTAGAGTTGCCATCCCAGGAAACAGCTACCTTAAGCACACCTTTGCTCAAATACAAGAGTTCATCCTAACCGTAAAGCATAAAATGCTCTCATACTCTGCCACAGAATCAGTTCTTCCCTCATATGGCAGCTACACCGGCAAGAAGCATGAATCTTGGTGGCAATGAACAGTCCCAGCATTAAGTGACATAGCTGAAACCAGAAAATTGGCCTGTATTCGACTGGAAATCCAAGAGGACCAAAGAAACACAATGCATCAACTTTAATACAGACAATATGTTTTGATCTTGAGGACTAAATAAATGTCAATTATGTGCTTACATCTCCATCTTCCAGTTTGATAAACACAGACAACCCACCAAGGTATCTAAAATACCACCCAAACTTCTTTCAGGTTTTCCCAAAGAAGTACTATCCAAAACAGTTAGCTTTGAAACTAAAAGAGAGTCTAATGACCCTGATCTCCAAAAACCAGAAGATGAGGCCAATAAGGGAAAGCTGAAATGAACAAAATGAATGTCTCCCAGCTGATTAGTCAGCTGCTTAGAAAGCAGGAGGCGGCCAGGTGCAGTGGCTCATACCTATAATCCCAATACTTTGGGAGGCTAAAGCAGGAGGATCACTGAAGGCCAGTAGTTCGAGACTAGCCTGGGTAACACAGTGAGGCCCCGCCCCCCAAATCTCTACGAAAAAATTTAAAAATTAGCTGAGAGAGGCTGCACACACCTGTAGTCCCAGATACTCATAAGACTGAGGTGGGAGGATTGCTTGGGCCCATGAGGTCAAGGCTGCAGTAACTTGGGCCCATGAGGTCATGACTGCACAACTGTACTCCAGCCTGGGTAACAGAGCAAGACCCTGTCTCCTTAAAAAAAAAAAAAAAGCCGGGGGGGGGGGGGTGGTGGTGGGCATGGTGGCTCATGCCTGTAATCACAGCACTTTGGGAGGCTGAGGTGGGCGGATCACTTAAGGCCAGGAGTTCAAGACCATCCTGGACAACATGGTGAAACCCTATCTTTATTAAAAATACAAAAAAATGAGCCGGGCATGGTGGTGGGTGCCTGCAATCCCAGCTACTCTGGAGGCTGAGGCACGAGAATCGCTTGAACCTAGGAGGCAGAGGTCGCAGTGAGACAAGACTGCGCCACTGCACTCCACCCTGGGTGACAGAGTGACACCCTGTCTCAAAAAAAAAATAGGAGGAGCTATGAGGATGACAACTTGCCCTGAGCAGGGATAACAACCTGACTTCCAAGGTGACAGCCAGTAGAATGTTCTCTATCACGTCAGTCCTGTGCCAGACAATGCAGATGGGGCAGCGCACTCACCGGACCCGTTCCATCTCACTAGCTGTCTTCACCACAGCAAAGGGTTCCCGTCGACTCCAGTCCCAGAAGTGGATCTCATTGGCAGTGGCAATCAGCAGGAGCTGAGCCGTAGGGTGGAAAGCCAGGGAGGCAATGGCATTGTTGCTATCTGTGAACCAGCTTTCACTGCCACCCTGTGAATGAACCAATTCCAGATATTCTCAGGTTACAAGCTACCAGCACACTGGGAAGTCAATTTCAAGAAAGGTCCATTTAAGGTAAAATGACTATGTCTAGGGACTACTTTAAATACATCCTCTGTAAAAAGATGTAGAAGATCAGCGATCTGGTAGTGCCACTAATTTATCAGATAAATACTATACAATCAGTTCAGTTCTTCAAATTAGTCACAATCTACAAGCATTAAGCATATATACACAGTTCCTATTTCTTTTTTTTTTTTTTTTTTTTGACAGGGGGTTTCATTCTGTCACCCAGGCTGGAGTGCAGTGGCACAATCTCAGCACACTGCAACCTCTGCCTCCTAGGCTCAAGCAATCCTCGCACCTCAGCCTCCCAAGTAGCTGGGACCACAGGCGCATGGCACCATGCTCAGCTAATTTTATATAATTTTGTGTATAATATTTTTGGTATAATATCCTGCCCAGGCTGGTCTCAAACTCCTGAACTCAAGCAATCCTCCTGTCTTGGTCTCCTGAAGTGCTAGGAATACAGGCGTGAGCCACCGCGCCCAGCCCACAGTTCCATGCAAAGCCTGAGAAAAACTCAAGCTCGGTGCACAACATGGTGCAAGACAACCCGCTAGCCAGTTACTAGGACAAAGAGGATCTTGCTTTGATGATCATGATCGGAGTACAGGAATATCTGTACTTAGGCAAAGATGCCCTAAGACAACAGAAATCCAACCTGAACATATCTTAGAGCCTCCTGTACTATGTCACAACGGGCTGAAGGAAGCAAAAGTAGATGTTCATCTTAGCAAGAATGGAAGACAATCTCAGGGCATGCTTAAGCTATTGCAAAAAAAAAAAAAAGGAATGGAAGACAGGGAATTAGACTTCCTATTAATTAAGTGGGCAATGTCTACAACAATATATTCAGATGTAGTCCTAAGAATCTGGCTAGGCTCTTCCAGAATTAAAAAACCAATGGTAAACAAGTCTCTGCATTTAGAATACCAAAAGAAGCCGGGCATGGTGGCTCATGCCTGTAATCCCAGCACTTTGGGAGGCCGAGGCAGGCAGACCACTTGAGGTCAGGAGTTCAAGATCAGCCTGGCCAACATAGTGAATCCCCGTCTCTACTAAAAACACAAAAATGAGCCAGGCATGATGGCACATGCCTGTAATCCCAGCTACTTGGGAGGCTGAAGCAGAAGTATCACTTGAACCTGGGAGACGGAGGTTGCAGCGAGCCAAGATCACACCACTGGGCAACAGAGCGAGACTCCGTCTCAAAAAAAAAAAATTAGAACACCAAAAGAAAAGGGTATCTTAAGGAAATACTCACGTGTAAATCCCAAATCCTAACCTCCCCATCTAGGCAGCCAGAAGCAATAAGGCCTGAGATGGTGGGATGAAAAGTGACACACCATGGAGTACGGCGGTGTCCAATCAGGGAATGAACACACTTGCCAGTCTTCACCTCCGTAATATAGATATTATGGTTCACATGGGTGGAGGCTAAGAGAGTCCTAGAAAATCAAAGAGTAGAACTGAATTCAGAAGCATGTGGAAGGGTAACCAATCTTATCAACTTTGGACGACATAGAATATTGATGCTACCTGCCAATCCCAACATGAAAGAAACTAAGCTTTGTATGTTAGGCAGTATATCTACAAACAGAAATATTCTGATCTTTAAAAGCTTTTGGCTTGTCCACACTGTCCCCAAATGACACATGCCACATTCGGAAAATATTTTTTCCCACTGGAAAAACCATCATACCACTGGTGAGCTGTATCACACAGGCAAATGATTGTTATTGAGAAACTTTCCAAGTTTTGATCCTCTCAGTTTCCTTTGCTTGTTCTCATGATTTTTCAGGTTAGCACTGCTCATCTACTTTCTTTCCCTTTCCGACACGGGGCCAAAGTGCTGTTCATACAGTACTTCAGAGAGACTTTAGGGACTGACTTGGAAGATCAAGCCAGGCCAAATATACAGAAAGCACTGTTATCACAAATCTTAAGTTATAGATAAATACTGAGTACCTGTCTGGGCTGAAGGCCAATAAGAAGGTAGAGCGTGGACTATCCGGCAGTTCTACTCTCTGGGAGACAAAAAAAAAAAAAAAGTTAAAATACATGATTTGTAGACCATGGTTCACCGTATCTCAAAAGCACATTAACCATTCTAGATTAGCATTCACAGTGTAGGCTTAAAAACTGGAGACAATGATCAAGCTACAAATTGAGAGAGATAAACCTAAATTACCTTCAGGAAAACTGTCTAGCTCTAAAGGAAAAAGATATTTCTAGCACATTAGTTCTTTCAAATTTACAAACAACTCCCTAAGTCAGATATGTCAACTCTCCCACACAAGATAAATATATCCCAACTCTCTGCTGTTAACCCATTCTAAGGTCTCATTCTACCATCACCAGCACAAATCCTATGTGAAATATAGCCATTTTCCTTACCTTGCCCTCCCATTTCATCCACCGGGTTTTATCTTCTACCAGCTCCTGCAGAAGCCGCTGAGCTCCCATGGCCCGAGCACCCCGTTCTCGCCCCCAGAGTATCCGGACAGCATTCTTTTCTGGGACAACCTTCATGGCGCTCAGTAGCCACTGTCACACCAGGCCCAGGAAATGAAGGAGCAAGTAACAGCTCCAACACACTGAAGCAGCTAAAATGAGGCCATACAGGTCCTTGTAAGTTGTCCTCATGGAAATCTTAAGGAACAAAGAATAATGTCAAAGAACGACTTCTGCAACGAGAAGCTTCTAATTGCAAATACAATTCTAGCTCAAAAGGGAAATTATACTTTTCCTATTTAATGACACTTTCTCAGAAAAGACCCTTCCTCCCAGAATTTTTCTTCCAAAAATATTTCATACTCTCATATTCTCCATAGCTCAACCTTGTAGCTAAAGAAAGGATCAGGCCAAGCACAGTGGCTCACGCCTGTAATCCCCGAACTTTGGGAAGCCAAGGAGATTGGATTGCTTGAGGTCAGGAGTTTGAGACAGCCTGGCCAACATGGTGAAACCCCGTCTCTACTAAAATACAAAAATTAGCCGGGTGTGGTGGCAGGCACCTGTAATCCCAGCTACTCATCAGACTGAAGCAGGAGAATTGCTTGAACCCAGGACGCAGAAGTTGCAGAGAGCTGAGATAGTGCCATTGCACTCCAGTGCCTGGGCGACAGAGCAAGACTCCATCTCAAAAAAAAAAAGATTATTTAGGAGTACCTTTCTCACTCATTTTCTCTTTCTCTTCTCCACTAAAGATCCAGGGTAGAGGACAGAGAAGGAAAGGGAAGGAAAAAAAAAAATCAGGCTCCTTTTCTCATCTACCACAAGACTTACAAGGAGAAAACTTCATCAGAAATTAAAATTCTACTAAAATGGCAACTAGCAGCACAATACACACAAGTGTAATGATTAAAGAACAAATTGTGGTCTATACAATGGACTATGTAAGCCTGATAAAATGGTATTTCAAAAGAATATCTACATATATACAGTGTTATCCACTGTGACATTGTTTCTTTAGCTCCACTATGAATGTTTTAAAAAATATAGGAAAGTTGAAAGAATGGTACAATAAACATACACTATTCTCCACCTAGACTCAAGAATTGTCAATATTTTGCCAAATTTGCCTCATCTATCTCCATGGATAGAGATATGGTTACATTGAGGTTGGTGTTTTTTTTGTATAATTTTGGAATTATTTCAGTAGGTATCAAGACACTTTAACCCTGCATATTTAATTCATTATGCAACTCCTAGGAAGAAGGATGTTCTGCCTCATAACCACAATAACAATACTATACCAATTATCATCTAATACTTCAATTATCATTCGAATTTTCCCCATTGTCCAAAAAATTTCATTTATGGTTGACTTAAAAAAAATCCAGACTCTAATCAAAACTCAAGCAACGACTTTGGACGTTTATGTCTCTTTAGTCTCCTTTATCCTAGAATGGCCTCCATGTTTTGTTTTGTTTATGTTTTCATTTATTTGTGACACTAGCTTTTCTTTCTTTTTTGGGGGGGGTGGGGGACAGAGTCTCACTCTGTGGCCCCAGTTGGAGTGCAACAGCGCAATCTCGGCTCACTGCAACCTCTGCCTCCTGGGTTCATGCAATTCTCCTGCCTCAGCCTCCGGAGTAGCTGGGATTACAGGCACCTGCCACCACACCCAGCTAATTTTTGTATTTTTAGTAAAGACCAGGTTTTGCCATGTTGGCCAGGCTGGTCTTGAACTCCTGACCTCAGGTGATCCACCCGCCTCAGCCTCCCAAAGTGCTGGGATTACAGGTGTGAGCTACTGCACCCAGCCGACACTAGCTTTTCTAAAAGATCAGGAGAGTTGACTTGTTAGAATGCCTTACATCCTAGACTCAACTGATTGTTTCCTCATAGTAGCATTTAGCTTGCCTCTCTATACCTTTATTTCCTGTAAACAGCAGGTTAGGTCTAAAACCTTCATTAGTTTAAATGTTTTTGGTGACAGTGCGTCACAGTTGATGTGCCTATATACCTCAAGGTGGAGTACATCAGGTGGCACATATTTTCAGACTGTACCATCATTAGTGATCATTTGTAGAAAGATGATTACTTGGTTGAGGTTGTTAAGAGCCAGACCTCTCTTTATAAAGGAATATCTCCCCCTTTACAATTAGCAATCTGTGGCAATTATTTGGCATCATGTAAATATCCTATTACTTCTCAACTTTTTACTTAATGGGTTAGCATTCATTGATGATTCTCTCTTGTACTTTTTTAATGGGGGGAGATGCTGAAAATATTCATTTTCTAATTCTATCATTATTTCTACATGTATTAGCTGGCTTTCTTGTACAAATAATAAATTTCCCTTAAAAATTGGTGCAGAGTAGTTACTACTTCTGTCTTATTGCTTACAATAGCAAAAACTGAGGATAACCAAGTGTCCATCTAAAGGGTACTGGATGACTAATCTATGGCAAGGAAGATTCTCTGGCTACTGATAAGAACAGATGTCCAGGCCAGGCGCAGTGGCTCACGCCTGTAATCCCAGCACTTTGGGAGGCCGAGACGGGCGGATCGCGAGGTCAGGAGATCGAGACCATCCTGGCTAACACAGTGAAACCGCGTCTCTACTAAAAATACAAAAAAAAAAAAAAAAAATAGCCAGACGTGGTGGCAGGAGACTGTAGTCCCAGCTACTCAGGAGGCTGAGGCAGGAGAATGGCATGAACCCGAGAGGCAGAGCTTGCAGTGAGCCAAGATCGCGCCACTGCACTCCAGCCTGGGCGACGGAGTGAGACTCCGCCTCAAAAAAAAAAAAAAAAAAAGAATAGATGTCCAAAATATATTGTCGAGAGAAAAAAAGCAAGGTACAAAACAATATATCGAGTAAAGCTACCTTTGAATAAGAAGAAAAACTAATGGTAACACGCTGGGGACTGGAGGGACTAGATAAATGGAAACAAAAATGGATTAATACCTGTCAGTGTTTTTGAAATGGAATTTTAGTTAGTTTGTGGGGACTTTATTTTTATTTTTTAAAGAAACAGGGTATCACTCTATCACCCAGGCTGGAGTGCGATGGTGCAATCATGGCTCACTGCAGCCTCAAAGTGCTGGGCTCAAGCAATCCTCCTGCCTCAGCCTCCAGAGTAGCTAACTTTTAAAATTATTTTAAAGATGGGGTCTCGCTATGTTGCCCAGGCTGGTGCAAACCACTGCACTAGGTGCTGAAATTTTAGTTTTTGAAAAAGGTAAATCTGTTATCTTTATCAAAAATTTTCTTTAAAATATTAAACGACACCAGGCGCGATGGCTCACGCCTGTAATCCCAGAACTTTGGGAGGCCAAGGTGGGCGGATCACCTGAGGTCAGGAGTTTGAGACCAGCCTGGCCAACATGGCAAAACCTACTCTACTAAAAATACAAAATTTACTCTACTAAAAAGACAAAAATTAGGCCAGGTGCAGTGGCTCATGCCTGTAATCTCAGCACTTTGGGAGGCCAAGGCAGACGGATCACCTGAGGTCAGGAGTTCGAGACCAGCCTGGTCAACATGGTGAAACCCCATCTCTACTAAAAATACAAAAATTAGCCAGGCGTGGTGGCAGGCACCAGTAATCCCAGCTACTTGGGAGGCTGAGGCTGGAGAATCGCTTGAACCCAGGAGGCGGAGGTTGTAGTGAGCCAAGATCGCACCACTGCACTCCGGCCTGGGTGACAGAGTGAAACTCCATCTCCAAAAAAAAATTAACCAATTAATTAATCAAAAAAATAAATTAAATTAAATATTAAATGAGGCCAGGCATGGTGGCTCACGCCTATAATCCCAGCACTTTGGAAGGCCGAGGCAGGCAGATCACTTGAGGTCAGGAATTCGGTATTAGCCTGGCCAACATGGCGAAACCCCATCTCTACTGAAAATACAAAAATTAGCCGGGCGTGGTGGTGCACACCTGTAATCCCAGCTACTTGGGAGGCTGAGGCACGAGAATTGCTTGAACCCAGGAGGCTGAGGCTGTAGTGAGCCAAGATGGCACCACTGCACTCCAGCTTGAGTGACAGAGTGAGACTCCATCTCAAAAAAAAAAAAAAAAAAAAAAAAAAAAAAAAAAAAAGGCCAGGCACGGTAGCTCACACCTGTAATCCCAGCACTTTGGGAGGCTGAGGTGGGTGGTAACAAGTTCAAGAGATCGAGACCATCCTGGCCAACATGGTGAAACCCCGTCTCTACTAAAAATACAAAAGTTAGCTAGGCGTGATGGTACGCGCCTGTAATCCCAGCTACTCAGGGGGCTGAGGCGGGAGAATCACTTGAACCCGGGAGGCGGAGGTTGCAGTGAGCCGTGCCATTGCACTCCAGCCTGGGCAACAGAGCGAGATTCTGTCTCAAAAAAAAAAAAAAAAAATTAAATTATGCGGTAAGTACATGTTAAGTGAAAAAAGAACACAAAATTCTATATGCAGTATTAATCCCAACTTTGTTTAAAAAATATTAGGAGAAAAAGGATACAAAAGAAATACAATAAATACTAACCATGGTTGTCTCTCAGTAGTGGCATTATTGGTGATTTAATAATTTTAATAGGCAAGTTTCTATTTTTTTTTCACTTTTTAATTTTAAAAATTATTATTACCAGAAGCCCAAACCTCATCACTCACTTTTTTTCTTTTTTGAGACAGAGTCTCGCTCCGTCACCCAGGCTGCAGTGCAGTGGGGCGATCTCGGCTCACTGCAACCTCTGCCTCCTGGGTTCAGGTAATTCTGTTTCAGCCTCCCGAGTAGCTGGGACTACAGGCGCCTGCCACCACACCCGGCTAATTTTTGTATTTTTAGTAGAGATAGGGTTTCACCATATTGGTCAGGCTGGTCTCGAACTCCTGACCTCAGGTGATCCACCCGCCTCAGCCTCCCAAAGTGCTGGGATTACAAGCGTGAGCCACCACGCCCGGCCACCATTCACTTTTTTAAAAAGTAATAACTATTTATTGTAAAAAGCCAAACAATAATTGGCTCTTTACATTTCACAAAAGGCTGCAATCTAAAGAGTACACAACCAGATGTATCCAAATACAGACAGAAAAAAACATTAACAGCCTGTGTTGAAGGAGTTCTCTCACTGGAGTACTAAGATGTAAAAGTCAGAAAGATTTCACAGCAAGAAAACACCAAGTTTGGCCAGGTGCAGTGGCTCACACCTGTAATCCCAGCACTTTGGGAGGCCAAGGCGGGCAGATCACAAGGTCAGAAGTTCGAGACCAGCCTGGCCAACATAGTGAAACCCTGTCTCTACTAAAAATACAAAAATTAGCCAGGCGTGGTAGCTCATGCCTGTAGTCCCAGCTACTTGGGAAGCTAAGTTGGGAGAATCGCTTGGACCTGGAAGGTGGAACTTTCAGTGAGCTGAGACCGTGCCATTGTACTTCAGCCTGGGTGACAGAGTGAGACTCCATCTCAAAAAAAAAACACAAAAACAAAAACAAAAAAACTCACCAAGTTCCTAGTCCTACACAGCACAGAGTTACCTAAGGAGTGACAAAGAAACAAATTCTAGCCTGTATCCTCATGATACAGCTCTCATCACTTATTAGTGCATAAATATGTACTGAAAATATCAACATTTTCAGGCCAACTTCCTGAATAGGCTAAGGATGAACTAACTGGAAGGAAATCATCTCCTTAGTAACCCTGACAACTCATAGATTAGGATCAGAAATCTAGACCTGAACCCAGGGTAGCCCTTCGGTCAAACTGCCACATAAGTGATTAATTACTAACCAGGAAAGTGCCAAAAATACAGTTCCTATTAGTTTACCTTAACCCTCTACTGCAATTCTTTTACCCAATATAAAAAAGTTCAGAAGAAACATCTTGAGAGTCCTTTGTCTTAACAGTGCAATATAAAGGCACTTTCAAAGAAATACACTTAAACCATTTATAATCTTACAAGGTGTGGTGGAAACAGCAGCAGTCCAATTCCTAAAAATAAAAAATAAAAAAAACCGACCTTCCGACCTCCTGTTACTCAAGAGGAACAATAAAATACAGGTCACAAGTACTGTATGACTCAGAAAACTGTGATGCAACCTCAGATTCCTACAGGATTCAGAAAGGGGAAAGAGTAGCTACAAATATCAATACCAAGAAAAAAATCAAAGGATCAGGATTACCAAACAACATTTCTATCAATTTCCAGGGACCTAAACACACTAACAGCTCAAACAAGAGAAAGCTTTACTGATGGGAAGAAGTCAGAGGGAGTAAAACAATTACACAATCTCTCTTTCATCTGAAGAAAAATATTTGCTGTTGCTTTAAAAGGATAAGGGACTTCTCTCCTGATATGCTCTTACCAGCCACCTGAGAAGAGATTTTACTCTGTTCCCTGTAAAGAACAAAGGGAGCTAAGTCAAACTGAAGTCACACAGGGCTGCTGATGAGGAGAAAATGCCAGTCAATTGTGTTTTTCATTCCTCTTTTAAAAAGGAAGAAGAAACAAGTTTCCCAATCTGTCCCTTAAAGTAAAGCAGACTGAGACAAAGGTTACCAACAATAGTCTTTGTGATACCGTCACACAGTCCCCAAAATCAATTCTCAATCACCAAAAGCTTATCCAAGTAGAAGCAAAAGACATGGCTAGGATATGTACATAAGACAAATGCCGGTCAGGCATGGTGGGAGGCCAAGGTGGGAAGGTTGCTTGAGTCCAGGAGGTCAAGACTACAGTGAGCCATGATTGCACCGCTGCACTCTTCAGCCCAGGTAATAGAGTGAGACCCTGTCTTAAAAAAACAAACAAACAAACAAAAAGACAAATGCCAAGATTCCATCCCATTTCCACACACACATACTCCCACTCCCAATAACATGACTGAGTACTCTCCAAAGGTGAGAAGGCAATCACCTTTCCAGATTTTCTCTATTTAATTCTAAGAGACAATTATATTTAACAACTACTCATAAAAACCATCTAGAGAGTATGCCACAACCCAGTGGGAATTAGAAGTTAGATTTAGAGGTTCCTTGTGCAATCTGATTATCTTATGCCAGGAATTTTACTCCACCTTCTAGCTATACGACTTTGGGGATACTTAACCTCTTTGAGGCTTCGTTTCCTCCTCTGTAAAACATGATCACAATGTCTGCTTCATAGGGTTGTTATGAGACTCCAAATAAGAAAACAGCTGTGGAAATATGAATCTTGTTTCTGTTGTTTTTATTACTATTGAATCCTCTCTGAGGTTCACTATGGTTTCCCTCACCAAACAATAGGGCCAACTGAAACCCCAGAGACACCACAATTCCCAAGAGTAGCAGATTTCTAAGAATTATGTCAAAGGCTGTTACCAGAAAACAAAGTAAAAAGTGCTCAGGGAGAAAATAAAGTATGTTTATGTGGCAAAAATAATTCATTGTGATTTGGGCTCCCTCTACATAGTTTAGTAAAGTGAATTAAAAACCAGAACCAACAATTTATAGCTGTATCTAAAACCTGACTAATAATTCATACCCCAAATCTTCCCCTTCCTATTGCATTTAGGAGTGTGATTCAGAAACCTATAGACCTGCAAGAAGCTGTTAAAATGGAGTCCAATCTCCTTATTTATTTGAGTAACTGCATCTCTCTTCCACTTCACTATGCCCATGTGGGCAAAGTCTAAGAGTCAAACCAACCATGTAATACTGACATATATTCCATAACTTGATTTAACCCAAGGATATAATTATTTTTTAAAAAATCCTTTAAATACTAATTCTAAGACCACTTGCATAAGTAAAGTTCACCCAAATGGAAAATTAACTACAAAATTTCAGGCTTTTAATTAGAAGCCTAAAACTGCCCCAGTACTCTTTGGAAACTCCATATGGATGGAAATACACAGGGTTTTCTACGACTGGCAGCTTTGTTTTTATTAATAGGACTTTCCTACGGCCATTTCAGGATACTTCAAGTAACATCATATAGAACCAAAGTTCAAACTGTAAGCACCACAAGCCAGCACCCACACCTGACTCCATACAGCTCTTGTGTGACTCTTACACTAGACTGAATTTACAGGGGTACAGAGAATGTGGGGAAAAACATCATAAATTTAGAACAGTAAACAACACATTCCCGAAGGCAAACACACCTAGAAGCAGAAAAACTCCAACTATTCCCTGAATTGTGTATCTATTGTGTGCAAAAGATATCCAAGGATATGGCAAAGTGCTAACTGGTTAACTCTAGATGGAGAAGTCATGAGTGATATTTATTTTATTGTTATTATCCATAACATCCAAATTACAGTCAATATGTATAGTCATATATATGGGCCCCGCAGTCAGAATGGTTGATTGAATTCCAGCTCCATCCTTTTCCTGGTATATGATGGTATCTTGATTTCTAGGAATAGTTACTTAACCTGACTGTACCTTAGTTTCCTCATCCATAAAATGTGACTATTGATAGTATGTATATCACAGGGCTACCACAAGGATCAAAATATTTACCATATGAAAAATGCTTATAGTAGAATAATAGCTTCATTCTGTAATGAAGAATTAGTATGAAAATGGTAATAAGGGCTGGTTGCGGTGGCTCATGCCTGTAATCCCAGCACCTTGGGAGGCTGAGGCGGGTGGATCACCTGAGGTCAGGAGTTCAAGACCAGCCTGACCAACATGGAGAAACCCTGTCTCTATTAAAAATACAAAATTAGCCAGGCATGGTGGTGCATGCCTGCAATCCCAGCTACTTAGGAGGCTGAGGCAGGAGAATCCCTTGAACCCGGGAGGTGGAAGTTGTGGTGAGCAGAGATCGTGCCATTGTACTCCAGCCTGGGCAACAAGAGCGAAACTCCATCTCAAAAAAAAAAAAAAATTAGCCAGGCATGGTGACATGTGCCTGTAGTCCCAGCTACTCAGGAGGCTGAGGCAGGAGAATCACTTAAACCTGGGACACAGAGGTTGCAGTGAGCCGAGATCACGCCACTGCACTCCAGCCTGGGGGAGAGAGTGAGACTCCATCTCAAAAAAAAAAAAAAAAAGAAAGAAAGAAAATGGTAATAAGAACACACAATATTTAATTTCTAAAAATAAAAAGTTTAGGCCACAAAGCCCTGTAAACAGTCAGACAAATTAAATTTAAAACAAATTCTTCTAGGCAAAATGAGACCGTCCACTGTAGAGGTCTCCAAACCATTTCATATAAAAGATCTTACCACTGTCACCTTTTTAAAAACAAAAAATAAAACCAGCCAGGCACAGTGGCTCACACCTGTAATCCCTGCCCTGGGAGGTTGAGGTGGGAGGATTGTTTGAGTCCAGGAATTCAAGATCAGCCTGGTCAACATAGTGAGACCCCTGTCTCTACAAAAATTGTTTAAAATTAGCTAGGCATGGTGGCATGTGCCTGTGGTTCCAGCTACTCGGAAGGCTGAGGTGGGAGGATAGCCTGAGCCCAGGAGGTCGAGGCTGCAGTGAGCCCTGATCATGCCACCACACTCCAGCCTGGGTGACAGAGCAAGGCCCTGACTCAAAAAACAAACAAACATAGCCCGGCATGGTGATGCATGCCTGTACTAACAGCTACTGGAGAGGCCGAGGCAAGAGAATCACTTGAACCCAGGAGGTGGGGGTTGCAGTAAGCCCAGCTTGTGCCACTACACTCCAGCCTGGGCGACTGAGCAAGACTCAGAGAGGACCTGCATGATAAGATACCATGTGGAGAGAGAGAAGCCACGTGGAAGACTATCAAGATACCAAGCAAATGAGTGAAACCTTCTTAGACCTTCTAACCTAGCCCAACCACCAGCTGAAAGCAGACGCACAAAGCACAACTGATGTTACACAGGGGAGAAGGACCATCCAGACAAGTCCTGCCCAAATTCCTAACCTGAGTAATTATGAGACAAAATAAATCTTTATTGTTTTAAGCCACCAATTTTGTGGTGGTTTTTGTACATCAATAGATAACTAAAACACTACTAACCTAATATCACCGGGCGCAGTCGCTCACACCTGTAATCCCAGCACTTTGGGAGGCCGAGGCAGGCAGATCACGAGGTCAGGAGTGCGAGACCAGCCTGATCAAAACAGTGAAACCCCAGCTCTACTAAAAATACCAAAATTAGCTGGGCATGGTGGCACATGCCTGTAATCCCAGCTACTCAGGAGGCTGAGGTAGGAGAATCGCTTGAACCCGGGAGGTGGAGGTTGCAATGAGCTGAGATCCCACTACTGCAATCCAGCCTGGGCGACACAGCCAGACTCCCTCTCAAAAAAAAAAAAAAAAAAAAAAAAAACCACTACCTACCTAGTATCTACTAATATCTAGCTGACAAATATCAAGAATTTTCTACAGAAAACCCACTATCTGCTCAATACTCTAACAAGAAGTTTTTCTGAAAATATGGAAATTAATAAATTTAGGTAACCAAAGATATCTCAAAATAAATTTATTTTATCACACTGGTGATCCTTTCTTAGGACTCGTTCTTCCTAAGTAGATTATAAACTCTGTGAGGGCAAAAAACATGTCTGTCATAGTCCCAGTACCTAGCACAATGTCTAGCGTAGAAGAGCATGAGTATGTGTATTTACTTATATTCAGAGTTGTGAAAAGATCCCAAATGAACCCAAAACTATCATAAACAGCAACATCTAGAGTTTTAAAAAGTGTGGTGGTTATGAGTTCAAAGTCATAAATTCAATTTCTACAAGTCAAATACCTTAAAAAGAAAAACCTAAGCCGGGTGCAGTGGCTCACTCCTGTAATCCAGCACTTTGGGAGGCTGAGTCGGGTGGATCACCTGAGGTCAGGAGTTCGAGACCAGCCTGGCCAACATGGTGAAACCCCGTCTCTACTAAAAATGCAAAAATTAGATGGGCGTGGTGGCACGCCCCTGTAATCCCAGCTACTCGGGAGACTGAGGTGGGAGAATTGCTTGAACTCGGGAGGCAGAGGTTGCAGTGAGCCGAGATCACGCCACTGTACTCCGCCTGGATGACAGAGTGAGACCCTGTCTCAAAAAAAAAAAGAAAGAAAAGAAAAGTAAAGACAAGGCTTTGCACCATTACCAACCTAATTTCAGCCAGTCATTTCATTACGCACATGTCATTGATCACGAGAGGGCCAGGCAAGAGAGTAAGCAAAGGACTAATCCATCACTACCTCAACTATAAGTAGGGAAGAAGAAAGAAAAATAACCTCAAAAATGGCAGTAAAATTTTTTTAATCCTCCTATTTGAAACACAGAATATTAAGAACAAAGTACAGAGACAGTGGATATTCTGATAGCAGAGATGAGAATATGGGATATTACACCTTTCGAGCTTGAGAATACTAAATACAAAACCTTCATCCTAATTTACTCCCTAAGAAAGCTGATCCTGCAATCTGGGGATATAGGAGTATCAGTCAAGTTTATAACAAGAATCAGTGATTTAATAAATAAAGATAAGACTAAGAGGTAAGAAGCTTTAATAACTGATTTTTATCGCTGGCTTGTTATATAATCTTGGACAAATCATATCCTCGCTGAATTTCAAGTTTTCCTCCAATATGTAAACTGAAAGTAATAATACCTTCCTTCTATCTTAAAGGAATAAAATCCTTGGAGAATCTTAGGGGAAATGGGTTATAAAATTTCAAGACAAGATTATTACTTTTCAAAGTAAAACTCAAGATAGAACAATAACCAGAGTATGTGATAAACAGAAGTTCACACAAAGAAGTCTCGCACCTACAGTTCTAAGAGAAAGATTGCAAAGGAAACTACAGTGATTATAAAAAGCCACAGATTACATTATCTCTAATTAACCACCTGACAAATTGAAAACAAATAATTCAACAGAACTAAGATCAATCAATTAAAATTATACACAGTCCCTTTCTTTATAAGAAGCCAAAATCCCAGAAATAAACTGTCAACAGACAGAACCTGCACCTCTACTGCACACAGGCAGCAGCATTAGTTTTTTATATATAAACTCAAAATAAGACCGACCTCTGTATAGGATATATCACAAATGGGCTAACAATTTTACAAAATGTTTTGAAGATACAAAACTGAGTAAATTCTAATTACTGTAACTATAATAAGGGGGGAGAAGTGAAGCACCAGCTTTCCTGCTACAGATTTTGCTTACTAGAGCTTTCTAAAGTAACTCACAATGATGCTGCCTAATGTCTGAAACACGGGAAAGCTTGTGCTCAAAACAAAGTGTGATCAAAACCGGAAATAGAAAGCAATAAGACCCAAATTTGAGACTGACAATTTTCCTTACTCCCACTTACCTCAGAAGGATGAAGAAAAAAGAAACGGAAGTTTTATCTGCAAATTATTCTGGAGAAAACAGTGTGCTGAGAACACAAGAACTCCTAAAAACGGAAGGAAGAACAAGGAGGAAAGCACTAAACCAAGAAGAAACTGAAGCTCAATTTTTTGGTTTCAAGCTATCAAAAGAATCAAGAAGACCAAGAAGGCTACTCTTAAATGTACAGAAATGGCAAAAGATTTCCTATTAGCAAGCAACAAAAAAAGAGTAGCTTCTGATGGAAGAAATTTCAGAGGCAAAACAGCTTAACCCCAGAAACGGAAACTGAAACCAGCTGCCTCAAACAGACCTAATGACTTTGGCAACAATATACCTTTCATCCACCAACAATATCAGGAGGCTGGAGTAGGGCCGATTTCAAATCATAAAGGATCACATCTTTCTATTCTCTGCATAGTCTTTGAGAAAGAATCCAACTCCTTCCTGGGAGCACCACATTGCCCCCAATTCTTCCTGGAAACCCCTGGAGCTACAGCAAGAATATTGTTGGGCCAGGCGCAGTAGCTCACACCTGTAATCCCAGCACTTTAAGAGGCCAAGGCAGGTGGATCACCTGAGGTCAGGAGTTCGAGACTAGCCTGGCCAACACGGTGAAACCCTGTCTCTACTAAAAATACAAAAATTAGCTGGGCGTGGTGTCACGCGCCTGTAATCCCAGCTACTCGGAAGGCTGAGGCAGGAGAATCGCTTGAACCTAGGAGGTGGAAGTTGCAGTGAGCCGAGATCATGCCATTGCACTCCAGCCTAGGTAACAAAGTGAGACTCCATCTCAAAAAAAAAAGGAAAGAATATTGTCAGAAAAAAAAAAAAGCTTTGAGAACATTAACCCAGGAATCTTCACAAGTCCTAGGACAGATGTGATTACTCATCAGACAAATAAGAAAAACAAAACCTGGAAGAGGTTAAGAAATTCATCTAGATTCACAGATGAGTCTGGAGCCAAAGCAGGATTTGAATTCAGGCTTTTCCTTCAGATAGTACCAGAGCTACACTCCCAGTCCTTGCTTGGCTTAGTAGATACTGTGTTCAGTGTTTTCCAATCTTATAGTCAGCCCAGGTCAGGTTCTTGGCTGACTAAAATAGGGAAAGAAAAAATTTCCCTCGAGGCTTCAAGAAAAGAAGTCAAATTATTAAACACAGAGTTCTTATGCTAAAAGGCCGACATGCCACCCTACCATGCCAATCACATTTCTTAGCCAATCAAAAGAAGGCATTAGATTTAAGAACCTAGTTATTTAAATCTGAGTAGAAGCTGGATTCCATTTCCCCAACTTTCCAAATAAAGAACACTTAAAGATGGGGAAGGATGTAAAAGCACTGATAAATAACCAACAAGCATTGATTAAGCAGGTATTATGTTGGCACTGTTCTAGGCACTGAGGATACTATAGTAAAGAAGAACATTCTTGCCCCCCAAAAGCTTATGTGATTTTTATATAATTAAATATTAACAATACTTTCAAGTACTGAAAAAGGCTAGAAAGAAAATATGGCAGGTGAAAGAAAACAACACACCCTTTTACCTGGGGTGGCCAGAGAAAGCCTCTCTGAGATGACATTTGAGTTAAGACTGGCATCTTGAAATAGAAACCTTGAGAAAAGAGGCAGGTGAAAAAAATATTTCAAGGAGGATGAGGAGTACCAAGTACTAAGGTCCCTAACAGGTAAGCTTAGCGCATGTGAAGGCCGGAAATAAGGCCAACATGGCTGGAGCACCACTAACAAGGAAGAGAATAAAGACAGGTTGGTACTAGCAGACCATGATAAAATTTGGATTTTATTAAGTGTAATGGGTTACTATTAGAGGATTTTAGCTAAGGAAATGACAAGATGATGGGAATTTGGGCCAGGGTTATAGCAATATAAGAGATGAATAGTCATACTCAGAATATATTTTGGAGAAACAGCTAAGGGAATTACAGATGCATTGTATTTGAGGTGTGAGAGAGAAATGAAGAGTGATTCCTAAGTTTTGGGCCTAAGTCCCAAGTGGATAGTGGAGACACTTATTGAGAAGGGTTCTACTATATGTGTTATGTTTGCGGGTGGGGGAGCAGATTAAAGGGATAAATCAATAGTTTAGGATCACTTTCTATTTTTCTATGAATATGAGCCTGAGAAAATATGAATTCAAGAGAAACTTAAATTTTTCCTATAAATTAATAGTATAATAAATATAATGCAACATTGGTTCTTTTTTTTTTTTTTGAGAAGGAGTTTCACTCTTGTTGCCCACGCTGGAGTGCAATGGCATGATCTCGACTCACTGCAATCTCCGCCTCCCAGGTTCAAGCGATTCTTCTACCTCAGCCTCCTGAGTAGCTGGGATTACAGGCACATGCCACCACACCTAATTTTTTATATTTTTAGTGGAAACAGGGTTTCACCATGTTAGCCAAGCTGGTCTCAAACTCCTGACCTCAGGTGATCTGCCTGCCTTGCCATCCCAATGTGCTGAAACTACCGTGCCTGGCCTGCTTCCTATTCTTAAATAATTATACATAACATTTGAGAGTCAAGCAAGGTAGATCACACCTGTAACCCAGCTAACTCAGGAGGCTAATGGAGGAGAACTGCTTGAGGCCAGGAGTTCAAGACCAGCCTGCAACATAGAGAACATAGACCTCATCTCTTTTTTTTGTTTGTTTTTGTCAACCAGGCTGAAGTGTAGTGGCAGGATCTCAACTGAACTGCAGACTTGACTTCCCAGGAGTAAGTGATCTTCCCATCTCGGCCTCCCCAGAAGCTGGGACTACAGGTGTATATAACTACGCCCCAGTAATTTTCTTTATTTTTTGTAGAGACAAGGTTTCACTATGTGCCCAGGCTGTTCTCAAACTCCTGGGCTCAAGGAATCCTCCCACCTCAGCCTCCCAAAGTGCTGGGATTACAGGCATGAGCCACACGGCACCCTGATGAGAAACCTCATTTCTTTAAAAGAAACCATCAGCCAGGTGCAGTGGCTCATGCCTGTAATTCCAGAACTTTAGGAAACAGAGGCGGCCAGATCACTTGAAGTCAGGAGTTTGAGACCAGCCTGGCCAATGTAGTGAAACCCCGTCTCTACTAAAAATATGAAAATTAGCTGGGTATAGTGGTGCACACCTGTAATCCCAGCAACTCGGGAGGCCGAGACAGGAGAATTCACTTGAACCTAGGAGACGGTAGTTGCAGTGAGCCAAGATCACACCACTGTACTCCAGGCTAGTCTGGCAACAAAGCGAGACTGTCTCAAAAAAAAAAAAAAAAAAAAGGCCAGGCGTGGTGGCTCACATCTGTAATCTCAGCACTTTGGGAGGCTGGGGTGTGTGGATCACCTGAAGTCAGGAGTTTGAGACCAGCCTGACCAACATGGAGAAACCCCGTCTCTACTAAAAATACAAAATTAGCCAGGCATGGTGGCGCATGCCTGTAATCCCAACTACTTGGGAGGCTGAGGCAGGAGAATCGCTTCAACCCAGGAGGCAGAGGTTGCAGTGAGCCGAGATGGCGCCATTGCACTCCACTCTGGGCAACAAGAGCAAAACTCCGTCTCAAAAAAAAAAAAAAAAAAAACGTAAGAGCAATCTTAAAGCCTTCTTAAGTACATGGCAGAAAAATCCCAGTATTAAAAAAAAAAAAAAGAGAAATCCCAGTATGTATCCAATTACATATGAACTGATAAAGACAAGTGATAGAATATAACACATATATATACACTTAAAGCAACATATTATCTAATATTCATTGAACATTTGCTACACACTTGGTAGTGCTAAACACTTTATCTCACTTTTTCCTCACAATGATACTATGAAGATGGGTACTGTTATTCCCATTTCACAGATCAGAAAACCAGGCATAAAGAGGCTAAATGATTTACCTAAGTGAAGGAGAGATTCAAAATCAAATCTGTTGCCAAATGAGCAGTATTGTATAGTGCTCTAACCATTATACAATACTGCTTCTATAAAATACAGAAAAAGAAAAAAAAAAGCTCTCTTCATGTCCTCACACCTAGAAAGTCATAATTAGAAAGAGCTGATTCAAGAGATGAGGAGAGGGAGAAAGAATTAGTAAATCTGAATGAATCTGAGTCAGAACACAGTGACTCATGCTATAACCTTGGACAAATTCTATAATATCCATGCCTCAACCTATCTATCTAAAGAAGGAGCGAACCTCACTGGAGGTTAACTATTATTTGCCTCCTAGTGGGCTATGAATATTAATTAGTATTTGTAATATATACACAGATCATCAGATGAGACAAGGAAAACTATACATTATTATTTCTTCGATATCTACAGCAAAGCACCAGAAATCACGGTAAATAAGTTATGTGCACCAAGAATGTAGAGTGTGAGTACTCTACAAATAAATCATGGCCAGGTGCAAAGGCTCATGCCTGTAATCCCACCACTTTAGGAGGCCAAGGCTTGAAGATCACTTGAGTCCAAGGTTCGAGACCAGCCTGGGCATCATGGCAAAACCTCATCTCTACAAAAAAATATAAAAATTAGCTGGGCATGGTGGCATTCGCCTGTAGTTCCAGTTACTCAGGAGGCTGAGGTGGGAGAAATCACTTGAGCCCAGGAGGCGAAGGTTGCAATGAGCCGAGATTATGCCATTGCACTCCAAGCCTGGGAGACAGAGAAAAATTCCCTCTAAAAAAAAAACGAAAAGGAAAAAGAACCACATAATTTGTCATTTTACTTCTGTTTTCCTTTTTTTTTAAATTAAAAAAATCAATATACATCACATGAATCAGCAACTGCATGCTTGGGCATTTATCCAGAAAAATGATAACTTATGTTCAGACAAAAACTTGTTATCAGCTGGGTGCAGTGGCTCACACCTATAATCCCAGCACTTTGGGAAGGTGAGGTGGGCAGATTGCTTGAGCCCAAGAGTTCAAGACCAGCCTGGGCAACATGGCAAAACCCTGTCTCTACATAAACCAAAAAAATTAGCCGGGTGTGGTGGCATGTACCTGCGGTCCCAGTTACTTAGGAGGCAGAGGTGGCAGGATCACTTCAGCCTGAGAGGCGGAGGTTGCAATGAACTGAGATCACGCCACCATACTCCAACCTGGGCTCAGAGCCAGATCATGTCTCAAAAAAAAACGTGTATAAAAATGTTAACAGCAGTTTTATTCATAGTAGCCAAAAAATTTATAAAAATTCAGATTTTTTTTTTCAGAAGGGGTCTCCCTCTGTCGCCCAGGCTGGAGTGGGTAGCATGACCAATCTTTGCTCACTGCACCCTCCACCTCCCAGGCTCAAGTGATCCTCCCACCTCAGCCACCCAAGTAGCTGCGCCCACAGGTGTGTGCCATCACATCGGCTAATTTTTTTTGTATTTTTCGTAAAGACAGATTGCCCAGGCTGGTCTCAAAGCAATCTGCCAGCCTCAGCCTCCCAAAGTGCTGGGAACACAGGTGTGAGCCACCATGCCCAGCCAGATGTCTTTCAATGGGTAAAGGATTAAACAAACTACAGTACATCCAAACCATGAAATACTGTGTAGCAATTAAAAAGAGTGGAATTGGTCAGGGCGCTAGCTCACACCTTTAATCCCAGCACTCTGGGAGGCTGAGGAGGGTGGATCACCTGAGGTCAGGAGTTCGAGACTGGTCTGCCCAACACGGTGAAACCCGTCTCTACTAAAAATACAAAAACTAGCTGGCCATGGTGGCGGGCACCTGTAGTCCCAGCTACCGGGGCGGCTGAGGCAGGAGAATCGCTTGAACCCAGGAGGCAGAGGTTGCAGTGAGCCGAGATTGAGCCACGGCACTCCAGCCTGGGTGACACAGCGAGACTACATCTCAAGAAAAAAAAAAAAGAGTGGAGCTATTGATAATATAACTTGGATGAATCTCAAGAGAATTATGCTGAGTGAAAAAGGCCAATCCAAATGGTTACATTCTATATAATTCCATTTATACAACATTCTTAAAATGACAAAGAGAGACATTAATGGTTGAAAGATTACAGACGGGACCCGGGGGGTGAGGATTGAGCTACCTAACCCCTGAAGGCATTCTCCCTGGATCTTCTGGGCAAAGCTTCATTGCAACTTTATCCACTGTGAAACTCCCTTTGCAAAAATTGTAACAGTAAGAAAAGCATGACAGTGAAAAAGATCTGACCTAACCAATCCATCTTGCCTTTAACTGCCCTTGGTCATTCCTGTGCGTAGGACAAGCTAACTTTGGGAGAAATTTAGTTTACAGTTTAAATGATAATAGCCCTTCTTAAAACTAAACCGCCATTGTAAAACTAATAAAAGGCCCCAAGTTTAGGATTATGAGAGGGGCCTGAACTCTGCTAAAATGTAAGAATATGAACCCAGGAGGCGGAGGGTGCAGTGATCAGAGATCGCACCACTGCACTCTGGCATGGGCAACAGAGTGAGCCCTGTCTCAAGAAAATAAATAAAATTAAAATAAATAAAAATGTAAGCATATTAAGTAGTGTTTGTTTGTTTGTTTGTTTGTTTGAGACAGAGTCTTGCTCTGTAGCCCAGACTGGAGTGCAGTGGTCCCATCTCGACTTACTGCAGCCTCCGCTTTCCGGATTCAAGCTATTCTCATGCCTCAGCCTCCCGAGCAGCTGGAATTACAGGTGCACACCACAACACCCAGTTAATTTTTGTATTTTTAGTAGAAACGTGGTTTCACCATTTTGGCCAGACTGGTCTCGAACTCCTGACCTCTGGAGATCCACCCACCTCAGCCTCCCAAAGTGCTGGGATTACAGGCATGAGCCACCAAGCACGGCCTTATTTATTTTTTGAGACAGAGTCTTGCTCTGTCTCCCAGGTGGGAGTGCAGTGGCGCCATCTTGGCTCAATGCATTCTCCACCACCCGAGTTCAAGCAGTCCTCTGGCTCAACCTTTCAAATAGCTGGGAGTACATGCAGGCACCACCACATTAATTTTCATATTTTTAGTAGAGATGGGGTTTCGCCATGTTGGCCAAGCCGGTCTCGAACTCCTGGCCTCAAGTGATTCGCCCGCCTCAGCCTCCCAAAGTGCTGGGATTACAGGCGTGAGCCACCGTGCCCAGCCTTTTAAGATGTCTTTTCAGACTTTTGCACTTCTGATGACAAGATGACCCCACCCCAACCAGCGATTCCTCTGTAGCCCCTAGCCAGAAGCAGACTCAGTACATAAGGACCATTTCACATGTGCCTATGATTGCAACCCCAAACCAATCAGCAGCACCCATTCCCTAGCCTGCCGTGTGCCAAACTATACTTGAAAAACCTAGCTGGGGCTGGGCGCGGTGGCTCACACCTGTAATCCCAGCATTTGAGAGGCCGAGGCAGGCGGATCACTTGACATCAGGGGTCTGAAACCAGCCTGGCCAACCTGGTGAAACCCCATCTCTACTAAAAATACAAAAATTACCCAGGTGTGGTGGCACATGCCTGTAATTCCAGATACTTGGCAGGCTGAGGCACAAGAATCACTTGAGCCCTGGAGGTGGAGGTTGCAGTAAGCTGAGATCCTGCCGCTGCACTCCAGCCTGGGAGACAGAGTGAGACTCTGTCTTAAAAAAATAAAATAAAATAAAATCCAGCTGGATGCCGCAGTGGCACACACCTGTAATCCCAGCACTCTGGGTGGCCGAGGCAGGAAGATCTCCTGAGGTCAAGAGTGCAAGACCAGCCTGGCCAACGTGGTGAAACCCCGTCTCTACTAAAAATACAAAAATTAGCCGGGAGTGGTGGCAGGCGCCTGTAATTCCAGCTACTCAGAAGGCTGAGGGAGAAGAATTGCTTGAACCCAGGAGGCAGAGGTTGCAGTGAGCTGAGATCATGCCATTGCACTCCAGCTTGGGTGACAAGAGAGAAACTCAAAAACAAAAAACAAAAAACAAAAAACAAAAAAAAAGTGGCCAGGTGCAACAGCTCATGCCTGTAATCCCACCACTTTGGGAGGCCAAGGTGGGTGGATCACCTGAGGTCAGGAGTTTGAGACCAGCCTGACCAACAGAGACACCCCATCTCTACTAAAAAGATATAAAATAAGCCGGGCGTGGTGGCACATGCCTGTAATCCCAGCTACTCAGGAGGCTGAGGCAAGAGAATCGCTTCAACCTGGGAGGCAGAGATTGCAGTGAGCCGAGACCTCACCATTGCACTCCAGCTTGGGCAACAAGAGCAAAACTCCATCTCAAAAAAAAAAAAAGGAACCCTCAACCCTACCTTTTTTTTTTTTTTTTTTTTTTTGAGACAGTCTTGTTCTGTTGCCCAGGCTGGAGAGCAGTGGCGCCATCTCAGCTCACTGCAACCTCCGCCTCCCAGGTTCAATCGATTCTCCTGCCTCAGTCTCCCAAGTTGCTGAGACTACAGGCATGTGCGACCAAGACCAGCTAATTTTTGTATTTTTAGTAGAGACAGGGTTTTGCCATGTTGGCCAGGCTGGTCTTGAACTCTTAACCTCAGGCGATCCACCTGCCTTGGCCTCCCAAAGTGCTAGGATTATAGTTGTGAGCCACCATGCCCAGCCGACCCTACCTTCTTGAGATAACCTTATAAACTCATACTTCATACAAACATGTATGCATATAATAGGTTTTGCTTCCTGAATCAAAATGGGATTATATATACCACACTCTAGCCTGGGCGACAAGAGGGAATCTCAAAAAAAAAAAAAAAAAAAGTAACCCTCCAACCCTACCCTCTTGAGATAACCTTATAAACTCATAGTTCATACAAACATGTATGCATATAATAGTTTTTGTTTCCTGTACCAAAATGGGATCATATATAACACACATTACCCTGCAGCCTACCTTTTTCACCTATTATCACTATATCACTGAGAGATTAAAAAAAAAAAAATATATATATATATATATATATATAAAGTGCCAAGCAAGATGGCAGGTACAGAATACTTTCTGACTGGGGCAAACCTAGCAGATGTTTACCATGCTAATGTAGGATAGCTGAGTTAGCCATATTCAGTGAGAGTAGAGTCTGTGTACTATAGAAATAGCATTCCAAAGAGATCTGCAAAAATGCAAGGTCTGCCTGAGCATAGTGGCTCATGGATATTTGTAATCCCGGCACTTTGGGAGGCTAAGGTGGGTGTATCACTTGAGGTCAGCAGTTCGAGACCAGCCTGGCCAACATGGCTAGTCATGTTGAGAAATGACCAGCCAACATGGCTGGTCATGAGAGAAATCCCATCTCTACTAAAAATACAAAATTAGCCAGGTGTGTTGGTATGCACAGGTAATCCCAGCTACTCAGGAGGCTGAGGCAGGAGAATCACTTGAACCCAGAAGGCGGAGGTTGCAGTGAGCCAAGATCGCACCACTGCACTCCAGCCTGGGTGACAGAGTGAGACTTCGTCTCAAAATAAATAAATAATAAAGGCCAGGCACGGTGGCTCACGCCTGTAATCCCAGCACTTTGGGAGGCCAAAGCAGGGGATCACCTGAGGTCAGGAGTTCAAGACCAGCCTGGCCAACATGGTGAAATCCTGTCGCTACTAAAAATATAAAAAAATAGCTGGGCATGGTGGTGCATGCCTGTAATCCCAGCTACTTGGGAGGCTGAGGCAGAAGAATCGCTTGAACCTGGGAGCCAGAGGTTGCAGTGAGCAGAGATCGCACCATTGAACTCCAGCCTGGGCAACACAGTGAGACCATGTCTCAAAAAAAAAAAAAAAAAAAAAAAAAAAGCAAGGTCTTCTGCAGCTACTCTAGGAGCCCATCCCCACTCTAAGTCTCCTCCATGGAACTATCCTGTGGGCCCAGAGGGAGAAGTACGAAATTATATCTTTTCAGCAGAAAATGACAAGTGGAGATAATTCTCCCATGTATAAGCTTCTCCAAAATTACATTCCTTCTTCAGGTAGAAATGTGAAGTATATTGCTGATCATTTTAAAAACATTCATTTGTAATACGAGGTATGACCACTATTAAGTGCCAATGCCTTATATACCCCATCTCTAAAGTCTCCTCCCACTCCACTCCCATTTTACAGACAAAACCCTAGCTCAACGTGATGTTACTTGCCCCCCCATTGAACAGTAATTTGATTGCTGTTAATATTTTTTTTTAAGCCAGTAAGAGATAAACTGTAGGTTAATGATACAACACTGGGTTTTTTCCCTTTATCAGGTTTTTCTATATTAACACATGACAACAGAAAAAATTCAAGACAGTTAACAAGCATGTAGGCACAAGTCATTTTCTAAATACATCTGCTGATCTTGGTTCAACTATTTTTGTCCATTTAGCATACTTTTGGAAGACTACACGATGCAGCAAGCCCTACTCCAAGAAAGGGATAGAGAACTGGAAAAAAAATAAATGAACAAAAAAGGCCTCTAACCTCTGAGAGCTTGTGGGGAGACTACAACTGCAATATACTGTAACCATAACCACTGTACTGAAATGTGGCAAGTGTTACCCTCAAGGAAGTACAAAGTGGCATGGTTTGAAAACTCCAGCTATCTTCCCAAAAGCAACAGATAATCTCTCACATTTGCCTCCTTACAATGGTTCTGGCTTCAATTCCGCTGATATTCTATAAATGACAAATACCAATTCTTATGCCTGGGCAAAAGGTCCCCAGTGTTCTTCTATACAAATCACTCAGTAAGTATGACAGAAGTTTGCCAGCTCAAGTCAGCACAAAGCTCCTTCTCCAAAAATAACCCTGTAATTTTTAGAAATTCTAGCAATGAAAATAAAGTATCTTTAACTTTTTTGTCAAATCATGGATATACAGAGTTAAAAGTGACTTAGGGATCATTTTGAACATAAAATCTTGAAAAGTAGCCATATTACAGTGGTTCACTTCTGTAATCCCAGTGGTTTGGGAGGCAAAGCAGAAGGAGTGTTTGAGCCCTAAAGTCCGAGACCAGCCTGGGCAATCTGGCAAAACCCCATCTCTACAAAAAATACAAAAATTAGCCAGCCATGGTGGCACATACCTGTAGTCCCAGCTACTCAGGAGGCTGAGGCAGGAAGACCACTTTAGCCTGGAAGGTCAAGGCTGCAGTAAGCCATGGTTTGTGTCACTGCACTCTAGCCTAGGTGACAGAATGAGTCCGTGTCTCAATCAATCAATCTTTTTTTTTTTTTTTTTTTGAGACAAAGTGTCCCTCTGTCGCCCCAGGCTGGAGTGCAGTGGCGTGATCTCAGCTCAATGCAACCTCCACCTCCCAGGTTCAAGAGATTCTCCTGCCTCAGCCTCCTGAGTAGCTGGGACTACAGGAGCGCACCACCACGCCCAGCTAATTTTTGTGTTTTTAGTAGAGACAGGGTTTCACCATGTTGGTCAGGCTGGTCTTGAACTCCTGACCTCGTGATCCGCCTGCCTCAGCCTCCCAAAGTGCTGAGATTACAGGCTTAAGCCACTGCGCCCTGCCCAATCAATCAATATCTTAAAAAGTTAGATTCACAGCCAGGCGTGGTAGCTCACGCCTATAATCCCAGGACTTTGCGAGGCCGAGGTGGGTGGATCACAAGGTCAAGAGATCGAGACCATCCTGGCCAACATGATGAAATGCCGTCTCTACCGAAAATACAAAAATTTGCTGGGCGTGGTGGCGCCAGCCTGTAATCCCAGCTACTCGGGAGGCTAAGGCAGGAGAATCGCTTAAACCCGGGAGGCGGAGGTTGCAGGGAGCAGAGATCGTGCAACTGCACTCCAGCCTGGTGATAGAGCGAGATTCCATCTCAAAAAAAAAAAGTTAGATTCACTTGTCCATTGTTATAAGACTCACTAAGGGCATCTCTAGACATAAACCCAGGGCTCTTAACTCACTGTATAGGGTTTCTTTGCACTGCTGCTGCTTTAAATCCAGTAACAATAAATTTAATGAAGTCCAAGTTTTCTCATTTAATCAATCATAGATACATCCATGAGTAAATAATCATAGCAGTTTAAAAACGAACTTCATCAAAAACGAGCACACTAAGCACCCACCATGAGGTGCATACAGTAGGTAAAGAACTGCCTATCTTTGATATGGCAGAAGCTCTTAGGCATTGGAGGGAACTGTCAATACCCACTGAAAAATTGTCAGCATTATCATCATCATCTTGACAATCAGCTAGTATTTTGGGGTGTTTACTCTGAACCAGGCACTTTACATGTTATTTCTGATCCTTACAACAACTCTTGAAAGGTAGGTGTTATCATCCCCCCACTGTACATTTGTGGTCACCAGATTTAAAAATAAGTATTCTGAGCTGGGTATGGTGGCTCACGCCTGTAATCACAGCACTTTGGGAGGCTGAAGTGGATCACCTGAGATCAGGAGTTCAAGACCAGCCTGCCCAACCTGGTGAAACTCCGTCTCTACTAAAAATAAAAAAAATTAGCCGGGTGTGGTGGTGGACGCCTGTAATCCCAGCTACTCGGGAGGCTGCAGGAGGCTGAGGCAGGCGAATCGCTTGAACCTGGGAGGTGGAGGTTGGACTGAGCCAAGATCGCGCCATTGCACTCTAGCCTGGGCAACAAGAGCAAAACTCTGTCTCAAAAAAAAAAAAAAGGATTCTGGCCAGGCATGGTGGCTCATGCCTGTAATCCTAGCACTTTGGGAGACTGAGGTGGGCTGATCACCTGAGGTCAGGAGTTCAAGACCAGCCTCGCCAACATGGTGAAACTCTGTCTCTACTCAAAATACAAAAATTAGCCAGGTGTGGTGGCACGCACCTGTAATCCCAGCTACTCAGGAGGCTGAGGCAGAGAATCGCTGGAACCCGGAGGGCAGAGGTTGCAGTGAGCCGAGATCAAGCCACTACACTCCAGCCTGGGCGACAGAGTGAGACTCTGTCTCAGAAAAACAAAACAAAAAAAAAAAAACTCAGTCCATGCATTTTTCCTGCTGTACCACACTCCCTAAGGGCAGAATAACTGCACTGCACATGTGGCTGTGTTATCAAGTCACTTCAAACTTTGACATAATTTCCAGACTGGCAGTTATGTAATTTAGCCATCTTTTCAATCTTTAGATTGGTTTAGCTAATTTTCTTTTATGATTCCTCAAATGAGTGGTCTTCCAGGGTTTCTCTTTTTAAAGAAGCAGAATCCTTTTTCTTTTTTTTTTTTTTTATTATACTTTAAGTTTTAGGGTACATGTGCATATTGTGCAGGTTAGTTACATATGTATACATGTGCCATGCTGGTGCGCTGCACCCACTAACTCATCATCTAGCATTAGGTATACCTCCCAATGCTATCCCTCCCCCTCCCCCCACCCCACCACAGTCCCCAGAGTGTGATATTCCCCTTCCTGTGTCCATGTGATCTCATTGTTCAATTCCCACCTATGAGTGAGAATATGCGGTGTTTGGTTTTTTGTTCTTGCGATAGTTTACTGAGAATGATGATTTCCAATTTCATCCATGTCCCTACAAAGGACATGAACTCATCATTTTTTATGGCTGCATAGTATTCCGTGGTGTATATGTGCCACATTTTCTTAATCCAGTCTATCATTGTTGGACATTTGGGTTGGTTCCAAGTCTTTGCTATTGTGAATAGTGCCGCAATAAACATACATGTGCATGTGTCTTTATAGCAGCATGATTTATAGTCCTTTGGGTATATACCCAGTAATAGGATGGCTGGGTGAAATGGTATTTCTAGTTCTAGATCCCTGAGGAATCGCCACACTGACTTCCACAATGGTTGAACTAGTTTACAGTCCCACCAACAGTGTAAAAGTGTTCCTATTTCTCCACATCCTCTCCAGCACCTGTTGTTTCCTGACTTTTTAATGATTGCCATTCTAACTGGTGTGAGATGGTATCTCATTGTGGTTTTGATTTGCATTCCTCTGATGGCCAGTGATGATGAGCATTTTTTCATGTGTTTTTTGGCTGCATAAATGTCTTCTTTTCAGAAGTGTCTGTTCATGTCCTTCGCCCACTTTTTGATGGGGTTGTTTGTTTTTTTCTTGTAAATTTGTTTGAGTTCATTGTAGATTCTGGATATTAGCCCTTTGTCAGATGAGTAGGTTGCGAAAGTTTGCAGAATCCTTTTTCTAAAGGAAATCTTATGTGAAAACACCAAAATGTAAAGCAGGTCAAAGTTGAGCTGCTCTGGCTTAAGCAAGGTTGAGAGAACTAAAGCTCATCCTTACTCTCATGGCCAACTCTTGGGCACCTCCAAAGAATACTTTGAAAAATACTGGTTTAAAACTGAAGACTCTGCTTTCTCCATCTCAGCTCTACCATTTGCCAGCTGTATAACCTTTGACAAAAAACAATGTTTCACTTTTTCAAACAATGTTTCACTTTCTCTCATCCTTTACAGGTTTGTTACAAATATTACATGGAAGAATAAATGTAAAACTCCCTATACACGGTTCACATTCAAAAGTTAGTTTCCTTCCTCTTTATCTACAGTGTTAATAGTTGTTGCCAATTCAAGAAAGCTCAATAAATATATCTGAAGATATTCTTGGCAGCAGAGAAGTGAACAAGTAAATGCTCCCATAGTTCAACTAGCATAAACAAACCTAATAAATCCTTCATTAAAAGTACCAGTGGTATCAGTAACTCCCTCTTAGTCCTTTTGGGCTGCTTTAACAAAATACCAAAAACCACTCAGGCATGATGGCTCACACCTGTAATCCCGGCACTTTGGGAGGCTGAGGCAGGTGTATCACCTGAGGTCAGGAGTTCGAGATCGGCCTGACCAACATGGTGTAATCCCATCTCTACTAAAAACACAAAATTATCCCAGCGTGGTGGCACGTGCCTGTAATCCCAACTACTCAGGAGTCTGAGGCAGGAGCATAGCTTGAACCCGGAAGGTGGAGGTTGTGGTGAGCTGAGAGAGCACCATTGCACTCTAGCCTGGGCAACAAGAGCAAAACTCTGTCTAAAAAAAAAAAAAACTAGGTAGCTTATAAACAACAGAAATTTGTTTTTTTCTTTCCTTTTTTTTTTTTTTTTTTTTTTGAGACAGAGTCTCACTCCGTCACCCAGGCTGGAGTACAATGGTATGATCTCGGCTCACTGCAACCTCCGCCTCCTGGGTTCAAGCAATTCTTCTGCCTCAGCCTCGCAAGCAGCTGGGAATACAAGTGCACGCCACCACGCCCAACTAATTTTTGTATTTTTAGTAGAGATGGGGTTTCACCATATTGGCCAGGCTGGTCTCGAACTCCTGACCTCGTGATCTGCCTGCCACGGCATCCCAAAGTGCTGGGATTATAGGCGTGAGCCTCCGTGCCCAGCCAGGCTTCTATTTTTCCAGGCACCACAAACCAAAAATACATCTATGTCATGTGCACCCTCACCTGAGCAATTTTAAACTGGCTCTTGCCTAAAGAATTAAGAATCCATTGCCGTGGTCTATTATTAATAACATGTTCCCATTTCTTCATGTATAACCAGGGACCAAAGCTATTTTTATAGGAAAGAGATTGCCGGTCCCAATCTAAGCCCAGTCAACTCTCAAATCACACACTCTATGGAAGCTGCAGATGTTGGCTTTGATCACTATGATTCAGGAAGAATCATAACAGTAGATTACACAGCTAAGAAAAGAGTCATTTAAGATAAGGAAGACATCCCTGAGTATGGATGTGAAATCCAAAAAGATTTAGAATACTAATCTAGTATTTTACCAGGAACCCTGAGCAATTCACCTGCTCTCTATTGATTACTGCTTTGTGAGAAAAGTGAAAATATACTCATGAAAATGCCAGAGACATTGGTGTTGCTGTTGTTTTGTAGACGGGGTCTCCGTATGTTGCCAAGGCAGGTCTCGAACTCCTGGGCTCAAGAGATCCTCCCGCCTCAGACTCCCAAAGTCCTGGGATTATGGGCATGAGTCACTGTGCCCAGCCAGACATATTGCTTTGATTAACCATCAAACAATTATGTCCCAGGGTTATCAGGGACCTCAGCAAGTCATCTCTGTCACCTCCCTCATTTCTAAACAAGCTCACACCTGAATGATCCCAGAAAGATAGTCTTTGGAGAAGATACTTCATAATATCCCTCGGTAACAACATTTCAGTATCTTGTAGTCAGGAAGTTCTTTCTAACATGTAATCTACATCCTTTATGTTGCAATTAAAACACATTCCCTCTTGTCCTGTCCTCTATGGAAAGAGAACATCTGCTTAACACCACCTGAACAATATCCCTCCAAGAGATTATAAAATATAGGAAGCCCATTTCAAATAGCTTCATGTAAATGCAACATGGCTTTATATGGGTCACCTTAGACAAAGAACATGATTAAGAGTCTTAAATTCCTAATTCCATCACTGACTTGCTCTGAAGATGATAGGAAGTTAAAACCATGCAGATGCTGTGCTTCAATTATCCCATCAGTAAAATGCAAATAATAAAACCAGTATGTTAGAACTCAGTTCTTCATACAGGAAAGAGATTCTGAGTCCCAATCTAAGCCCAGCCAACAACTCTGAAATCACATACTCTGGAGAAGCTGCAGATGTTGGCTTTGATCTCTAACATGTCAGAAGATCATTAATATATTATCATAGGACCTGCAATTCCATTCCTACCTAGGTATATTCCTAAAATAACTGAAAATAAGCCAATGCACATGCATGTTCAAAGCAACACTATTCACAAGAGCAGAAGGCAGAAACAGCCCAAATGTTCTTCAATGGATGAATGGATAAACAAATGTGATGTATACACACAATGGAATATTATTCAGTCATGAAAAGGTATGAAGTACTGATAAATATTCCAATGGAGATAAATAAACCTCCAAAACATTACGCTAAGTCAAAGAAGCCAGACACAAAAGATCACATATTGTATGATGCCATTTACATGAAATATCCAGAATAAATCAATCCACAGAGACAGAATGCAGATTGATGGTTATCAGGGGCTGGAGGAAGGGCAGAATAAGGACAAACTGCTTAACTGGTAAGGGGTTTTACTTTGCAGAGATGGTAATGTTTTGAAACTAAAGAGGTTGCAGAACATTGTGAATGTACTTAAATGCCACTGAATTGTTCATTTTAAGATGGCTAAATTTACGTGAAGTGAATTTCAGTTCAGTAAATCCTTATTCTAAAAAAAAAAGAAAAAAGAAAAAAAATTCAGCCAGGCGCGGTGGCTCATGCCTATAATGCCAGCACTTTGGGAGGCCGAGGCGGGCAGATCACCTGAGGTCGGGAGTTTGAGACCAGCCTGACCAATATGGAGAAACCCTGTCTCTACTAAAAGTACAAAATGTGCCGGGCATCGTGGTGCATGCCTATAATCCCAGCTAGTCAGGAGGCTGAGGCAGGAGAATCACTTGAACCCAGGAGGAGGAGGTTGCAGTGAGCCGATATAGCACCACTGCACTCCAGCCTGGGCAACAAGAGTAAAACTCCATCTCAAAAACAAAACGAAACAAAACAAAAACGCTAGAAGCTGAGTGTGGTGGTTTGTACCTGTAATCCAGCTACTTGGGAGGCTAAAGCAGGAGGAAAGCTTGAGTTCAAGGCTACAGTGAACTACAATCACCACTGTAGTCTAGCCTGGAAGAAAGTGTGTCTCAAATAAACAAATAAAAGAATGCTAGGAGAACTAAAAAGGACAATGTCCATATAAGCATTTCCCAGGAAAGTTACCATATAAAATTCCAGGTAGGGCCGGACGTGGTGGCTCACACCTGTAATCCCAGCACCTTAGGAAGCCGAGGCGGGTGGATCACCTGAGCTCAGGAGTTCGAGACCAGCTGGGTCAACATGGAGAAACCCTGTCTCCACTAAAAATACAAAAATTAGCCAGGCGTGGTCATGTGCGCTTGTAATCCCAGCTACTTGGGAGGCTGAGGCAACAGAGTTGCTTGAACCTGGGAGGCAGAAGTTGCAGTGAGCCAAGATCGCACCACTGCACTCTAGCCTGGGCGACAGAGCAAGACTCCATCTAAAAAAAAAAAAATCTAGGTAGGACTGTAGCCAAAATGTTTATTATTATCATATAAATATGGCTAATTAGACTCTGGGCAAAGTATATAAATCACAAACTATTAATAGAAAACAATGGCGGGGCACAGTGGTTCACGCCTGTAATCCCAGCACTTTGGGAGGCCGAGGTGGGCGGATCACGAGGTCAGGAGATCGAGACCATCCTGGCTAACACGGTGAAACCCTCTCTACTAAAAATAGAAAAAATTAGCCAGGCATGGTGGCGGGCGTCTGTAGTCCCAGCTACTCAGGAGGCTGAGGCAGGAGAATGGTGTGAACCCGGGAGGTGGAGCTTGCAGTGAGCCGAGATTGCACCACTGCATGCACTCCAGCCTGGGCGACAGAGAGACTCAGTCTCAAAAAAAAAAAAAAAAAAAAAAAAAAGTATAGAGCTTTGAGCTTTGTCACAATTATACATTCAGTACATAGAAATAAGAGCCAATAAACAAGTGAATGAATAAAGAGGTTAACCAAGCACCTCAGCTAATTAGCTATAGCAACAATGACCACAAGAAAGCAATAAAAAAAAAAAAAAAAAAAAGATAAGGAATGAACTTTAAAAGCCAGTAATACCAAAATACAAAGAACCATTCAGTAGGGAGGTGAAAAAAGAAAGGCTAAACATAGCAAATTTTAAAAGTACATAAAAAGGGCCGGGCATGGTGGCTCACGCCTGTAATCCCAGCACTTTGGGAGGCTGAGGCAGGAGTATCACCTGAGGTCAGGAGTTCGAGACCAGCCTGACCAACATGGAGAAACCCCATCTCTAATAAAAATACAAAATTAGCCGTGTGTGGTGGTGCATGCCTGTAATCCCAGCTACTCGGGAGGCTGAGGCAGAAGAATCACTTGAACCCGGGAGGCAGAGGTTGTGGTGAGCCGAGATCACGCCATTGCACTCCAGCCTGGGCAACAAGAGCAAAACTCCATCTCAATAAATAAATAAATTAAGTAAGTAAGTACATAAAAAGTAGATAAACCCTTAAGGCCAACATAAAAAGGCCAGAGAATCATTACTCTCACCATTTTGCAAATATCTTCATACCCTCACCCTTTTCTCTCTTAATACAACATCCTGGCAAGATACCAAGCTAAGCAGCCAAGAATACAAAAAATGGAAAGGTACAGCTCCTATCTTCACGGATCTTACTGTCTTAGAGTATACTTCTTATGAGGAAACAGACATGTTTTGTTTTGTTTTGTTTTGAGATGGATTCTTGTTCTGTCACCCAGGCTGGAGTGCAGTGACATGATATCAGCTCACTATATCCCCCGCCTCCCCAGTTCAAGTGATTCTCCTGCCTCAGCCTCCTGAGGAGCTGGGATTACAGGTGTGCACCACCACGCCTGGCTAACTTTAGTATTTTTAGTAGAGACAGGGTTTTGCCATGTTGGCCAGGCTGGTCTTGAACTCCTGACCTCATGTGATCTACCTGCCTCAGCCTCCCAAAGTGCTGGGATTACAGGCGTGAGTCACCACGCCCAGCCTACACATGTCAATAATCAAAATACACAGACCATCTCCACTTCGTCCCTTCCCATGCCTTAAACCCAATTCAATTTAGCTTCTGGCCCTACTTTCCTCCAATATTGTTCTTGCTATAATCATCAATGATCTCTGTGCTGACAAATCCAACAATGTACAGTGATTACTCCCTTCCTGAAATATGTTCCTATGTTGGTTTCTCTAATAACAAGCTCTTACATTTTCTCTTGAATTCCTTGGAGTGTGGTCTTCTCCTCCTACTCTATACTTGTTCTCTAGGAGATCTCATCCATTTCCCTTGGTTGTAAATACCATCTATATACTAATACCATCCAGATTTCTCTCCAGCGCTACTTTTGTGAATCAGCCTAAAGACTACTTACTTGATATCTGCACTTGTATGTTTTCACAGGCATCTCACAATTAGCATGACTAAAACTGAGGTCTTCATTCCACTCCCCAACTCTAATCCAAATCTGCTCCTCCTCCAATGTTTCCATCTCAGAAACACCACCTTCATCTACCCAGATGCTCAGGCCAAAAATCTGGAATCATACTTGACACCTTCTTCTTCCCACACATCCAATCCATTAAGTCTTGCCTGTCCTAATTCTAAAATATCTACTGAATCTTTCTACTTCTATCTCCACTGCCTACAGTCTAATCCAAACCATCATCGCCTTTTGCCTGGACCACTGCAATACTTCCTAACCATACTTCCCCGATTTCTTCTCTTTCCAAACCCCTCCCCACAATGTACCCACAGTAATGGGGTGTTGCTGTTGTTATTGTTGTTTTGGAGACAGAGCCTTGCTCTGTCACCCGGCCTGGAGTGCAGTATCATGGTTTAAGCTAACTGCAGTCTCAACCTCCGCAGATCAGATGATCCTCCCACCTTAGCCTCTTGAGTAGCTGTAAGCACAGGTGTGAGCCACCGCACCCAGCTAATTTTTTTGTACTTTTTGTAGAGATGGGATCTTACCATGTCACCCATGCTGGTCTCAAACTCCTGAGCTCAAGCAATCCACCCGCCTCAGCCTCCCAAAGTGCTAGGATTACAAGCATGAGCCACCGCGCCCGGCCCCAGAGTAACGTTTTAAAATCATATATAAGGTCATGATACTCATGCTTAAAACCTTCAAAATCTTCTAATTATACTCAGGATAAAAATCCAAAAGCTGGCCAGGTACGGTGGCTCACACCTGTAATCCCGGGACTTTGGGAGGCCAAAGCAGGTATATCACCTGAGGTCAGAAGTTCAAGACCAGCCTGGCCAACATGGTGAAACCCTGTCGCTACTAAAAATGAAAAAATTAGGCCAGGCGCAGTGGCTCACACCTGTAATCCCAGCACTTTGGGAGGCCAAGGCAGGCAGATCACGAAGTCAGGAGATCGAGACCATCCTGGCTAACACATGAAACCCCGTCTCTACTAAAAATACAAAAAATTAGCCTGGTGTGGTGGTAGGCGCCTGTAGTCCCAGCTACTTGGGAGGCTAAGGCAGGAGAATGACGTGAGCCCGGAGGCAGAGCTTGCAGCAAGCCGAGATCGCACCACTGCACTCCTGCCTGGGTGACAGTGCGAGACTTCCTCTCAAAAAATAAATAAATAAATACATAAATAAATACACAAATAAATAATTACCCACATGTGGTGGCACGTGCCTGTAGTGCCAGCTACTCAGGAGGCTGAGGCAGGAGAATCGCTTGAACCCAGGAGGCAGAAATCGCACTGAGCCAAGACCACACCACTGCACTCCAGCCTGGGCTACAGAGCAAAACTCCATCAAAAAAAAAAAAAAAAAAAAAAAATCCAAAAGCCTTGCTGGGTGTGGTAGTTCATGCCTGTAATTTCACCACTATGAGAGGCCAAGGTGGGGAAGGAGCTCTTGAGTCCAGGAGTTTGAGATCAGCCTAGGCAACATAGTGAGGCTTTGTCTCTACAAATAATCAAAAATTACCTAGGCATGGTGGTGGGTGCCTGTAGTCCCAGCTACTTGGGAAGCCGAGGTGGGAGGATCCTTGAGCCTAGAAGGTCAAGACTACAGTGAGCTGTGATCACACCACTGCATGCTAGCCTGGGGAACAGAGACCCTGTCTCAAAAAAAAAAAAAAAAAAAATTCGAAAGCCTTGACATAGTCCTGCCTAAGTCTCTATCCTCATTCTATGCCTCTTTCCTCCATCCCCTACTGTTCACTGTATTCCAACCATATCAACCTTCTTCCAGTTTCTCAAATGTGTCAAGTTCTCTCCCATCCTGAGAATTTCATACATGCTATTCCCTTCCCTTTCTATCCTTCTAGTCTCTGCTTAAGTATCACTTCTTCAGAAAAATATTTCTCAAACCTCCAGTTTAATTCAGGTTCCCCTACTATAATCTCTTTTTATTCTTCTGTCATAGGTTTGGCACACACTGCAATTATATGTTTATTGGTATAATTATTTGTTTACTGTCTCTCTTTCCTCTGGACTATAATCTCCATACAGGCATGGACATCTATTTTTCCACTCTAGTCTCACTATATTGACCTAGTGTTTTAAAGTGTTTAGTAGTTAAGAATCAGTATAACTTAGAGGTTAAGAGCAGGGGAATGTGGAGCCAGGTTGTTTGGACGCGAATCCTGGTTCTGCCATTTGCTAGCTATATACCTTGGGCAAATTGCTTAATTTCTCTGTGCCACAACTGCTACATCAATAAAATGAGAAGAATAAGAGTACTTACGTCATAAGGTTGTTAGTTGGAATGAAAAGAATCAATGCAAAGCGCTTACTACAGTACCTGGCACAAAGCATTCAATAAGGACTGGTTCTGATCAGAACCAATATTTGCTAGATAAACAAAAGTCTGAAAAGGTACGAATTGAGATGCAGAATCACAATCAAGAAATAGTTGTAAAAGGCCTCACAGGGATATTTCATAACTCAAAAAAAAAAAAGCCATAGTACATAATACACAGCATTATGGTATCCTCACTGCCTACTGAAGGAATACACATGCAACAAACATTTATCAAATGAATGACTGTCGCCAAGTCAATCCTAAGCCAAAAGAACAAAGCTGGAGGCATCACGCTACCTGACTTCAAACTATACTACAAGGCTACAGTAACCAAAACAGCATGGTACTGGTACCAAAACAGAGATATTGATCAATGGAACAGAACAGAGCCCTCAGAAATAATGCCGCATATCTACAACTATCTGATCTTCGACAAACCTGAGAAAAACAAGCAATGGGGAAAGGATTCCCTATTTAATAAATGGTGCTGGGAAAACTGGCTAGCCATATGTAGAAAGCTGAAACTGGATCCCTTCCTTACACCTTATACAAAAATTAATTCAAGATGGATTAAAGACTTAAACGTTAGACCTAAAACCATAAAAACGCTAGAAGAAAACCTAGGCATTACCATTCAGGACATAGGCATGGGAAAGGACTTCATGTCTAAAACACCAAAAGCAATGGCAACAAAAGCCAAAATTGACAAATGGGATCTAATTAAACTAAAGAGCTTCTGCACAGCAAAAGAAACTACCATCAGAGTGAACAGGCAACCTACAAAATGGGAGAAAATTTTCACAACCTACTCATCTGACAAAGGGCTAATATCCAGAATCTACAATGAACTCAAACAAATTTCCAAAAAAAAAAAAAAAAAAAAAAAAAAACAACAAAACAACCCCATCAAAAAGTGGGCGAAGGACATGAACAGACACTTCTGAAAAGAAGACATTTATGCAGCCAAAAAACACATGAAAAAATGCTCACCATCACTGGCCATCAGAGAAATGCAAATCAAAACCATAATGAGATACCATCTCACACCAGTTAGAATGGCAATCATTAAAAAGTCAGGAAACAACAGGTGCTGGAGAGGATGTGGAGAAATAGGAACACTTTTACACTGTTGGTGGGACTGTAAACTAGTTCAACCATTGTGGAAGTCAGTGTGGCGATTCCTCAGGGATCTAGAACTAGAAATACCATTTCACCCAGCCATCCTATTACTGGGTATATACCCAAAGGACTATAAATCATGCTGCTATAAAGACACATGCACATGTATGTTTATTGCGGCACTATTCACAATAGCAAAGACTTGGAACCAACCCAAATGTCCAACAATGATAGACTGGATTAAGAAAATGTGGCACATATACACCACGGAATACTATGCAGCCATAAAAAATGATGAGTTCATGTCCTTTGTAGGGACATGGATGAAATTGGAAATCATCATTCTCAGTAAACTATCACAAGGACAAAAAACCAAACACCGCATGTTCTCACTCATAGGTGGGAATTGAGCAATGAGAACACATGGACACAGGAAGGGGAACATCACACTCTGGGGACTGTTGTGGGGTGGGGGGAGGGGGGAGGGATAGCATTAGGAGATATACCTAATGCTAAATGACGAGTTAGTGGGTGCAGCACACCAGCATGGCACATGCATACATATGTAACTAACCTGCACATTGTGCACATGTACCCTAAAACTTGAAGTATAATAATAATAATAAAAAGAAAAAAAACAAAAAAAACAAATGAATGACTGAAAAATACACACTCTGCTATAATCACTAGAAAGAATTTTTTTTTTAATTTTTCTGAGACAGGGTCTTGCCATGATGATGCCCAGGATGGAGTGCAGTGGTGTGATCTTGGCTCACTGCAGCCTTGATCTCCTAGGCTCAGGCAGTCCTCCTGCCTCAGCCTCGCAAGCAGCTGGAAATACAGGCATGCACCACCATTTCCAGCTAATTTTAAAAAATTGTTGCCAGGCTCAGTGGCTAACACCTGTAATCCCAACACTTTGGGAGGCTGAGATGGGTGGATCACCTGAGGTCAGGAGTTCAAGACCAGACTGGCCAACATGGTGAAACCCTGTCTCTACTAAAAATACAAAAATTAGCTGGATGAGGTGGTGGGTGCTTATAAACCCAGCTACTCAGGAGGCTGAGGCAGGAGAAACGCTTGAACCTGGGAGGTAGAGGTTGCTGAGATCACACCACTCACTGCACTCCAGCCTGGGCGACTGTGCTCTCTGTGCTCTCTGAAACATGTGCTGTGTCCACTCAGGGTTAAATGGATTAAGGGCGGTGCAAGATGTGCTTTGTTAAACAGATGCTTGAAGGCAGCATGCTCGTTAAGAGTCATCACCACTCCCTAATCTCAAGTATCCAGGGACACAAACACTGCGGAAGGCCGCAGGGTCCTCTGCCTAGGAAAACCAGAGACCTTTGTTCACTTGTTTATCTGCTGAGCTTCCCTCCACTATTGCCCTATGACCCTGCCAAATCCCCCTCTGCGAGAAACACCCAAGAATGATCAATAAAAATAAATAAATAAATAAATAATTCCAAAAAAAAAACGCTGGGCATGGTGCCTCACACTTGTAATCCCAGCACTTTGGGAGGCCGAGGCAGGTGGACCACGAGGTCAGGAGATCGAGACCATCCTGGCTAACATGGTGAAAGCCCGACTCTACTAAAAATACAAAAATTAGCCAGGCGTGATGGCACACGCCTGTAGTCCCAGCTACTCAGGAGGCTGAGGCAGGAGAATCGCTTGAACCAAGGAGGCGGAGGTTGCAGTGAGCTGAGATCACGCCACTGCACTCCAGCCTGGGTGACAGAGCAAGACTCCATCTCAAAAAAAAAAAAAAAAAAAAAAAAAAAAAAATATATATATATATATATATATATATATTCCTAGCTTCCCAAATTGCTGGGTTTAAAGGTGTGGGCCACCACACCAGGCATAAAGACTTTTATAATTGGAAAATAACAATAATTTTTTTTTTCTTTTGAGACGGAGTTTCGCTCTTGTTGCCCAGGCTGGAGTGTGATGGCATGATCTCAGCTCACCACAACCTCCGCCTCCGGGGTTCAAGCTATTCTCCTGCCTCAGCCTCCCGAGTAGCTGAGATTACAGGCATGCACCACCACACCCAGCTAATTTGTATTTTTAGCAGAGACAGGGTTTCTCCACGTTGGTCAGGCTGGTCATGAACTCCCAACCTCAGGTGATCCACCCGCCTCAGCCTCCCAAAGTGCTGGGATTACAGGCATTAGCCACTGCACCCAGCCGAAAATAATAATGATTTTTAAAACTGGACGCACTGGCTCACACCTGTAATTCCAGCACTTAGGGAGATCGAGGTGGGCAGATCACTTGAAGCCAGAGTTCAACACAAGCCTGGCCAACATGGCAAAACTCTGACTCTACTAAAAGAAATACAAAAATTAGCCAGGTGTGGTGGCACACACCTGTAATCCCAGCTACTCGGGAGGCTGAGGCACAAGAATCGCTTGAACCCAGGAGGCAGAGGCTGCAATGAGCCAAGATTGTGCCACCGCACCAGAGCAAGACTGTCTCCAAAAAATAATAAAAAAATAATTTTTTAATTAAAAATAAAGATCCATCTTTTTACTTTTTTTTTCCTAGCTAGGATTTGAACCTATATCCTTTTACTTTATTTTGAAGGGTACTGTGGGGAAAGAGGGACAAATATGCTGTTTTAACTTCCTATTCCCTATTAAAGTTTTCCCAAAGCATCTAAACTTCAATCTAAGAATCATTATCATGTGTTCTTTTGGAAAACTTTATTTTGTTATAATAACATTGTTACTAACAACTGGCATATACAGCACCTAGTGCTGTTCTAAATGCTTTATACATATTAACTAATTTAGTTCTTACAACAACTGTATGGTATTTTACAGATGAGGAGAGGCACAGAGAGACTAAGTAACTTGCCCAAGTTGTATAGCTAGTAAGCAGGGGTGCTGGAATTTGAACCAGGCTGCTTGGCTCCAGGACTCAGTGCCACTATGCTGCTATTCAAAAGTCTGGGGAGAGATATTTTTCTGTCCTGTTTTCAGTGGTCGCCTAGAATAAAATACTCCAATTTTCTCTGCAAATCAAATGTGCTTATTAATCCTCTCCAACTCAGCAAAATTTCAGATGCTTCATTATACTATAGGTATATATACCTGTGATCTATTCTAGAGAGTAGAAATAAGTGATGAAATCATGAAATATAAAATTTGCTTCAGCTCATTTTAAAGAAACACAACTTCAGGTCAGGCACAGTGGCTCCCGCCTATAATCCCAACATGTTGGGAGGCCAAGGTGGGCAGATCACCTAAAGTCAGGAGTTCGAGATCTGCCTGGCCAACATGGTGAAACCCCATCTCTACTCAAAATACAAAAATTAGCCGGACGTGGTGGCACACACCTGTAGTCCCAGCTACTCGGGAGGCTGAGGCACGAGAATCGCTTGAACCCGGGAGGTGGAGGCTGCAGTGAGCCAAGATTGCACCACTGCACTCCAGCCTGGGCCACAGAGTGAGACCCTGCCACAAAAAAAAAGTAAAAAATTAAACTCATTAGTCAAGCATGCTAGATATTTATAAGTCCTAGTTATCCTTGACTATGTAAAACCCAGTATTATCATACATTAAATATCAGACACATATTACATGTAGCAATCAATCTTAAATGAAGACTGAAGACTTAGATGGCAGCAAGGAAACTTAAATTTACGCAATTATGATTCGTGATTCCAACTTTTCAAGGGGATTAAGGATGCTATGACTGAAGACTCTAATCCCTGTAAATACCCAGGGCTCGCCTCACTCCTTCTTCCCTCTGTCAGCCCTTGTTTATTTCCTTCAGAATACTTGTTTCAGTCTAAATTTCAATATTTATCAAATACCTATACTCCCCACTGGAATAAACTCCATAAGGAGACCATAAGAACACCTATGTCTACCTTTGTATCCCAACATCTAATGAGTCTTCAATAAATATTTGCTAGATGAACAAACATCTTCATAGGTAAGGGTTGAAACACACAGTCACAATCAAGAAATAGCTCCACAACGTCTGATGGGAATATTTCTGACCTCAGAAAAAAACACGGTACCAAAACAACACACAATGAAGAAAAAAATTTAGGTAGAGAAGTGAAGATTATTAACCCTAAGAGCAGAGGGAGAGACAAAAAATAAGTCAGAAAAGAAATAGAAGGAGGATGGGTGCTGTGGCTCATGCATGTAATCACAGAACTTTGACAGGCCAAGTTGGGCAGATGACTTGAGGTCAGGGGTTCAAGACCAGCCTGGCCAACATGGTGAAACCTGGTCTCTACTAAAAATACAAAATTAGCTGGGCCTGGTGGCACGTGTCTGTAATCCCAGCTACTCAGGAAGCTGAGGAGGGGGAATCACTTGAACCTGGGAGGCGCAGGTTGCAATGAGCCAAGATAGCGCAGCTGCACTCCAGCCTGGATGACAGAGCAAGACTCCATCTCAAAAAAAATAAACAGAAAGTAGCAAGTTGCCCAAGAACTTAAATAACATCTGTTCATTGTTGTTGTAAAATAGCATGGAAGTTAACAATTGAAGAGTACTTTATCCTTTTAAAGCATTTTCACATACTTTTTCTCAATGTAATCAACTTAAGTATTATGATGGGCCGGGCACGGTGGCTCATACCTGTATTCCCAGCACTTTGGGAGGCCAAGGCAGGTGGATCACCTGAAGTCAGGAGTTCGAGACCAGCCTGACCAACATGGTGAAAACCCGTCTCTACTAAAAAAAAAAAGTACAAAAATTAGCCAGCCACATGCCTGTAGTCCCAGCTACCAGGGAGGCTGAGGCAGGAGAATCGCTTGAACCCAGGAGGCGGAGGATGCAGTGAGCCGAGATCGCGCCATTGCACACCAGATTGGGCAACAAGAGCGAAACTCCATCTCAAAAAAAAAAAAAAAAAAGTATTATGATGGATGTTTTACTTTTCCATTCTTTAAATACAGACTCAGAAAAGCATTCAAAGCCTTTGATTTCAATCACAGCTCTACTATACCTACTGTGTGATCTTGGTTAAATTATTTACTGTCACTGGGCTTCAACAAAAAAATGGAAAAATAGTATCTCTATGGGGAAATTAACATCTACTCTAAAGGACTCTTATAAGTAATAAATGAAATAACACATGTAAAGAACATGACACAGTAAATGCTCAATAAAGGACATTAACCTTCCCTACAGCCTCCTTAAATAATTTGTACAAGACTTCTCAGGTAGTAAACCTAGGGCTTAAACCCAGATCTCCTGATTACTTAATCTATTTTCTCCTTACATTACATTGGCAGGCTGCCACATACTACTGGACACATAAATACATGCTGACAATAACTAATCATAAAATTTTTATCCATCAGTAACTAATTTTAGCTGTGCAAAAAAAAATTGATCACATTAACTTGGGGGAGCCTGAAAAGATAAAATATAAATGACCCCAAACCACAGGACAGGCTGTACCACAGCATTTCTATACAAACAGAAATTAAGACACTGAAAGCTCTCTCTGAGTTTATGAGGAACAATTGGAGAATGAAACAAGAATGACTGTGATTAAAGGAACCTAAGTTTTTTTGGGGTAAACCAAACCACTGGGCAAAAAAATGCGGATTCCACTCCAAAATAACTCTACCAAGGCTGAGGCATATCTTAGAAAAAGACACCTCTCTGTGCTAACAACAAAACATTTTCTCTTATTCCTTTAAGAGTGAGATAAATTGGAAGTGTGAGAGAAATTGCCAACTTTTTTTTTTTGAGACAGAGTCTCCCTCTGTCGCCCAGGCTGGAGTGCAGTGGTGCTAACTCGGCTAACTGCAAGCTCCGCCTACCGGGTTCACGCCATTCTCCTGCCTCAGTCTCCCAAGTAACTGGGACTACAGGCGCCCACCACCATTCCCCGCTAATTTTTTTTGTATTTTTTAGTAGAGAAGGGGTTTCACCGTGTTAGCCAGGATGGTCTCAATCTCCTGACCTCATGATCCACCCACCTTCGCCTCCCAAAGTGCTGGGATTACAGGTGTGAGCCACCGCGCCCGGTCTAAAAATTGTCAACTTAAACAGACAACATTCACCAATATGCTTGAGGACCAAAATGTTTGGATTTGATATTAATAAGCACCATAAAGCTACATGATCAAAACAAAAGTTTTATAAGTTTCCTAACACATATTGAAAATATTGTGAAAATTATACAGTATAAAAATGTATGGCCGAGCGAGGTGGCTCATGCCTGTAATCCCAGCACTTTGGGAGGCCGAGGTGGGCAGATCACAAGGTCAGGAGATAGAGACCATCCTGGCCAACACGGTGAAACCCCATTTCTACTAAAATACAAAAAATTAGCTGGGTGCGGTGGTGCGCACCTGTAGTCCACTTGAACCCAGGAGGCAGAGGCTGCAGTGAGCCAAGATTGCGCCACTGCCTGCAGCCTGGTGACAGAGCAAGACTCCATCTCAAAAAAAAAATTAATTTAAAAAAATGTAAGCCAGGTGCATGCACCTGTAGTTCCAGCTATTGGGGAGGGCTACTTGAGCCCAGGAGTTTTGAGTCCAGCCTGAGCAACATAGGGAGACCTCATCTCTTCAGGAAAAAAAAAAAATTAAATTACTACTTTATTAATAAAAATAATCAATTGTTTTCTAACGATATACAAAACTAATCTTTTTCAAGTGATATACATAACTCTGTTCCAGCTTAAGTTCTAGAAGTTCAAATCTTTAATCATCTCCAAGAACTTTCTTACTAAAAGACAGAATTCAGTCACATTCTGAACCCGTCCAGTTTTTAAAGGAAATGTCAACAGAGAACCCAATCTAACATTGACAGAACACCACAAGATTTAACCAAGTAAGTTAAAAGCTGAGTGAAAATACAAAAAATTAGCCGGGCATGGTGGCACACGCCTGTAATCCCAGCTACGCAAGGAGGGCTGAGGCAGGAGAATTGCTTCAATCCGGGAAGTGGAGGTTGCAGTGAACTGAGATCGTGCCACTGCACTCAAGCCTGGGCGGCAGAGTGAGACTCCATCTCAAAAAAAAAAAAAAAGAAAAACAAAAAGAAAAAAAGCTGAATGAACTTCTATCACAAAGCATGAGATAAGTTGATTAAGTTGATAAGCTCTATCCCTGTAACCTCCCATCAACACCACCAAATTTCTTGGCCTCAATTCAACTTAAGCCTCTGCCAATTATTTCCTGCAGAAACATAATAAAATATTCCTAAGATTGCTTCATGACACTCACAGCAATTTCCATTTGTTATTTAGCATTCATTAGGAGCCAATGAGATAGTCCTTATAACTCTAAATTCTACGCAGAACTTATCAATTCCCAGTGGACAATGTTGCTTTCTTCTCTACATTCTTTCCTCTGATATACATTCTCTTCTACCATAAAAACTTTTTCAAAAATGCACATTCTTAGCTTAACTTCCCAATCTAGATTCTCCATAAAGATAGTCTGGTGGCTCTTCATTAATCCCCTTCTGGGAGCACTGAGGTCGTGTAACTAGGAAATTGCTTATGATTAAGGGCCCTTCATTTAAATCTTGCTGACCTCACACAAAAAATTAAAGGAACAGTAATCTTTCCAAAACTCACATGAGAATACTAAAATAGTGGGAGAATGTGGCCTTGTACAGTTTCCACTCAAGGACTAGGAACTGAATCTCTGCACCCTTAAAACCACTCTCTTAGCCGGGCGCGGTGGCTCATACCTGTAATCCCAGCACTTTGGGAGGCCAAGGCAGGTGGATCACGAGGTCAGGGGTTTAAGACCAGCCTGGCCGAGATGGTAAAACACCATCTCTACTAAAAATACAATAAATTAGCTGGGCGTGGTGGCGACGCCTGTAATCCCAGCTACTCAGGAGGCTGAGGCAGAGAATTGCTTGAACCTGGGAGGCGGAGAAGTTTGCAGTGAGCCGAGATCGCACCACTGCACTCCAGCCTGGGGGACAAAGCAAGACTCCGTCTCAAAAAACACACACACAAAAAAACGCTCTCTTACTGATTCTACATACTTTGGAAACTTATCCAACCCAGAATGACCTCAAGACTGATTTTTTTTTTTTTTTTTTTTTGAGACGGAGTTTCGCTCTTGTTGCCTAGGCTGGAGTGCAACGGCGTGATCTCGGCTCACCGCAACCTCCGCCTCCCGAGTTCAAGTGATTCTCCTGCCTCAGCCTCCCAAGTAGCTGGGATTACAGGCATGCGCCACCACGCCCGGCTAATTTTGAATTTTTAGGTTTCTCCACGTTAGTCAGGCTGGTCTCGAATTTCCGACCTCAGGTGATCCACCTGCCTTGGCCTCCCAAAGTGCTGGGATTACAGGAGTGAGCCACTGCGCCCGACAGGCTGAATTTTTTTTTTTCCAAGAATGAAGTGACACAAATTAGGATCATGGTACTGAATCCGATGAAAATAACAGACTTAGTCCCCAGACTTTCCAAGCTGGGAAGGAAAAGGGAACCACAAAGGAGTTCCCAAAGCGTTAACCTTTCATTTAAATATCTCAATATTTGAATGATTTCTACACACAGCCTTTTTTAGCTTTTGTATGTGCAGTGACCAAACTACTAATCAAATACAACAAAACTGGGCGGGCGCGGTGGATGCCTGTAATTCCAGCACTTTGAGAGGCCGACGTGGACGAATCACTTGAGGCCAGGAGTTCAAGACCAGCCTGGCCAACATGATGAAACCCCGTCTTTACTACAAATACAAAAATTAGCCGAGTGTGGTGGCGCGCGCCGGTACTTCCAGCTACTCGGGAGTCTGAGGCAGGGGAATCGCTTGAACCCGGGAGGCAGAGGTTGCAGTGAGCCAAGATCGCGCCACTGCACTCCAGTTTGGGCGACAGAGCTAGCCTGTCTTAAAAAAAAAAAAGAAAAAAGAGAGACAGACTCCTTGGGTTTCCATTGGATACTCCCCAGAAAGCAGACCCTCACAGGACAAGCGTTTGCCTTCAAAGTCTTGACCATCCTCTACTAGACTCTAACCTCTAACCACAAACACCATAGTTATAAGATTTCCAAAGAGGCTGGGGAGAAGGAGGATAAATCAACCAGGAAACAATGTAGACAACAAGGTTATCAGGAAACAAAGTAGACAACAAGGTTATCAGGAAACAAAGTAGACAACAAGGTTATCAAGAAACAAAAAGAAACTGTCATTGCTACACTAGTTAAAATGATACAGACTTTGAAAAGCAAAACAGCCAAGAAACCACATGGTTCCTTTACTTCTGAAGCCTCTTGTGACAGGATCTATATTCCTAACAGTCTATATTCCTAGGAAAATTGGGATCACAGACGATCAAACAATAACTCACTGTTTTCATAACTTGACTGGTAAGTGGGGGGAAGGGAATTGGTAAACGACAAAAAGTGACTTACAGTGAATTTAATGATCTGTTGGGGATATGTGGGGAAGTCACGTCCCAGACATCAGCCTCAGTTTACCCACCCAGAAAAAGGCGAGAACATAACACTTCGCTCAGAAGAGCCAGAGGGCCTTGTTCCATAAGCCTCCACCTACTCAAAGGTCCCTTCAAAGGCTGGACTCAGTAGGGGTCCCCAGTGCAATTGAGGCATGACACCCGGAGACTTCGGGGTGGGGGGAAAAGGAGAAAGGAAGGAGGGTCAAAGTGCGCAAAGCTCTATCGGTTCCTGGAAAGCCATTTTCGCCACACACTGGGGGTGCCCTAGACCCAACATCTCCTCCCTAAAGAACCACACCGGGAAGCCCCAGCAACTCTCCCTCCTTTCGGCTTCTCCCTCGGTTCCGGGCTGCCCCTCCGGCCGCGCCCCTCAACGCAGTCCGGTAGCCCCTCCTCTGGCAGTGTCACGGCGGCCGGCCAGCCTGCCCACCCGCCGGCGCCAAGGTCTTCTCAACCCCGCGGCGGAAGGATGCCGGGCTGGGCCTCCCAGGCTCCTCCTGGGCCTACCTGCAAGGCAGACGGGAGCTCGGTTTGCAGTCCAGCGAACGGGCTGAGCCACAGGGAAAAAGAAAGAGGAGACAGGAATAAAGGAAGGGGTCCGTTCTACCGACCGGCAGGAGAAGGCGGCTTGAGCGCGGGGCCTCGCGGACAACTCAGCCCTCGACCCGGCGCCGCCGCCGCTCAGGAGACATCAAGCAAGAAGACGGCGCAAAAGATCACCGAATACAAGAACGCCCCAGACATCAAAGGAGGAACGCCCAAGCAATCGTTCAAGGAACCACAGCCGAGCGCCGAAAAACAGCTCAACTCCTACTCAAGGTCCGGCTCCTGTCTGAGGCGTAAATAAACAAACCCAGATCATAAGCCACGGGTTAAAAAAGAGCCTGCACTTCTGCCATTTTCTGTGGGTCGCCGGCTGTTAAAGTTCTTTAGAGAACTGGAGTTTCTCGTGAATGTGTTGAAGATCAAATCATAGCGCAATAACACTTGTTGTGTAACTATAGTCCCCCAACTGTTCTATGGACTCCCAACACTCTTTATCCCAATTGAGCAAATTAGTTAACCTCATTTGACCCTTAGTTTCCTAACAGAGCAGTGAGGGGAATTAAAAATCATAGAGACAGAAAACGAGAGAGAATTCAAGCTGAGGAACAAAATGAACAGTCTACGTAAAAGCTCCAGTTTAGTCCCCACAAAGCATGACCAAGAGAAGCTGGGAAAACCCAGAATTATGTAGCCTGACCTTAAGGCAGGGGGAAAAAAAGCACACGGATTGCTTTTCTCTTTTATTTTCTTCCAAAGGCCTAGAGCCACAGGTGTGCTTCTTACATAATAAGCAAAAGTCTCTTTGGGTTCAGAACCTGATAAAGTGTTGACATTTTCATCACCACAACAATGGCTTTTTTCTGTAGTCTCTTAGTTGATAAATGAATATGCTCAGCACAAATATGGATTAATATGTACATCCTAGATGTGATTCAATAAATCACAAAGATCACTGCAAGTATGGTTACCAATTGTGAGCAATCATAGTCTACCTTACCTGCTCCTAGGGAGGTTTACACCCTTCCCCACTACTCAGAGAGGAAGGGTGTAAAAAGGAAACAAGATAGTCCCAGTTTGTCGGGCGCAGCGGCTCACGTCCATAATTCCAGCACTTTAGGAGACGAGGCTGGTGGATTGCTTTGAGCCCTGGAGTTCAAGACCAGCCTGGGCAACATGGTGAGACTCCAGTCTCTATAAAAAAAAAATAAATAAATACAAAAAGTTAGCCGGGCCTGGTGGCTCCCGCCTGTAGGCCCAGCTACTCGGGAAGCTAAGATGAAAGGATATCCTGAGCCCGGGAGGTGGAGGCTGCGATGAGCCATGATCACACCATTGCACTCCAGCCTGATCTATGGAGCAAGACCCTATCTTAAATTTTTTTTTTTTTAAATGCCGGGCGCAGTGGCTCACGCCTGTAAGCCCAGGACTTTGGGAGGCCGAGGCAGGTGGATCACGAGGTCAGGAGTTTGAGACCAGCCTGGTCAAGATGGTGAAACCCCGTCTCTACTAAAAATACAAAAATTAGCCGGTCGTGGTGGCGGGTGCCTGTTATCCCAGCTTTTCGGGAGGCTGAGGCAGGAGAATCGCTTGAACCCAGGAGGCGGAGGTTGCAGTGAGCAGAGATCGTGCCACTGCACTCCAGCCTGGGCGACACAGCAAGACTCCGTCTAAAAAAAAAAAAAAAAAAAAAAAAAAAAAAAAAAAAAAAAAAAAAAAAGTCCCAGCCTTTGAAGACTTTAATTAAACTCAAAGAGCACATCCTTACAGTATTAGCCTTTTTTAAATAATGTATTGGCACTTTACAAAAATCTCCTCTAAGTCTTTGAAAATACTGCCCAGGCCGGGCGCGGTGGCTCACGCCTGTAATCCCAGCACTTTGGGAGGCCGAGGCGGGCGGTTCATGAGGTCAGGAGATTGAGACCATCCTGGCTAATGCGGTGAACCCCGTCTCTACTAAAAATACAAAAAATTAGCCAAGCGTGGTGGCAGGAGCCTGTAGTCCCAGCTACTCGGGACTACAAAAAAAAAAAAAAAGAAAGAAAGAAAACTCTCCTTCTTGGAGAGGCTTGTGGAGCATAGCTATAGCCCTCATTCAAATTTTACTCAGATAACTACATTGTTTTTGTTTCTTTGTTTTTTGAGACGGACTCTCGCTCTGTCGCCCAGGCTGGAGTGCAGTGGAGCGATCTTGGCTCACTGCAACCTCTGGCTCCTGTGTTCACGCCATTCTCCCGCCTCAGCCTCCCGAGTAGCTGGGACTACATGCGCCCGCCACCACGCCCGGCTTTTTTTTTTTTTGAGGATTCTCGCTCTGTCACCCAGGCTGGAGTGCAGTGGCATGATCTCGACTCACTGCAAGCTCCGCCTCCCGGGTTCACGCCATTCTCCCGCCTCAGCCTCCCGAGTAGCTGGGACTACAGGCGTCCGCCACCACGCCCAGTTAATTTTTTGTATTTTTAGTAGGGATGGGGTTTCACCGTGGTCTCGATCTTCTGACCTTGTGATCCGCCCGCCTCGGCCTCCCAAAGTGCTGGGATTACAGGGGTGAGCCACTGCGCCCGGCCACGCCCGGCTAATTTTTTTGTATTTTTAGTAGAGACGGGGTTTCACCGTGTTAGCCAGGATGGTCTCGATCTCCTGACCTCGTGATCCACCCACCTCGGCTTCCCGAAGTCCTGGGATTACAGGCTTGAGCCACTGCGCCCGGCCAACTACATTGTTTTGAAACCTTGATTGCAGTAAAAAAAACTAATTTCACTGCTCTAGACATTTTCCTTTTTTCAAAAGCTGGAGACTTTTGAGTAAAACACCTGAAAGTTCGGCAAAGATTTATCTAAAATCATCATCTGAAAATGAAAATATTTGCAACGCTGAGTCTAGACTGCTTTGTGAGACCATGGAAAGGGTGGCTTATTCTATGGGCAGAGTTGCACCTTTACAGATAAATTTCCTTTAGAGAACTGTTCTTTTCAAATATGTATGTATATATATGGATTTAAGCTTCAGTTTGACAGCAAACTACTGCATGTTCTTATGGAAATGTTTATTTAGACTGAAGAGTGGATCACAAGAGATCAGGAGTTGAAACCATCAACCTTGCGGGAATCTCCTCACACTAGAGGAAAAACTGTAAAAAAGAAACAAGGCCAGCAGAAGTGAAGATCATCCTGGGCTGTACCCCTGATGTTCCTCATATTGATGTTAAGACTCAAGAACTCATTATGGTGTTTACTGTTGATCACTGAATTCTGGTAGGACTCTCCTCATGGAGCCACTCCCCTGAGGTAGGATGGTGCTTCCCTGAAGTAGGATAACCAGTCTTAGTTTTGCCCAGGACTGAGGAGTTTCCCTGAACATGGGACTTTGAGTGTTAAAACTGTGACAGCCATGGGAAATCTGGGACAGTTCACTCTTAAGCATGGACCTTGCCCCTGTCAATCACATGGAAAAAACTTTGGAAAGACTAAACCAACAAGAGGTCAGGTGTGGCAGCTCACACCTGTACTCTCAGCACTTTGGAAGTCCAGGGCGGGAGGATAGGTTAAGTCCAGGAGTTTGAGACCAGCCTGGGCAACATAGTGAGAACCTGTCTCTAAAAAACAAAAAAATTTTTTTAATTAGCAGGGAGTGGTGGCATACACTGGCAATCCCAGATGTTCAGGAGGCTGGGGCAGGAGGCTCACCTGAGCCCAGGAGGTCGAGTCTGCAGTGTGTCATGATCACACCACTGTACTCCAGTCTGGGCAACAGAGACAGTGAAACCCTGCCTCAAAAAAAAAAAAAAAAAAAAAAGAGGATGAGGATGGGACACACTTGCCTAGGAGACTTGCCTGGAATGAAGGGTGAAGGAGGGAGGGGAGAGAACAGGGAATTGGAGACTGTTCCTTATCTTGGCTCTGGGTTCTGAGAAACATGCCTCTACCACACACTCGGTGGTAGAAATCAGGTTTGACCCTAGCGTGAGATAATTCTGTAATGGTACCGTGAGTCATCTTACTAGGAAGTGCAGGAAGACCAGTCAGGCCTTGAACAGCTGAAATGGTAAGCCAGTTGTCAATTCTGCCATTGCAATTCTGTTCTGTTCTTTTCTAGCCGGTTCTTTTTGTGCTGTGGGGTAATGTATACACTTGATGATGGAATGGTAAAGGTAGTAGTATAGTGACGTAGGAGCAGCCCAGGGAAGGAGAGAGAGCCCAGAACAGCAGGGAACTGCTAGCCGTAGAATGATAGAAGGCTCTCCCTTCTTTGGAATTATTTCTATAAGATAAATCTCCAGTGATGAAATTTATCAATAGATCAAAATGTATGAATATTTTAAGGCTCTAGAATGACAAAGAAATCAGCCCATCTGTAAAAGACAGCATAAAGATTAGAGAAAGTTAACATGTCAACAGAATAATAGATCCTTAATGTTTTGCTGGGCAAACAGGGAGGCCCCTTTTTGAAATTTGCTAATTTATGATTTCAAAGTCTAATCTCCTTTCTCCTGTTCAGTATCCAGAGATCTAATTTCTTCTACTTTACAATCACAAGAGGCCTTCAGTTGTAGTCATTTTTTTTTCTCTTTTTTTTTTTTTGGAGTTTTGCTCTTGTTGCTGGAGTTGCAATGACAGGATCTCAGCTCACTGCAATCTCTGCCTCCCAGGTTTAAGTGATTCTCCTGCCTCAGCCTCCCTAGTAACTGGGATGACAGGCGCCCGCCACCATGCCCAGCTAATTTTTGTACTTTTAGTAGAGACGGGGTTTCACCATGTTGGCCAGGATGGTCTCGATCTCTTGACCTTGTGATCTGCCTACCTCGGCCTCCCAAAGTGCTGGGATTACAGGCGTGAGCCACTGTGCCCAGCCTGTAGTCATGTTAAAAAAAAAGTTTAGGCTGGGCACGGTACTTTATGCCTGTAATCCCTATAATCTCAGAGCGCTTCGAGAGGCCAAGGCAGGAGGATTGCTTGAGGCCAGGAATTCAAGACCAGCCTGAGCAACATAGTCAGACCCTGTCTGTACCAAAAAAAAATTAGCCAGGCATGGTAGTGTACACTTCTAGTCCTAGCTACTTGGGAGGCTGAGGTGGGAGGATCACTTGAGCCCAAGAGTTCAAGGCTGTAATAAGCTACAATCACACCACTGCACTCCAGCCTGGGTGACAGAGTGAGACCCTGTCTCTACAAAAGTTAATTTAAAAAAATTCAGGGCCGGGTGCAGTGGCTCACGCCTGTAATCCCAGCACTTTAAGAGGCCGAGGCGGACGGATCACAAGGTCAGGAGATCGAGACCATCCTGGCCAACATGGTGAAACCCTGTCTCTACTAAAAATACAAAAATAAGCTGGGCACAGTGGCACGTGCCTGTAATCCTAGCTACCCGGGAAGCTGAGGCAGGAGAATAGCTTGAACCAGGGAGGCGGAGGTTGCAGTGAGCCGAGATCGTGCCACTGCACTCCAGCCTGGGTGACAGAGTGAGACTCCATCTCAAAAAAAAAAAAAAAAAAAAAAAAAAAAATTCAGGGCCGGGCACAGGGGCATGCAATCCCAGCACTTTTAGGAGGCCAAGGCAGGCAGATCAATTGAATCCAGGATTTCGAGACCAGGTTGGGCAACTTAGCAAAACCCCATTGCTACAAAAAAAAAAAAAAAGAATTAACTGGGTATGGTGGTGTGTGCCTGTAGTCCCAGCTACTCGGAAGACTGACGTCAGAGGATCACTTGAGCCTGGAAGGTGGAGGCTGCAGTAAGCCGAGATCACTCCACTGTACTGCTCTAGCCTTGGCAACAGAGCAAGACCCTGTCTCAAAAAAAAAAAAAAAAAGGTTTTTTTTAGAACAAGGATTTCTGTGTGATTAAAAAAAAAGTCTATTAATTTTATGTGTTGGGAAACTAGCATGTCCCCAGCCTTCAGCTAGTATTTTTCCTTCCTTTCCACATAATCAACAAAGTCTTAATCCTGAATCTGTGATTTCTCATACCCACAACAATTTTGGAAAATCTTGGCAGGATCTAGAGAGCAAAATGGGCCCTGAGGACATGTGTATGCACAAAAACCCTTTCATTTCTTATTTTCTTGTCCTCCTTCTAACTTCCCCTCCACTGCCAGGGAAAGTAACTACGAAGCTCAGTCTTTGGGCTATTTTCCGTTTGTTTCAGATACAGATAAAATCTTATTATATCTATGATCTGTCTAGCCTCTTTCACCGTTACCCACTTCTTCTATGTCTTCACTACATGACTCCACTAAAATTGTGTCTTGTTTTTTATCCCTAAGTTAGATTAACTTGGTCTAGATCCTTCACAGTCCTAGGATCAGGAAAACAGCTTCATCCCTATTCAGTTAACTTAAACCAAGAATATGTTTATGGTCCCTCTTTTGTATAATCTGGAATTGGTAAATTGGTGATCACCCAATATTGTTTTCCCTTGATATATCCTGAGACCTTACTGCCTTGAAACATCTAAGGGTAAATCTGGAAAACTACTATGCTGGCCAGATGGAGTTATCTATGGGAAAATGAGGCTTACGTAAGACAGACAAAATCCTTGACTCTTTCCCAAAACCATGCCAGAAAAAAGCTATAAATCCACACTAAGGACCACAAAGGGAGCAGCTTTCTCAGACGCTTATAAAAAGCCCCTGTGAGGACACCCTTGGCAATTTGGAAGTACAGACCCTGATCCTTCCCCTCCATCATTTTGGGGAAATAACTAACCAATGACAAAAGAAAAAAAAAAATCCTGGCCTGCAAAACCACAGGTTGAAAGGAGGTTAAAGGTGTAGATCTGAAGAGTTTCCCTGTGGGATTATTAGAAAATAAAATGCTCCCAGGGAAAAACACTGTCAGCCAATGTTCAGCCAGCTCAGCACTTAGATTATCTTTGGTGTGCAAGTAAACAGACTTGAAATTGCTTTTGAAATCTCTCCAAGACTGTCCATCCCACTCAGTCTTTTATGTCACCATCTAGTGAGTTAAGTTGTGAAAAACTCCAATTTTCCTTAAATATAGTTATACAAGGCTAAAATGCAAGGCATTTTCCATGATCACACTTCACCTTGCCACTTATGATACATGTTGGGCAGTAACCCTTTCCTGATGCGATCTACCAAACAGAACCAAAACTTTATGGGGAAAATACCCATCTTAGAAGACTTAAAAAGGAAAGACCTTAAGAATTAAAACATTGCCTTATGAGGGAAACAAGTTGAACTTTACAAAGAAAAAAATGTTAACCGGGCACCTCTGTTGCACAATGAATAGAGTTAATGTTTCTAGCCAACTCTTCGTTGTCCATTCCCACCTCAATGACATCCCTGTGCATATTAAGCACAATCTTCTGCCAAATGGACCCACTCTTTATAGAGCAGGATAATGATGGTGAATAGCATTTGGAGTAGAAATAAAACAGCAGATAATAATCCATAATTGTTTTTAATCTTGAGGATGAGTCACCCTCAATTTATTTCCAAATTTCTTCTGTCATCAGCTGTTCATTTCTTTACTTTGAAAATCACCAGATTAACACTGCCAAAGGCAAGAGGTAGGAAATGATCCAAGAGGACAAGTCAGAGGTATCACATGGTGAGTGGCTGAGAAACTGGAACAAGACAACCCTCAGGAAAGTCTCTTTTTTGTCCCAGCAAAGGCACCAATGTGTGAACCTAATTCACACTTTCATTATTCTAATCAGGTTATTTTTATATCAGTGTAATTTTAGAACAAGACTTGCTAGGGGATTATTTATTTCTTAGGAAATTCTGTCCATCACTCTGCATATCCAAGGTCTAGCACCAGAATTCATTTCAAGCCAAGAAATTATATTCCTATTACCTCTCCTTTGTAATACTTTCACATGCCTTCTTTATTCCCTGAATCTTCCTTTTGTACAACGAATTTCAAAACAGAATGACCAGACTTTCTAACATCACAATTATAAGAAATGTGATCTAGTTGAATGTGAGGTGTCTGAACCTGGGTGAATCTGCATTGCTCATCAATCTCTCTCAGTCCTTAGAACGCCTGTAAAGCATAAGCTTGCTATTTTATCTATATTCGAATTGCCTTTTTTAAGCTGATTGGGTTCTCAAACCCATTTAGCCTCTAACTCCGAGTCAGGGTTGGAAATAGGAAACTGGAGTCCAGATGTTCTCCCTAGGATCTAGGTCCAAGTCACAGTCCAATTATTGCAGACAGGCTAAAGATGGAGGTTTCTGACTGTCTTTAACATCCTCTTAAAAGCACAAAGCTGCAAACTGAGATTAGTAGCCATTTACTAATGTCAGAAGATCATTCCCCAACTGAAATTCTCTCTTCACATTTGCCTCAGATTATGCCTATATAGGCAGCAAAGTAGAAAAACTAAAATACCACCCAAATAATCCAGAACAAGTAAATATTGTTTTCTTTCTTTTTTTTTTTTGAGACAGAGTCTCGCTCGGTTGCCCAGGCTGGAGTGCGATGGCACAATCTCGGCTCGCTGCAACCTCTGCTTCCTGTGTTCAAGTGATTCTCCTGCCTCAGCCTCCTGAGTAGCTGGGATTACAGGCGCGTGCCACCACGCCCGGATAATTTTTGTATTTTTTAGTAGAGACGGGGTTTCACCATGTTGCTCAGGCTTGGTCAGGCTGGTGTCGAACTCCCGACCTCAGGTGATCTGCCCACCTCGGCCTCCCAACGTGCTGGGATTATGGGATTATAGGCGTAAGCCACCACACCCGGCCTATGTAAATACTGTTTTCATCTGAAATCTGCAGATAATTGAAACCAAAAAAGTGTTTTGACTATATGCTGTTTTCCCCTTTACTATGAGTTTTTTTTTTGTTTGTTTGTTTGTTTTTTTGGAGAAAGCCTTGCTCTGTCACTCAGGCTGGAGTGCAGTGGCATGATCTTGGCTCAGTGCAACCTCCGACTCCCAGGTTCAAGCGATTCTCCTGCCTCAGCATCCCGAGTAGCTGGGATTTCAGGCATGTACCACCACGCCCGGCTAATTTTTTTTTTTTTTTTTTTTTGAGACGGAGTTTCGCTCTTCTTGCCTAGGCTGGAGTGCAATGGCACGATCTCGGCTCACCACAACCTCCGCCTCCCTGGTTCAAGTGATTCTCCTGCCTCAGCCTACCGAGTAGCTGGGATTACAGGCACCTGTCACCACGCCCAGCTAATTTTTTTGTATTTTTAGTAGAGACAGGGTCTTGCCATGTTGCCCAGGCTGGTCTTAACTCCTGAACTCAGGTGATCCGCCCGCCTCGGCCTCCCAAAGTGCTGGGATTACAGGCGTGAGCCACCGCACCCGGCCGCTAATTTTTGTATTTTTAGTAGAGACGGGGTTTCACCATGTTGGCCAGGCTGGTCTTGTCTTGAACTCCTGACCTTTACTATGACTTTGTAGGCACAGTCATAAATGTTTGCAACCACTGAGCTTTCAAATTAGTGGTACTCAACCTAGAGTTCACTGGATAGTAGGGAGCCGCTGTCTTGGTTTCAGTTTAATTAATGCATATGCAAATGAATCAAGATATTCTGGCATAGCCCCAACCTTACCAAAACACACATATTAAATGTCAGTTTATGACAAGTATCTGTATACTCAGTCATGCTAGATGATGGAACTGTGTAAAAGGTGATGAGGAGGAAAGTCTGTCACAACTCCTGGGAAGTATCCCTCCTCTCCACCTTCTACATTAGCTAAAATGAGTGAGCATTAGCTCCTGACGAATACGGTCAGCCTCTAAGTCCAGGGACTCCATGTGCTCATACTCCTCTTCCGGGGGCTGTTCCATGGGTCCTGTCATTGGAGAGGACCAAACATCCATCCCATGCTCCAGGGAGATGTTGTGGAGGACACAACAGGCCAAGATGATATGGCTGGATTTCTCTGGTGAGTACTGCAGTGCCCCCTTGGATCCATCCAGGCAGCGGAATCGGGAGCAGAGGGTTCGGAAAGTCTTCTCAATCACACTGTGAGTTGCAGAATGGGCCATGTTATAGCGATATTCTGCTGGAGTTTCAGGAATGTGAAGTGGGGTCATGAGCCAGGTTCGAAGAAAGAAGGAACTGTCACCTGTGGGGAAGGCCCAAATAAATCATAAATGACTATAAGTGGAATAGAAACAGGAAGTGAAATTCAGAAAACATATACTGACAATGGACAAGAAAATACAACAGCCTCTGGCGCCAAAGCACACTAGAAAAACCAAGCGGAAAATGCTATGGTAAAAAGAAATCATGCCAATGCCAGGAGCAGAAAGACACGAGTTCTGGCTGAGAATGTCGTTGGTAAAAATCGACACATAAAAACGCTGGCACCTAAAGGAAGCCAAATATGAAAGAATGTAGGAAGGAGGTGAAGGCACTGGAGGAAATAAAATTCCTGCATTTGGCCGGGCATGGTGACTCACGCCTGTAATGACAGCACTTTGGGAGGCTGAGGCGGGTGGATCACCAACTGAGGCCCGGAGTTCAAGACCAGCCTGACCAACGTGGGAGGCGGAGATTGCAGTGAGCCAAGATCACGCCATTGCACTCCAACCTGGGCGACAAGCGCGAAACTCCATCTCAAATAAAATAAAATTCCTGCATTTTCCTAATTCAGAGATATTGTTATTAATAAAAGGCTTAATAAAACCAAATAAAATCAAATAGCATGCCAATCTTCAAAATCTCTACAGAGCAAGAATGAAACAGGAAAAAAGAGAATTCTGCCAAGAGATCCCAAAACACTTGTGAGGGGAAGTCTTAACTTTACCCTCAAAATTTCAAGTCTAAAAGCACTACCAAGGGATTTCAGGGGATTTCATGGACTACAGTAATTTATTCTCCCAGTGCTAAGAAGAATAAGATAAAAGTCCGAGCACTTATGGCAGAGATCAGAACTCAGGTGTTCTGCCTTCCTATATATCACAATTACTAGAACCATGCCTTTGTAAGAGGAAGAATTTCACATGAACAAAGAGAGCATACATATAATCATGCAAATAGTAATAGTTGGTGATAAGGAAATGAATTCAGAAGTCAATTAAAAAAATACACACAAGGCATTCTCCTTAAGTGACTTCTTTATCAAATGATCCCAGGAAGTGCTAACAAAACAACAACAACAAAAAACTGGGGTGCAATGCCCTGATCCAACAGCACAATGTTAGTATAATGCTTTCTTGTCCTGACTCACTGTCACTACATCTGGCAGATGAGATGTCCCGCACAGAGGCAAAACCTCTTAGAAATTTGAGAGACAAATAGGCCCTGGAGTACCAGTTTGCATACCACTGTGTTCCTGCCCCACCATCAATTTCAGTAAATAGTTCTGGACTGTTCAGACAGTGGTAGGCACTGTTCCCAACATACAGGGCTCATTTCTTTTAGGCGCTTACATTTATTTTTTTGGAGACAGAGTTTTGCTCTGTCACCCAGGCTGGAATGCAGTGGAGTGATAACAGTTCGCTGCAGCCTCAACCTTCCAGCCTCCTACCTCAGCCTCCCGAATATCTGGGACCACAGGCATGCGCCACCATGCCTGGCAAAATTTTTAATGTTTTCTAGAGAGGAGGTTTCACTATGTTACCCAGGCTGGTCTCTTAAGTCCCGTGCCCAAACAATCCACCCACCTCGACCTCCCAAAGCCCTGGAATTACAGCGCCGAGCAGGAGCTTACATTTCTGGATTAACTGTAAATATCTAAGAAGTCTCACAAAATTTTCAAATTTACTATTTAGCTGACTTTTCCCCTCCCAGGTATAACCTTTTTTTTTTTTTTTTTTTTTTTGACAGTCTGCTCTGTTGCCCAGGCTGGAGTGCAGTGGTGCAATCTCAGCTCACTGCAACCTCCACCTCCCAGGTTTAAGCAATTCTCCTGTCTCAGCCTCCTGAGTAGCTGGGACTACAGGCACACGCCACCACGCCCGGCTAATTTTTTGTGTTTTTAGTAGAGACGGGGTTTCACCATGTTGGCCAGGCTGGTCACGATCTCCTGACTTCATGATCCACCCACCTCGGCCTCCCAAAGGGCTGGGATTCCAGGCATGAGCCACCGCACCCAGTTTTTTGTTTGTTTGTTTGTTTTTTTGAGAGTCTCACTCTGCCCAGGCTGAAGTGCAGTAGCATGATCTCGGCTCACTGCAACCTCCGCCTCACAGTTTCAAGCAATTCTCCTGCCTCACCTTACCAAGTAGCTGGGATTACAGGCACCTGCCACCACGCCCAGCTAATTTTTGTATTTTTAGTAGAGATGGGGTTTCACCATGCTGGCCAGGCTGGTCTCAAACTCCTGACCTCATGCGATCCACCCCCTTCGGCTTCCCAAAGTGCTGGGATTACAGGCGTGAGACACCACGCCCGGCCATAACCTTTTCTTTTTATTGAACATAACCCTACTAAATAATGAATTTAAGAAACTGATGCTATAAATAATAATGAAAAATAATATCCATGACTCATTGAACACCTACTATGTAGCATGTACTGTGCTGGTACTTTTTTTTTTTTTGAGACGGAGCCTCACTCTGTCGCCCAGGCTGGAGTGCAGTGGTGCAATCTCGGCTCACTGCAACCTCTGCCTCCCGGGTTGAAGCTATTCTCCTACCTCAGTCTCCTGAGTAGCTGGGACTACAGGCATGTACCACCATGACTGGCTAATTTTGGTATTTTTAGTAGAGATGGGGATTTCACCATGTTGGCCAGGCTGGTCTCAAACTCCCAACCTCAGATGATCCGCTCCCTTTGGCCTCCCAAAGTGCTGGGATTACAATCGTGAGCCACCATGCCTGGCCTAACTTTATTTTCAATATTTATTTACTTTACTTTAGTTTTGTTTTTTGAGACAGAGTCTCACTCTGTTGCCCACGCTGAAGTGCAGTGGTATGATCATAGCTCACTGCAACCTCAAACTCCTGAGCTCAAGCAATCCTCCCAACACACCCTCCTGAGTAGCTGGGATTACAGGCACATGCCACAACACCCAGCTAATTTTTAAACTTTTTGTAGAGACAGGGTCTTGTTATGTTGCTAGGCTGACCCTGAACTCCTGGCCTCAAGCATTCCTCCCGCTTCAGGAGGAACTCCCACCTGCTTCACCTCCCAAGGTGCTGACATTACAGGTGTGACCACCACACCCAGCTGGTACTTTTTAAAGATTATCAGGCTGGGCACGGTGGCTCACACCTGTAATCCCAGCACTTTGAGAGGCTAAGGCAGGCGGATCACCTGAGGTCAGGAGTTTGAGACCAGTCTGGTCAACACAGCAAAACCCCATCTCTACTAAAAATACAAAAATTAGCCAGGCATGGTGGTGCGTGCCTGTAGCCCCAGCTACAGGAGGCTGAGGTAGAAAACTGTTTGAACCTGGGAGGTAGAGGATGCAGTGAGCCGAGATCACGCCACTGCACTCCAGCCAAGGCGACAGGGTGAGACTGTCTCAAAAAAAAAAAAAAAAAAAAGATTATCTCTTATTATGCAATCCCAACTCTGCTAGGTTAGATATTGAACTTATTTTTCAAATGAGAAGATCAAAGTATATGTTCGTCATCCTTTGATATGTTAGGCAAAGGAAAGACCTAGTCACTAAATGCTAATTTCAGACTCAGAATACTAAAACAAGAGCATAATAAAACAAGAATATAATGCTGTAAAAGAGAATAAAATAAGTAAGATGAATACTGAAAACTGGAGATGCTAAATGATCCTTGTTAAAGTTTCTCTAAGAAATGGTATGAGTCTTAAATGGAGGAGATATACAGGAAAAGCTAAAGGAGACCTTTTGTAAAATTGCTCTACCCTCACTAAATGGTTATAAACCAAGCACTACTGGAAAACAGACACTCAAGAGGGGATTAGGATCAGAATTGCTAAACAGATTACAATTGCTTATATGATCAGTCATCCACAAGACATTTTGGCAGATCTTACCCAAAGCTGCTTAATAGGACTAGGCCAAGAGCTAAAGAAATAAGAACTGAGGCTGAATTGTTTGCAGGAATAGGTATATTTAGAGGGGAATTTAGATAATGCATTCTGAAGGGACAGATGAGAATGAGGACAGGAATGGATAATATCGTAGGAAAAATAATGCAAAAAAAAAAAAAAAAAAGGCCAGAGGCTCACAGCTAGTTCTAGGTTTGACAAATCTAGAACTGTTCCTCAAACCTAAGGGTTGTTTCTTAAAATACAATTAGGCGGCCAGGTGCAGGGCTTCATGCCTGTAATCCCAGCACTTTGGGAGGCCACAGTGGGTGGATCACCTGAGGTTGGGAGTTTGAGACCAGCCTGACCAACGTGGTGAAGCCCCGTCTCTACTAAAATACAAAAATTAGCTGGGCATGGTGGCAGGCACCTGTAATTTCAGCTACTCAGGAGGCTGAGGCAGGAGAATTGCTTGAACCCAGGAGGCACAGGTTGCAGTGAGCTGAGATCGCCCCATTGCACCACAGCCTGGGCAACAAGAGCGAAACTCCATCTCAAACAACAACAACAACAACAACAACAAAAATACAATTAGCCATCTATTCTCTCTTTTAACATCTTGTCATTCCTTATAATCCTGCCAATCTTCCCATAATTACTCCCACTGTCCACACAACCTTTAGAGACTAGTGTTTTCCAAATCTGTCTATTCATATGAATGATTTAGGGTATCTCTCTGTTGCCCAGACTGGAGTGCAATAGCACGATCGTAGCTCACTGCAGCCTTGAACTCCTAGGCTCAAGTGATCCTCCCAGGTCAGCCTCCTGAGTAAGCTGGGACTACAGGCACACGCCACCATGCCTGGCAATTAAAAAAAAAATTTTTTTTTTTTTTTGGAGATACAGTCTCCAGCCCAGTCTGGAGTACAGTCACAGAATCTTGGTTCACTACAACCTCCGCCTCCTGGGTTCAAGCAATTCTCCTGCCTCAGCCACTCGAGTAGCTGGGATTACAGGCATGCGCCACCAGGCCCGGCTAATTTTGTATTTTTAGTAGAGACAGGGTTTCACCATGTTGGCCAGGCTAATCTTGAACTCCTGACCTCAGGTGATCTGCCTGCCTCGGCCTCCCAAAGTGCTGGGATTACAGGCTTGAGCCACCGCACCTGACAAATTTTTTTTTTCTTTTTTTTTTTTTGAGGCAAAGTCTCGCTCTTGTCCCCCAGGCTAGAGTGCAATGGCGTGATCTCAGCTCACTGCAACCTCCGCCTCCCAGGTTCAAGCGATTCTCCTGCCTCAGCCTCCCGAGTAGCTGGGATTACAGGCGCCTGCCACCACACCTGGCTAATTTTTATATTTTTAGAAGAGATGGGATTTCACCATCTTGGCCAGGCTGGTCTCAAACTTCTGACCTCAGGTGATGTGCCCGCCTTGGCCTCCAAAAGTGCTGGGATTTAGCACCTGGCTAAAATTAGCACCAGGCTAATTTTTGTATTTTTAGTAGAGATGGGGTTTCACCATCTTGGCCAGGCTTGTCTTGAACCTCTGACCTCGTTATCCACCTGCCTTGGCCTCCCAAAGTGCTGGGATCACAGGCGTGAGCCACTTTTCTTTTTTTTTTTAAGATGGAGTCTCACTCTGTCATCCAGGTTGGAATGCAGTGGCAGGATCTCCGCCCACTGCAACCTCCACCTACCAGGATCAAGCAATTCTCCTGCATCAGCCTCCTGAGTAGCTGGAATCACAGGCTCACGCCACCGTGCCTGGGTAATTTTTGTATATTTAGTAGAGACAGGGTTTCAGCATGTTGACCAGCTGGTCTGGAAGTCCTGACCTCAAGTGATCCACAGACGTGAGCCACCACGCCCGGCCTGAGGAAATCAGTTTCCACATCTTCAACTTCCACAGGTATATTCCAAGATTTCTTCATGCCTCACACCAAAACTAGCTTTAATAAACACTTGCTGACCAGGCACAGTGGCTCATACCTGTAATCCCAGCACTTTGGGAGGCTGAGGTGGACTGGCTGAGCTCAGGAGTTTGAGACCTGCCTGGGCAACACAGTGAGACCCAGACTCTACAAAAAAAAAAATAAATAAATAAAAGAATTTTTTTTTTTTTTTTTTTTGAGAGTAAGTCTCACTCTGTTGCCCAGGCTAGAGTGCAATGGTGCAATCTCGGCTCACTGCAACCTCCACCTCCCAGGTTCAAGTGATTCTCCTGCCTCAGCCTCCTGAATAGCTAGGACTACAAGTGCCCACCACCATGCCTGGGTAATTTTTGTATTTTTTGTAGAGATGAGGTTTCACCATGTTGGCCAGGCTGGTCTCAAACTCCTGACCTCAGGTGATCCACCCGCTTTGGCCTCCCAAAGTGCTGGGATTACAGGCATGAGTCACAGCGCCCAGCCAAAAAATTTAAAACAAAATTAGCCAGGCATGATGGCAGGCACCTATGGTCCCAACTACTCGGTAGACTGATGTGGGAGGATCAATTGAGCCCAGGAGGTCAAGGCTTCAATAAGTTGTGATCATGCCAGTGCACTCCAGCGTGGGTGACAGAGTGAGACCCTGTTTCAAAAATACATGTGTGTGTATGTATATAATATATATATATATATATAAAATAATAAAAAGGCCAGGCGCGGTGGGCTCACGCCTGTAATCCCAGCACTTTGGGAGGCCAAGGCGGGCGGATCAAGAGGTCAGGAGATGGAGGCCATCCTGGCTAACACAGTGAAACCCCATCTCTACTAAAAATACAAAAAATTAGCTGGGCGTGGTGGCGGGCGCCTATAGTCCCAGCTACTCCGGAGGCTGAGGCAGGAGAGTGCTGTGAACCCGGGAGGCGGAGCTTGCAGTGAGCCGAGATCGCACCACTGCACTCCAGCTGGGCGACAGAGCGAGACTCCGTCTCAAAAAATAAATAAATAAATAAACATTCGTTAAATGTTGCTACAGTATCCATTTTTCCCACTCCTACTCTTTCTGTAGAGAGGGGCATCAGAAAAGTTATTTATCAGAATTTTTACTAATTTTCAACTATTTACTATAAACAATGTAAAAAACTACTTTAAAGCCATAATTCCAACTGAATCTTGGATCCCAAGGTGGGAAGAAAAAGAAGTCCTTACCAGGAATATTTGCCAAATAAAGTAATTCGTCCTATGATCTGATTTAAACACTGAAACACAAGCGACTTAAATGTTATGTGCCTCAGTCTCCTCTTTTGTAAAAATGTTAATATTATTATTATTTAACTCTTTTTTTTTTTTTTTTTTTTTGAGACAGAGTCTTGCTCTGTCTCCCAGGCTGGAGTGCAGTGGCGTGATCTCGGCTCACTGCAAACTCCACCTCCCGGGTTCACGCCATTCTCCTGCCTCAGCCTCCGGAGTAGCTGGGACTACAGGCGCCTGCCACCACGCCTGGCTTATGTTTTGTATTTTTAGTAGAGATGAGGTTTCACTGTGTTAGCCAGGATGGTCTGGATCTCCTGACCTCGTGATCCGCCCACCTCGGCCTCCCAAAGTGCTGGGATTACAGGCGTGAGCCACCGTGCCCGGCTATTATTTAACTCTTAAAGAGTTTTTATAAGCATTAAGTGATATAATTGATGCAAAATGCTTACAATATTGCCTGTCAAATTTTAAGGGCTAAGTTTTAGCTGGCTTAATAGTTAGGGAACCGGGCAGGGTGCAGTAGCTCATGCCTGTAATTCCAGCAATTTGGGAGTACAAGGTGGGCTAACTGCTTGAGCCTAGGGGTTCGAGACCAGCCTGGGCAGCATGACAAAACGCCAGCTTTACCAAAAATACAAAAATTAGCCCAGCATGGTGGTGTGCATCTGTAGTCCCAGCTACTCGGTAGGCTGAGGTAGGAGGATCAATTGAGCCCAGGAGGTCAAGGCTGCAGTGAGTCATAATCACACCACTGCACTCCAGCCTGGGTGACAGAGTGAGACCCCGTGACAAAAAAAAAAAAAAGGTGGGGGGAACCAAAGTGAAGAGATTCATAAGAAATCAGCTTGGAACCCAAGTACTCCCACAGCTACAGAAGAAATGGCCAGATGAAACAATTGCAAAATCTACTTTCCCACACTTCTTGGTGTGAGTTGTATGAAAATAAAATTTGAAAGCTCAAAATAGGCAAAAGGTGTGTTTAAGATAAAGGTCCAGTAGAGTAGCAAGAAGGTGGTGCACTAAAAATAGTACGGAGAAGCAACAATCAAGAAACTCAGTAAGCTCCAGGATATTACACGTGGTACCCTGGCAGCTCTACACCCATCAGTGTAGTCTTTGCCCACTTGGAACACAGGAGGTTTCTCTTTAAAGTGCTAGTAAACATGTTAAAGAGAAGTATTTCCTGAGCATCAACTCACAACAAGCACTGTGCAATGAGCATGTGCAGTGCAGATATGATTAGTGGTAGTGATTAGCTGGGTGTGGTGGTGTATGTCTGTGATACCAGCTACTGGTATTATGAGCCTGGGCTGAGGCCAGAGGATTGCTTGAGACCAGCCTGGGCAACATAACAAGACCCAATCTCAAAAAAACAAAAGTTAGAGAAGTCTTCTAATCCTTAACGTAGCTTTCATCTCTTATATGTTGTATACAAGATAACCCTTGTCCTGATGCTCATATAAAAGTAGCACATTAAAAAAAAAACAAACCCAAAAAACAAAAAACTAAGCTGCTGGATTCAAGGGTTTTATCACTGCTAACTGCACTCCTCAGAGCTGTACAGTCACCTTGGTTCACACTGCTGAATGTTGAATAGATTCTTGTTCTACTCATAACAGTAAGCCAGTCTTTCCAATGGAACTCGGGCAGATCTGTGAAGTGAGTTGCTACAATAAGAATTGTGTACATGCATTGTCTACTATCATTTTTATGCAGATATCACAGTGACAATCAACAATGCAAAAATAATTTTTTTTTTTTTTTTTTGAGACAGAGTTTCGTTCTTGTTGCCCAGGCTGGAGTGCAATGGTGCGATCTCGACTCACTGCAACCTCTGCCTCCCGGGTTCAAGCAATTCGCCTGCCTCAGCCTCCCAAGTAGCTGAGATTATAGGTGCCTGCCACCACGCCCAGCTAATTTTTTGTATTTTTAGTAGATAAGGGGTTTCACCACGTTGGCCAGGCTGGTCTTGAACTCCTGACATCAGGTGATCCGCTTGCCTTGGCCTCCAAAAGTGCTGGGATTATAGGCATGAGCCACCACACCCGGATTTTTTTTTTTTTTTTTTTTTTTTTTTGAGATGGAGTCTTGCTCCATCGCCCAGGCTGGAGTGCAGTAGTGTGATCTCAGCTCACTGCAACCTCTGCCTCCCAGGCTCAAGCAATTCTCCTGCCTCAGCTTCCCAAGTAGATGGGACTACAGGCATGCGCCACCATGTCCAGCTAAATTTTGTGTTTTTAGTAGAGAAGGGGTTTGACCATGTCGGCCAGGCTGGTTTTGAACTCCAACTCTTGACCTCAGGTGATCCACCGCCTTGGTCTCCTGAAGTGCTGAGATTATAGGCGTGAGCCACCACAACTGGCCACATTTGAATATCTATACAATACTTCATAGGTAACTTTCATATATATTACCTAATCCCCACAATAGATATTACTGTGGTTGGTGTCAGATTAATCATTTTACAGATGATTAGCAGAGCCAGATAAAAATTAAGGCTCAATTGTATGGATGTACAATACTTAAACAATTCTGGACAGTCCTGATAAGTATGTTGGCTTTTTTTTTTTTTTTTTTTTTGAGACAGAGTCTCCCTCTGTTGCCCAGGCTGGAGTGCAGTGGCACGATCTTGGCTCACTGCAACCTCCACCTCCCAGGTTCAATCGATTCTCCTACCTCAGCCTCCCAAGTAGCTGGGATTATAGGCGCGCACCACCATGCCCTGATAATTTTTGTATTTTCAGTAGAGGCGGGGTTTCACTATGTTGGACAGGCTGGTCTTGAACGCCTGACCTCAGGTGATACACCCTCCATGGCCTCACACAGTGCTGGGATTACAGTCGTGAGCTACCGCACCCAGCAGTATTTTGGCTTTATTTCAGGGGATTGTTTCATTTATTTGTTTGCTTATTTATATTATTATTACTTTTCTGAGAGACATTGTCTCGCTTTGTTGCCCAGGCTAATCTCGAGCTCCTGGATTCAAGTGACCCTCTCACCTTGACTTCCCAAAGTGCTGGGATTACGGGCAGGAGCCACCGCACCCAGACAGGATTGTTTTTATAAGGTTGTTTTTGTTGCTGCAGCTATTGTTTGCAATAAAAATTCTTGTATGCAATTTTGTTTTGCATATGTATAAATATATACCTGTAAGATAAATTCTTAGGAGTAGAAGAGCTGGGTGAAATAACATAAAATACATTTATTAATATATATATATATATAGGCTGGGCATGGTGGCTCACGCCTGTAATCCCAGCACTTTGGGAGGCTGAGATGGGCAGATCAACTGAGGTTGGGAGTTCGAGAGCAGCCTGACCAACATGGTGAAACCCCGTCTCTACTAAAAATACAAAATTAGCTGGGCATAGTGGCGCATGCCTATAATCCCAGCTACTCAGGAGGCTGAGGCAGAATTGCTTGAACCTGGGAGGCGGAGGTTGCAGTGAGCCAAGATCGCACCATTGCACTCCAGCCTGGGCAAAAAGAGCAAAACTCTGTCTCAATAATAATAATAATAATAATTTTTTTTTACGTTGGTGTGGTGGCTTACAGCCATATTCCCAGAGCTTTGGGAGGCTCAGATGGGAGGATAGCTTGAGGCCAGGAGCTCAAGACTAGTCTGGTCAACATAGTGAGACTCTGCCTCTACACAAAATAAAAAAAATAAAAATAAAATAAGAAAAAAAAGTTTAATTGTTTTGGAGACAGGGTCTTGCTATCTTGCTCAGGCTGGTCTCAAGGTCCAGGCTCAAGTGATCCTCTTGCCTTAGCCTCCCAGATAGTTGGAATTACAATTACCAGTTGTACTAGTACGTGCCACTGTGCTGGCTCTAACAGTATGCTTTAAAGTTTTAATAATGTCTATTAAATGTTGATTTTTTAAAAATTAAGGCTAAGAAAATTCTCACCTGAGGTCTCATAAAAAACTGACAGGACTGAGACTCAGCTCTACAGACTGCCATATCTCATTCTACTCCACTACATAATTTTTCTTTTTCTTTTTTTTGAGATGGAGTTTTGCTCTTGTTGCCCAGGCTAGAGTGCACTGGCGCGATCTTGGCTAACCGCAACCTCCGCCTCCCGGGTTCAAGCGATTCTCCTGCCTCAGCCTCCCGAGTAGCTGGGATTGCAGGCATGCGCTACTACGCCCGGCTAATTTTGTATTTTTAGTATAGACGGGGTTTCTCCATGTTGGTCAGGCTGGTCTTAAACTCCCAACCTCAGGTGATCTGCCTGCCTCGGCCTCCCAAAGTGCTAGGATAACAGGCATGAGCTACACGTGCGGTCCCTTTTCTTTCTTTCTTTTTTTTTTTTTGAGATGGAGTTTTTGCTCTGTTGCCCAGGTGGGGGTGCAATGGCGCCATCTCGGCTCACTGCAACCTCTGCCTTCTGGGTTCAAGCGATTGTCCTGCCTCAGCCTCCCGAGTAGCTGGAACTACAGGCGCCTGCCACCATGCCCAATTTTTGTATTTTTAGTAGAGACAAGATTTCACCATGTTGGCCAGGCTGGTCTCCAGCTCTTGACCTCAGGTGATCTACCGCCTCAGCCTCCCAAAGTGCTGGGGTTGTGTGAGCCACCGCCCCCAGCCTACATAACTTTTCTATGCCTCCAAACAAAATGAAAATTCACACTTGCAAACTTACCCAGAAGCCAGCTATCTTTGTGCATACCCGCTTCAAACTGACTACTGAGGGAAGACTGCTGCAGCACAGCACAGTCCTGTAGGCTGCCGGGCCAGTTTGTCTCCACGGTCATTAGTGTCCCTCTAATGTCACACACCATCAGGCAGTTTAAAGAATGCAGGCCTTTTCGGTTCACATAGGAGAGGTCTTCAGCATTTGGTGCCTTGATGGCCACATGGATACAGTCAACCACCCCCATCACCCCTGGCATCCCTGCCAACCCATAGAATTCATCCTTCAGAGCCTGAATGGAGGCTTCATCAGCTGGAAAGCGAATGAACTGTGAGGCCCTTTCCACAAGTGCTTCAGTGACATTGGCAACACAACGACTCATAGACGCCTGACTGATTCCAATGGCATCTCCCATCCGAGTCTGGAAGGAACCTGAGGTATAAAAACCCAATGCTGCAAGGACCTGTGTCTCTGGGCTAATAGCCCTGGATCGCTGAGTAGGCCTAGAAAGATTCGCCCCCAAGAGCTCCACCAAGTAATAAATGAACTGCCGTGGAAACCCATACATGGACATCAAGTATTCATCAGTCACATCATCCAGCTTAAAACGGTCCAATGTCCGGTGACCACGGCCATATAGCAAGAGGTCACAGTCAAGCACTGTTATTGGTATAGCCATGGTAAATGTGAATGTTGGCTCTCCTCTTTGCTTTTTCTGAACTGTTCCCAATGAAGATGTTGGTGCAAGAACGTATTTTTAAGAAAGTATCAGAATCCAACAGCTAACCACAGTTAAATGGCTCTGCCATTTATAATCTTCTCTCTGTAAATGTTAAAAGAAAAAACATTAGGAACCTACCAAAGACTTTAAAGTGACTCAAAGGCTGGAGCAGCTCCTTTTCTACAAATTTCCATTTTGTTGAGGCAAAACGTACTGTACTTACAACTCCGGATTTTTCTCCACTAACTCATGGCTGCACGACAGGCTTGCTCTGATTCAAGGATAATGGGAATTCAATCTTTGTGGCTCATTTAATGCTTGGCATTTCAATTGAGAACACCAAAAGAATAATGGAGGTGATGACATAATTATTCACAAGGTAAAAGAGGTCGGCTTCTAACTATATAGGCCAAGAAGCAGCTGACATATGTCATAACCACCTTGGGTAAGAATTGGTCACGGGTTTCATTATCCAAAGACTTCTGGTTTCACCTGACAAATACAGGACAGATGCTGGGGTGTTCAAACCAGTCTAACAAGAAAAGAAGGGGCAAAAAAAAAAAAAAAAAAAAAAAAAAAAAAACAACCAAAGTCCACAACCCAGCCTTATGGACGTACACTGTGTGCTGTAACAAAAGGCTTTTCCCTCACTCCAAGAACTCCAAATCGTGAACCTGAGGGCCAGGAAGTACGGAAGACCAGACACATTGGAAGTCGGGAGCGAAAAAGAGGCTGGCCGAACCAGGTTTGGGAAGCGACTCTGCCACTTTTAAAGGGCACCCTAAAAACGGATGTCAAAGTCTGATTGCGCCGGCCACTCAGTTAGCCCAGGCCCGTCACCCACCTCTCCGCGGCTGCCAGGTTACCAGCCACACTTCCCACCCACCCAGCCGGGTTGGGCCCTCCTCCGGAACCGGCGACTGCACAGAGGCCGCCACGGCGCGCAACAGCGGCACCGCCCCTTCCGCGTCAGCGCCCGCCCCGCGCCGCGCCCTCACTGCCGCTGCCGCGGCTACCTGCGGTTCATCTCCGCACATTCCACACGCGGCCCAAACGGTCTCTCTCTCTCTCTCTCAAACACCGCCTTTCCGTCTTTGTTTTATCTTGAGTAGCTTAGAAAGATTGGAGAAGAAAGCTTACGTGGAATGAAAATCAACTTTTATGGATATTTTGAGGACTAAAAGAATAAATAGGGCGTCCGTACTGTAGCGAAAGTGCGACTAAGGTTAGGCATCTGGATTTCCCCCGTAGCCCTCTTTCACCCCCCCCCCCCGGCCATTACCGAAGCGGATGAAAACAAACACTAACGATGGCGGCGCCGGGAAGCGACCGGCTGCTGGGCTTAAGGCGGGAGTGACCGCTTAACCAGTGAGGGAAGCACTGAAGAGCGCCAGTCGACGTGGGTGCGACAACTCGCGGAGTCTTAGGAGCAAAACGTCTGGGGCCTGCGAGCCAGGACCCTTCTGAAGCCTTAGGTGTCTATCGGCGACGTGTACGGTCACTGCAGCTCCGGAGCGCGGAACCCTCAGCCAGGAGGCGCGGCTGGTCGGTCCCAGGTCCCGGCCTCCGTAATGAGAGCCCGGAACCACTCTTTGTGCCGCAGCTTCGCAGGTACTAACTTTTGCGGGGGATACCCCAAGATCTCTCAGCGCCCCCGGGTGGGAGGCTGTGGATCTGCGGCCCCTTGGCTGCTGCTTCGTGGAAGTAGAAGGGATTAGCCACGGTTCAATCCCCTGGGCCCCTGAGTTTTCTGTGGGAAGTTGAGTTGGTCTAGGCCCCGTTGGCCCCTGCTTGTTTGGCAGAGAATCCCCTCCACCCCAGAGCTTTCCTCTCCACTTTTTCAGCTCCTTGGGTTAGGTCGTCAGGCGTTTTGGAGGTAATTTGGGGGGCCATAACTCCGGGGTTGGGTGCCAATATGAGTGAGGTAGGTTTTCATTCAATCAAGATTTGCTGAGTGCCAAATATGTACTCCGCGTGTAGGTGAGGGTGACTGTTGACTAGTGAAAAAAGGGACCCATGGTTCACGACTGTCTTCTTACTGGCAGTGGAACGACCTGTGGAAACCTGTGATCCATTCTCATTAAATAAATCTCTGGGTAAGTGGCTAAGCACCTTCTTGAGCTCATCACTAATTCTTCCCAGTTTTCACTTTTCCAGTGAGTTCCCAGTTAGCCTGGTCAATTCAGCGTAGCATTTCACTTTTGGTATTTCTTCGTTCTCTGGCCACCCCGCAGCCAAAAAGAAAAAAGAGATTTTAAAAAATTACCTATTTTCTCATTACACTTAGTTTAAAACTCATCTCCTAAGGTGATAGAATTTATTGGACACCTTTAGTGGGAGATGTATTATAATAAGAAACAACAAGCTCTTCCTTTACACTAAATTAGCTTCCAGATTTTGTGTGTTGTTTTATGACTGTTAGTCCTTTTCATGTGTGCATGTAGTGGCTCCAGCTCAATTATGAGGTTTTTTTTTTGTTGTTTTCAACTCTCCATTTATCAGCTCAGGAGAAGTCTTTTAGTTTTTTAGATTTTAAAATTTTTATTATTATTATTAGAGATAAGGTATTGCTGTGTTACCCAAGCTGGAGTACAGTGGCGCCTTCATAGCTAACTTTAATCTCAAACTCCTGGGCTCAGGGAATCCTCCCACCTCAGCCTTCTAAAGTGTTGGAGTTACATGCATAAGCCACAGAGTCCGGCCCAGGAGCTTAATCTCGAAGGAAGTTTACTTGAACTTTAGGTGTGGAATATTCGAAAGTAACTTCCAACATGGGGTGTGGAGCTAAGTAAGATGAATTTACATAAACCGTCATTTTTCCTGCATGTGCTTAGTGGAGGAGAGTGCATAGAGTTGCTGGTCATTGCTTCCTATCAAATTGTGGAAACCAATAAAAACTGAAAATATTCTGCGAGAGAATAGAGGTACTGTAGCCAGGAGGAATGCAAAGGAGGCTGCCCAGAGGGAATCAAACCTTTCTAAAGTTTGGGTTTTAAATATTTAAAAGGATTTTAAGTCCCTAAAGGGATTTAAAGGTTATTTTAAATAATTAGCTGATTTTTTTTTAATGTCCTTGGAAGGTAGATTTCTTGCTTTTTTTTTTTTTTTTTTTTTTTTTTTTTGAGACGGAGTTTCACTCTGGTTGCCCAGGCTAGAGTGCGGTGGCGGGAACTCGGCCCACTGCAACCTCTGCCTCCCGGGTTCAAGCGATTCTCCTGCCTCAGCCTCCTGAGTAGCTGGGATTACAGACATGTGCCAGCACGCCCAGCTAATTTTGTATTTTTAGTAAAGATGGGGTTTCTCCATGTTAGTTAGGCTGTTTGTTCTTGAACTCCCGACCTCAGGTTATCCACCCGCCTTGGCCTCCCAAAGTGCTGGGATTACAGACATGAGCCACCACTCCTGGCCGATTTCTTGCTTTTAACTGAAGAGTAAATGTGGGCCAGTTTATTAAAAATCCTCTGAAGGGGCCGGGCAGGGTGGCTTACACCTGTAATCCCAGCACTTTGGGGGGCCGAGGCAGGCGAATCATGAGGTCAGGAGTTCAAGACCAGCCTGGCCAACAAGGTGAAACCCCGTCTCTACTAAAAATACAAAAAGTTAGCTGGACGTAGTGTTGGGCGCCTGTAATCCCACCTACTCGGGTGGCTGAGGCAGGAGAATCGCTTGAACCCAGGAGGTGGAGGTTGCAGTGAGCCTAGATCACGCCATTGCACTCCAGCCCGGGAGACAGCGCCCCTCTGTCTCAAAAAAAAAAAAAAAAAATTCCTCTGAGGACCAATATAGGTTACATAGGCAATTTGTCTGTGTTTTTTGTTGTTGTTTTTTGCAATGGAGTTTCACTCTTGTTGCCCAGGCTGGAGGACAGTGGCATGATCTCGGCACACTGCAACAACCTCCCCCTCCTGAGTTCAAGCAATTCTCCTGCCTCAGCCTCCCAAGTAGCTGGGATTACAGGCGCCCGCCACCACGCCTGGCTAAGTTTTTGTATTTTTAGTGGAGATGAGGTTTCACCGAGTTGGCCAGGCTGGTCTCCAACTCCTGACCTCAGGTGATCCACCCGCCCTGGCCTCCCAAAGTGCTGGGATTACAGGCGTGAGCCACCGCGCCAGGCCTGGCAATCTCTCTTATCCTGGTATTTTTTTGTATGCCCTTGGTCATAAGAGAAGGGATGAGAATGTGAATTACCACTGCTTAGAAAAACAACTCAATTGGGCTGGGCGCGGTTGCTCACACCTGAAATCCCAGCACCTTGGGAGGCTGAGGCAGGCGGATCACCTGAGTTCGGGAGTTTGAGACTAGCTTGGGCAACATGGAGAAACCCTGTCTCTACCAAAAATACAAAAATACCTGGGCGTGGTGGCGCATGTCTGTAATCCCAGCTACTCGGGAGGCTGAGACAAGAGAATCGCTTGAACTGGGGAGGCAGAGGTTGCTGTGAGCCGAGATCATGCCATTGCATTCCAGCCTGGGCAACAAGAGTGAAACTCCATCTCAAGAAAAAGAAAAACAACTCAATTAACGTGCATGGTTGACTTAACAGGGTCTCCTCAGTAAAAGTAAAGGTAAATCAAGAATTCATAGAAGTCATAACTTATAGAAACCTCCTGTGGAGCAGAAAAATAAAATGAAAGAAGTAATAACTTAGTATTGCTGTTTTGGAAAATGCTGCTTTCACTTTTGATTCATACATGTGAAAGAAATAGTAAAGAAATAGTTAAGAATCATTTTACATTTTTTTCTTTTTTTTTTTGATACGGAGTCTTGCTCTGTTGCCCAGGCTGGAGTGTAGTGGTGTGATCTTGGCTCGCTGCAACCTCTGCCTCCCAGGTTCAAGCGATTCTCCTGCCTCAGCCTCCTGAGTAACTGGGATTACAGGTGCGTGCCACCACGCCCGGCTAATTTTTGTATTTTTAGCAGAGACTGGATTTCTCCATGTTGGTCAGGCTGGTCTCCAACTCCTGACCTCGTGATACACCCACCTTGGCCTCCCAAAGTGCTGGAATTACAGATGTGAGCCACCGCGCCCAGCCATATTTGTTTATTATTTTGAGTTGTTGATACTTTCTTTTTACATGAAGTCTGTAGTTTATAAAATGATGAATTTGTCTACTTCAGAGTTAGGGGGAAGAGTTATCGGTGTGTACTGGCAGCAGGCTGTGGATTCAGAACTGTGAAAGCTTCTCCCAATACTATTCAGTCTTGTTTCTACCTGTTTCTTGGGGTTTCAGTGTTTCTACACTAATTTTTAGGTTAATTTCTTGGGTTTTCATTTCCTTATGCATGTAGGTAGTTTGATTATGGATCTTACATTTATGTGCTCTTCTGACTTGTGCTTTTAATATTTTGGGAGCAACTTGCCCACCTCTCAACATTGCCATGATAGATGGCAAACCTCTTTGTGGCTTCTCCAGGCTTCTTTGAGCATCTGTGATCAAGGAAAGGAGCACTTGGCTGTTGGGCTTTATGCAGGGTACAGGGCTTTTACCTACCTATAAGGTTAAGGTCATATCTCCCAACCCTATTCTTACTCTCATGTGTTTGTCAAAAGGACCTAACCCTTGTCCCTCACAGGCCTCGGTTCCCTGGCATCAGATTTTCCTTACATCTATAGCTTTGATTGTACTCTTTATGGAATCTGGAATATCTACCATTTTTCTAGTTCAGCTGTGTGTCCGAACATTTTTATTGTCATTTTATCTACATCTTTATGTGTTTGTAGTGGGAGGGGGAACTGACAGCATCAGTTCAGTCCACCCTGTTGATGAAAGGCCACTTCAGAGATTTATTTATTTACATATATATATATATATATATATATATATATATATATATATATATATATATATTTATTTTAGAGATGGTATTTGCCCTGTTTCCCAGACTGGAGTGCGGTGAAGCAATCTTGGCTCACTGCAACCTCCACCTCCCAGGTTCAAGCGATTCTCCCGCCTCAGCCTCCCGTCTAGCTGGGACTACAGGCGCCCACTACCATGCCTGGCTAATTTTTTATATTTTTAGTAGAGACGGGGTTTCACCATGTTAGCCAAGATGGTCTCGATCTCCTGACCTCGTGATCCGCCTGCCTCGGTCTCCCAAAGTGCTGGGATTACAGGCGTGAGCCACCGCACCTGGCCAAGAATGCATTAAAATATTTTAAATAATTTTTTGTTGTTTAAAAGTGAAAAAAATATAAACAAGAAACTGATTCACTCCCTTACTTCATGCATTCATCATCTAAACCAAAAACAAAATTTTAAAGCAAGAACAAACTACTGCGGAAAGTTTTTGTAAGTCCATTTTCTCTGTACATTCAAACTGCTGACTACTGAAGGGAAAAAAATATAATCCATGGTGTCTGCTGAATCAAAGGGGAGAAACAAGGCTGTCATTTAGTATCCAAAAACTGATACACGTATGTTCTGCTTTTATAATGTGTATTTTTCTCTCTTCTGTTTTTCATATCCAAAACTTGTAAATGCTATTTTAGGGGCAAAGCAGATTAGATTCCAACACTTGTTGAACAGAATTCACAAGCTGTGACAAAACTCTGTCATCTTCGGGGTGCAATTTTGTTTATATACACTGTATGTATATATTTCTTTTAGATTTGGCTGTAGTGGACTGGCCGTGGTTCAAGTGCCACCTTCATTCTAAGGCAAGGATATGCTGTGATGAAATCTTGGAAGTACAGCTAGAGTCATCATTCTAGCTGTTTGAAAAAGTGTATTTGGGCCGGGTGCCGTGGCTCATGCCTGTAATCCCAGCACTTTGGGAGGCCAAGGCGGGCGGATCACGAGGTCGGGAGACCATCCGGGCTAACACGGTGAAACCCTGTCTCTACTAAAAATACAAAAAAAAAAAATTAGCCGTGTGTGGTGGCGGGCACCTGGGGTCCCAGCTATTCTGGAGGCTGAGGCAGGAGAATGGCACGAACCTGGGAGGTGGAGTTTGCAGTGAGCCGAGATTGTGCCACTGCACTCCAGTCTGGGCAACAGAGCAAGACCCCGTCTCAAAGAAAAGAAAAAGTGCATTTGAAGTACGTCCATAAAGAAAGAGACCTAATTTTAGAAGACATTTATGCTGGGTGAAAGTTTTTCTCCACTCTATTATGGACCATATGATGGCAACTAGTTTTGTTTTTTTGTTTTTGTTTTTGTTTTTTTGAGACAGAGTCTCACTCTGTCACCTATGCTGGAGTGCAGTGGCGCAGTCTTGGCTCACTGCAACCTCTGCCTCCCGGGTTCAAGCAGTTCTCCTGCCTCAGCCTCCCAAGTAGCTGGGATTACAGGTGTGCACCACCACACCCGGCTAATTTTTGTATTTTTAGTAGAAATGGGGTTTCACCATGTTGGCCAGGCTGGTCTCGAACTCCTGACCTCAGATGATCTGCCCGCCTTGGCCTCCCAAAGTGCTGGGATTACAGGCCTGAGCCACCGTGCCTGGCTGGCAACTAGTTTTTTTATTTGTTAATTTGATTTTTTTTAATTCAAATCTACAGAAAAGTTGGAAGAATATTACAGTGAATTTTTATGTACTCTTCCCTTAGATTTGCACATTGTTCACTCTTTACCACATTACTTTCTTTCTCCTATATATTGTATAACTATTATTTTTGCATTATATTTACACATTCTTATTCTTTTTTTTTTTTCTGAACCCTTCAGAGATGTTACTTATATCTCATGAATAAGAATGTGGACCAAAATGTAATTTTATCAAATTCAGGAATTTTTTTTTTTTTTGAGATGGAGTCTCGCTGTCACCCAGGCTGGAGTACAGTGGCGCAATCTCGGCTCCCTGCAACCTCCACCTCCTGGGTTCAAACGATTCTCCTGCCTCAGCCTCCTGAGTAGCTGGGACTACAGGCATGCGTCACCACACCTGGCTCATTTTTGTATTTTACTAGAGAAAGGGTTTCGCCATGTTGGCCAGGCTGGTCTCGAACTCTTGACCTCAAGTGTTTACACTCCTCAGCCTGCCAAAGTGCTGGGATTACAAAGGTGAGCCACCACAACCAGCCAAATTCAGGAAATTTAATATTGATGCAATACTGTTACCTAGTATACAGTTGGGTTCAAATGTTGCCAGTTGTTTCAGTACTGTCCTTCACAGAAACTTTTTAAGAAATCCAGGAACTGGTCCAGCATCAAGCTTTGCATTTAGTTGTCACACTTTATTCTCCTTTAATCTAAAATGGATCTTCAGATTTTTTTTTTTTTGTTCTTTTATAACACTGACGTTTTTGAAGAGTGACGAGCCCATTATATTATTAAATTTTCAGCCTTTCAATTTGAGCTTGTCCAATCACTTCCTCATGGTTAGTTTCAGGTTATACAGTTTTAGCAAGAAAGCTATGTAAGTAATACATCACATCAGAAGGGATGTGAAGTCAGTTTCTTCAATTGTTGTCCAGGCCAAGGTGAAAGTTCCCCCTCACCCTTGAAAAAATCAGCTCATTAGCTCATTGGCTGGGCATGATTGCTCATGCTGTAATAATCATAGCACTTTGGGAGGCTGAGGTGAGAGGATTGCCTGAGCGCAAGAGTTTGAGACCAGCCTGAGCAACATAGTGAGATGCTGTCTTTACAAAAAAATAAAAAATTACCTGGGCATGGTGGTGTGCACCTGTAGTCCCAGCTGAGGTGGGAGGATTGCTTGAGCCTGGGAGGTCCAGGCTGCAGTGAGCCATGATCATCATGGCACTCCAGCCTGAGCAACAGAGACCTTGTCTCCAAAAGATAATCAACTCATTCACAAGGCCAGGTTCAGTGGCTCACACCTGTAATCCTAATCCCAACACTTTAGGAGGCCAAGATGGGAGGATCACTTGAAGCCAGGAGTTCCAGACCAGCCTGGGCAACATATCAAGATCGCGTTGCTACCAAAAAAAAAAAAGAAAAATCAACTCACAAAAGGCATATGAATTGGAAAAAAAGGCATACAGATTTTTTTTTTCCTAAGGTACTTTTGCTATAGCTTGCTCTTTCTTTTTTTTTTTTTTTTTTTTTTTTGATACAGGGTTTTGCTTTGTCACCCAGGCTGGAGTGCAATGACATGATCACAGCTCACTGCAGCCATACCTCCTGGGTTCGAGTGATCTTCCCACATCAGCCTCCTGAGTAGCTGGGACTATAGGTGAGCATCACCACACCCAGCCAGTTTTTTGTATTTTTGTAGATAAATGTTACCCAGCCTGATCTTGAACTCCTGAGCTCAAGCTATCCTCCTGCCTCGGCCTCCTAAAGTATTGAGATTATAGGCGTGAGTCACTGGGCTGGCCAAGGCATACAAATTTATCACAGAGTGATTGCCCATCCCCCCAGGTGGTTCAGAGGTTATATACCATTCTGGCAAAACAGGTTATGGAAACCTGGAGAAGAGGAATTCCGCTGAGGGGATTACTAGGGAGAATGAATGGATCAGGGAACAGAGATTAACCTGCACATTATCTTGTGAAAGGGTCCATTTAGGTGTGGTTACATTTGTGGTGTTACAACATACAGAAGAACAGTTGTTCCTTTAGGTGGGTCTGGATTTTAGGCGCATAAAGGAATTTAAGCTTTACTGTATGCTTTGGAAGAGAAGGTTTGTGTGGATGGAGTGAGGTGTCAGAGATACCTTGAGGCTTCTTTGGTTAGCATAGCCATATTTGGGGGTATTGATTTCTTTTGTTTCTTTCGTTTGTTTGTTTGTTTTTGAGACGGAGTCTGTCGCCCAGGCTGGAGTACAGTGATGTGATCTTGGCTCACTGCAAGCTCCGTCTCCCAGGTTCACACCATTCTCCTGCCTCAGCCTCCCAAGTAGCTGGGACTACAGGTGCCCACCACCACGCCCAGCTAATTTTTTGTGTTTTTAGTAGAGACAGGGTTTCACCATGTTAGCCAGGATGGTCTTGATCTCCTGACCTTGTGATCCACCCGCCTCGGCCTCCCAAAGTACTGGGATTACAGGCGTGAGCCACCGCACTTGGCCTCTTTTGTTTTTTGAGACGGGAGTTTCACTCTTGTGCCCAGGCTGGAGTGCAGTGGCACAACCTCAGCTCACTGCAGCCTCTACCTCCTGGGTTCAGATGATTCTCCTGCCTCATCCTCCCGAGTTGCTGAGATTACAGGCACGCACCACCATGCCTGGCTAATTTCTTATTTTGAGTAGAGACAGGGTTTCACCATATTGGCCAGGCTGATCTCGAACTCCTGACCTCAGGTGATCCGTCCGCCTCCGCCTCCCAGAGTGCTGGGATTACAAGCGTGAGCCACTGCGCCCGGCCTGGGTATTGATTTCTGAGCCCCAATATCAGTATGTTATCTTTGATGACTTTGTTAAGATTGTATCCACCAGGTTTCTCTTTGTAATTAATAAGTAGTAACCTGTGTTCCCATAGATTGTGTAAATATCTCATTTGTAAATAAAGTTTCACCCAGAAATTTTAGCATTCCTTGGTGATTTGCTTGAACCAGTTATTCCTATAATGGTTACAAAATTGTCATTTTCTAAGTCTGCTATTCTTACATTTATTTATTGTATTATACTATAAAGAAGTATTTTCCCCATCTTCATTTATTGCACAGCTCCCTTTGAAACCACAGTGTTAGGAGGAAGGTGTAAACATTTGCTATAGAAAAAAAGGACTATGTCAGGAAAGGATTGTATCTGCTCTTCCACTGTTAGTTTAAGAAATAAGGTCGGGTGCGGTAATCCTGTAATCCCAGCACTGTGGAAAGCCGAGGTGGATGGATCACTTGAGGCCAGGAGTTCGAGACCAGCCTGGCCAACATGGCAAAACCTCATCTCTACTAAAAATAAGATAATTAGCCCGGGCCGGGCGTGATGGCTCACGCCTGTAATCCCAGCACTGTGGGAGGCCGCAGTGGGCAGATACCTGAGGTCAGGAGTTTGAGTCCAGTCTGGCCAACATGATGAAACCCTATCTCTACAAAAATATGAAAATTAGCTGGGCATGATGGCAGGTGCCTGTAATTTCAGCTACTTGGGAGGCTGAGGCAGAAGAATCACTTGAACTTGGGAGGCGGAGGTTGCAGTGAGCCGAGATTGCACCACTGCACTCCATCCAGGGCGACAGAGCAAGACTCTGTCTCAAAAAATAAATAAATAAATACAGAGAAATGTAAAATTATAAATTAAATTTTAATGCTTCCAAAACCTACATGTTCTCGCATGATAAACATGAGTTTAAAAGCTTTTTTTGAGAAGAAGTTTTGCTCTTGTTGCCCAGGCTGGAGTGCAATGGCGCGATCTCAGCTCACTGCGACCTTCGCCTCCTGGGTTCAAGCGATTCTCCTGCCTCAGCCTCCCAAGTAGCTGGGATTACAGGCATGTGTCACCATGCCTGGCTAATTTTTTTATTTTTTTATTTTTAATAGAGATGGGGTTTCTCCATGTTCATCAGGCTGGTCTCGAACTCCTGATCTCAGGTGATCTGCCCGCCTCGGTATCCCAGAGTGCTGGGGTTACAGGTGTGAGCCACCGTGCCTGGCCTGAATTTAAGAGCATTTTTAAGGCCAAGCGCAGTGGCTCATGCCTGCAATCCCCAGCAGTCTGGGAGGCTGAGACGGGAGGATTGCTTGAGCCCAGGAGTTCACAACCAGCCTGGGCAACAAGGCAAAGCCCCATCTCTACAAAAAAATACAAAAAATTAGCTGGGTGTGGTGGCATGCTAGTAGTCCCAGCTACTCCTGAGGCTGAAGTGGGAGAATCACCTGAGTCCAGCAGGTTGAGGCTGCAGTGAGCTGTGATCGGGCCACTGCACTCTAACCTGGACAAAGGATTGAGACCTTGTCTCAAAAAAAAAAAAAAAAAAAGGCAGGAAAAAAAGCATTTTGGCCAGGCATGGTAGCTCACGCCTGTAATCCCAGCATTTGGGAGACCGAGGTGGGCAGATCACCTGAGGTCAGGAGTTCTAGATCAGCTTGGCCAACACGGTGAAACCCCATCTCCATTAAAAATACAAAAATAAGCTGGTGTGGTGGCATGTGCCTCTGGTCTCAGCTACTCGGGAGGCTGAAGCAGGAGAATCACTTGAACCTGGCAGGTGGAGATTGCAGTGAGATCGTGCCACTGCATACCAGTCTGGGTGACAGAGTGAGACTCTGTCTCAAAAAAAACCTGAAAACAAAACCCCGCGTTTTAAGCATCCAAAGTGTTGAATATTTGTCAGCAAATAGTTTTTTTTTTTAATTACAGGTAAAACATTCTATTATTTCTTTAATAGTTTTGAGGTTACTGCTTATATATTTTATGTAAGTAGAAGTAGGCATTATACAAATGTGAAAGCAATGTTGTTAATATGCCAGGAATTGTTACTCAGAAAAACTGAATTTGGGATTCATTTTTAGAATAAATCAAGGAAATATTAATTGGTTAACTGTTCATTGTTAATATTAGATTAGGTCCATATATATCTAACAGTCTTCTCTACACAGCAACCTGAGCAATCCTTTTTAAAAATGTACTTGTTGAGGTGTAATTGACATAAATAAATTATATCCATTATAAATTTACAGTTTCACAAATTTTGGCAAATGCATAAGTCTTATAATCACCACCACAATCAAAACATGGAAATTCCTATCACTTTAACTTTTCCCTCTACCATTTCTACCTCCACTCCCAGCCCCAAGCAATACTGATCTGTTTTCTTTTTTTTTTTTTTTGGAGACGGAGTCTCACTGTGTCACCCAGGCTGGAGCGTGTGTGCAGTGGCGCGATCTTGGCTCACTACAACCTCCTCCTCCTGGGCTCAAGAGATCCTCCCACCTTAGCCTTCCAAGCAGCTGGAACTACAGATGTGCGCCACCATGCCTGGCTAATTTTTGTATTTTTAGTAGAGGTGGGGTTTCACCATGTGGGCTAGGCTGGTCTTGAATTCCTGACCTCAGATGCCCCACCCACCTCAGCCTCCCAAATTGCTGTGATTACCGGTGTGAGCCACTGCACCTGTCTGATACTGATCTGTTTTCTGTCACAAGAGATTACATTTACCTTTTCTAGAGCATGGTATAGATGCAGTCACACTCATAGTGTGTATTTTTGTGTGCGCTTTCACTTTGTATTATGTGAGATTCATCTATTTGTGTTCACAAGGAGGTTTTTGTTTTTGTTTTTGTTTTTTTCCGAGACAGAGTCTCAGTCTTGTTGCCAGGCTGGAGTGCAATTGCATGATCTCAGCTCACTGCAACCTCTGCCTCCTGAGTTGAAGCGATTCTCCTGCCTCAGCCTCCCAAGTAGCTGGGATTCCAGGAGCCCGCCATCACGCCCGGCTAATTTTTGTATTTTTAGTAGAGACGGGGTTTCTCCATGTTGGTCAGGCTGGTCTCGAACTCCTGACCTCAGATGATCCACCCGCTTCGGCCTCCCAAAATGCTGGGATTACAGGCATGAGCCACCATGCCTGGCCGACCCTGCTTAATCTTAATAAGCACTTAATACTTTCAAACATATTTTAATTATTTTTATTGTCAGCTCCCCCTTGTTAGAATACAAGCTCCATAATATCATGAATTTTTGACTGATTACAAATTTCTGGTTAAACATGACAGAGTGACTACATATATCTGTTCTGTTTATTTATTTATTTATTTATTCATTTTATTTTTGGTCTCCTAAGGCTGTGTCGTCCCAAAGATACTAAGTAACAGGCAGAATTGGATATGGCACAAATTTCTGTTTAAAGAGATGCGGTCTCGCTCTGTTGCCCAGGCTGTTGTGCAGTGGTATTCACAGTCATGATCATATTTCTCTACAGCATCTTGGACTCAAGTGATTCTCCTGCCTCAGCCTCCTGAGTAGCTGGGACTACAGGTATGTGCCACCAGGCCCCATTTCTTTTTAAGCCATATAAAATTATAGTAAAGGAATAAAATGGATGTAAACATGCAAGAATAGAATGGGAAAAGCTGAGAAGGAGAGATTCTCTACATTTTTGGGAGAAGGAAACCTAGAGGAGGAATTTTAACTGGTTTAACAATGCAGAAGAAGCAGCAGCCTGGGAGTGAAATGAAGTTGGAACAGGAAGTGAACTGATTTGAACCAAGAACCCTGTAATGGTTCCAGACTGGAGGTTCTAGGTAGCTAAGGTTCAGGGAAGGCTCCAGATTCAGAAATACCAAACACCGCTTGTGTGTTTCATGATGAGTGAGTGGACCAGTTACAAAGGCCAAATGGAGATAAATATGGTAAAAATCAATTTACCTGATTTCTCACTGTGCTTGTTACATCCAGAAAGCTGATAGGTAGACTTATGCTTGGCCTTGGCAAGAAATTAGAGGCTTTTTTTTTTTTTTTTTGAGACAGGGTCTCCCTCTATGACCCAGTCTGGAATGCAGTGGAGTGGTGCAATCACAGCTCACTGCAGCCTTGACCTTCCAGCTCAAGCAATCTGCCTACCTCAGCCTCCCAGTAGCTGGCTCTACAGGTGCATGCCACCATGCCCGGCTACTTACTTTTTTTGCAGAAACAAGGTGTCACTATGTTCCCTGGCTGGTCTTGAACTCCTGGACTCAAGTGATCCTCCTGCCTTGGCCTCCCAAGTAGCTGGGACCACAGGTGCATGCCACCACAACTGGCTAATTTTTTTTTTAATTTTTATTTTTTGTAGAGACAGAATCTCTCCATGTTGTCCAGGCTGGTCTCAAACTCCTGGGCTCAAGAGATCATCCCACCTTGGCCTTCCAAAGTGTTGGGATTACCTATGTGAGTCACCATGCCCAGCCTATTCACTTTTTATTTTCCAATACTTCGTTGACTTCTTTGATTTGTTATTTCTTCTTCTATCTTTGGGTTTTATTTATAGCTTTTTTATGTCTGTGCTTTTAATTGAGGATTAGGAAGATAATTTAGATAAATATGTCTTATCTGCCTATTTAAGTAGAACCCTATATGTATGTATGTATGTAAGTGTAAATTAATGAATGACAGGGTCTCACTCTGTTACTTAAGTTGGAGTGCAGTGGTGCAATCATAGCTCACTGTAGTTTCAAACTCCTGGCTCAAGTAATCTGTCCACCTCGGCTTCCAAAGTGCTGGGATTATAGGTTTGGACCACCAAGCTGGCCTATTTCTTTATTTAAAATTAGAATTTCAGTACAAAAGTAAGTAAAAGATGTAGAGAACTTGCTTACCTAGTTAAATGTTGTTTTCCATTCGTTCATTATTATCTTTTGCACTTAAGTAGTGTGATAGAATCTTCTGTCCAGCATTTGGAAGTCAGCGATTATCTATGGGCATTATCTAACAATGGGATAATTTGTTTTTTCAGTAATTGTTCAAAAACATTTAGTCTGGTCTGGGTGCCATGGCTCACAGCTATAATCCCAGCACTTTGGGAGGCTGAGGTGAGAGGATCGTTTGAGGCCAGGAGTTCAAGACCAGCCTGGGGAACAAACGGAGACACCCGACCCACCCCACAGGTCTCTGCAAAAAATTAAAAAATTAGTTGGGTGTAGTGACATATACCTGTGGTCTCAGCTACTTGAGAGGCTGAGATGGGAGGATCACTTGGGCCCAGGAGGTCCAGGCTTGCAGTGAGCTATGATGGCATCACTGCACTCCACCTTGGATGACAGAACAAGACCTTGTCTCAAAACAAAAACAACCATTTAGTCTGATACAAGTCTATGCATGTTCTCTTACACTTTGGGAACCTCAAAGTGTTATTTGTTAGGAATTTCTATTTGCAAAAGTGATGTGCAGAGATGTTGCAAAATTGAAATTGCTATTTAAAGTCCAATAAATAGTTTTTATTACTCAACTGTCTTATCATGAAGAAAGGTCTTAATTAAATGAGATTACTTCTAAGACAAGAAAACCTATAAGTATCAAGTCACAGGACAATAAGTGTAGATGAAGTTTAAAGGGATAGCAATATTTGTGGGAACATTATAGAGTATAATTTTTTTTTACCTGATTAAGGCATTTTAGAAACAGTGACATGATAAATTTAATCAATTATTCATGAATGGGAACTGCATAAATTTTTTTGTGAAAATCTGAAATTATACATAGTAATTGGGTTATATCCCTAGGACAGAAAATTTTAATAACAAGATAGTAAGCAGCTCACATGAACTTACATATTCAGCATATTAGCAGGAAAGAGGCAAGACATTTGAAGAACTTGCAGAAAAGTTGCAAAGTAAATGAGAGACTAGAATGCTCAAAGGTAAAGTGGCCTTGATTTGAAGTAAGTGGTAACCTAAAAGCTCTTTTTCTTTGGCTTAGTCTCCTAGCAGCTGATGTGTGGCCTTAAAACCTATACTATCAAGGAGTCTCCACCCTTAATGTAGACAGTCATTTTGGCTGTAACAAGAATTGTAGCAGTAAGTAGTCTACAAAGTCTGAAGAGAAGAAAGTCAAATACATACATTGTCAGGTCCGGTACCTCTATAGACTTTTGGCAGTAGAACCACAAAACCACTTGCCCCTGTGGTAGAGAAGGATGTGTGAAGTTTATAGTGTGGGGTGATACCAGGTAACCATCTGGTACTATTTTACTTCCCAAAACAGTATCTTTTTAGGAAAGATAACATCCTTATTACTTGACACATCTCTTTCTCTCTACTTTCTCAAAAATTGGAATCATGGGCCTAGCACAGTGGCTCACAACTGTAATCCCAGTGCTTTGGGAGATGGAGGTGGGAGGATCACTTGAGGCAAGCAGTTTGAGACCAGCCTGGGCGACAGAGCAAGACCCCCATTAAAAAAAAATATATATATATATATATATATATTTTTTTTTTTTTTTGGCAACGGGGTCTTGCTCTGTCGCCCAGGCTGGAGTGCAGTGGTGGGATCTCGGCTCACTGCAACCTCCTCCTCTCGGGTTCAAGCTATTCTCCTGCCTTAGCTTCCCAAGTAGCTGGGATTACAGGCGCCTGCCACCATGCCTGGCTAATTTTTGTATATTTTGGTGGAGATGGGGCTTCACCATGTTGGTCAGGCTGGTCTAGAACTGACCTCATGATCCACCTGCCTCACCCTCCCAAAGTGCTGGGATTACAAGCGTGAGCCACTGCACCCAGCCCCCAAAAATTTTATTTTATTTTATTTTTTAATTATTGTTTTTTTGGAGACGGAGTTTTGCTCTTGTTGCCTAGGCTGGAGTGCAATGGCGCAATCTTGGCTCGTGCAACCTCCGCCCCCTGTATTCAAGTGATTCTTGTGCCTCAGCCTCTTGAGTAGCTGGGATTACAGGCGCCCGCCACCACGCCCAGCTAATTTTGTATTTTTAGTAGAGACGGGGTTTCGCCGTGTTGGTCAGGCTGGTCTTGAATTCCTGACCTTAGGTGATCCGCCTGCCTCTGCCACCCAAAGTGTTGGGATTACAGGCGTGAGCCACCGTGCCTGGCCAAAAATTTTTTTTAATTAGCTGCACATGGTGTTGCGAGTTTATAGTCCCAGCTACTCGAGAGGCTTAAGTGGGAGGATTGCTTGAGGCCAGGAGTTCCAGGTTACGGTGAGCTATGATTGCGCCACTACACTCCAGCCTGGGTAACGGTGTGAGACCCTGTTTCCAAAAAATATATTTATATGCTATATAAACAGTCTCTTTTAACTTGTGTTGTCCCCAAAACCTTGATTGAATTAATAAAATTAGTTTCTTTTACTTCATTAAGACCACAAATAAATGAAAGCAATTTTTTAGTTTCCTAAGCCTGAATATTGAAATCCTGGACTTTGGTACAGGATCACCTTTTGCCACTTTCAGTGACTAGACTCTTTGCTGAAAGTGTCAGCAGGCCTCTGATCGCCTTTTTGAAGTCACATAACCTATTTTCTCAGCTGAGTTTGCCTGGGATTTTTTTTTTCTTTTTTTTTGAGATGGAGTCTTGCTCTATCGCCAGGCTAGAGTTCAGTGGCACGATCTCAGCTCACTGCAATCTCCACCTCCCAGGTTCAAGAGATTCTCCTGTCTCAGCCTCCTCAGTAGCTGGGATTACAGGCATGCACCGCCACACCCAGCTAACGTTTTTTTGCATTTTTAATAGAGACGGGGTTTCACCATGTTGGCCAGGATGGTCGCGATCTCCTGATCTTGTGATCCACCGGCCTCGGCCTCCCAAAGTGCTGGGATTGGATTCTTTTTTTCTTTTTAATTTAATTTAGTTTTCTTTTTTTTTTTTTGAGTCTGAGTTTTTGTCGCCCAGGCTGGAGTACAGTGGCACAATCTCAGCTCACTGCACCTCCGCCTCCCGGGTTCAAGCAGTCCTGACTCAGCCTCCTGAGTAGCTGGGACTATAGGCATGCACCAACACACCCAGCTAATTTTTGTATTTTTAGTAGAGACAGGGTTTTACCATGTTGGCTAGGCTGGTCTCAAACTCCTGACCTCAAGTAATCCGCCCACCTCATCCTCCCAAAGTGCTGGGATTACAGGTGTGATCCACTGCGCCCAGCCTAGTTTTTTTGTTTGTTTGTTTTTTGAGACGGAGTCTTGCTCTGTCACCCAGGCTGGAGTGCAGTGGCACGATCTCGGCTCACTGCAACCTCTGCCTCCTGGGTTCAAATGATTCTCCTGCCTCAGCCTCCCCAGTAGCTGGGACTACAGGTGTGTGCCAGCACACCCAGCTAATTTTTTGTATTTTTAGTAGAGGCCGGGTTTCACCATATTGGCCAGGCTTTTCTTGAACTCCTGACCTTGTGATCCGCCCGACTCAGCCTCCCAAAGTGCTGGGATTACAGGCATGAGTCACCTCACCTGGCCTAGGTTTTTTTTGTTTTTTTTTTAAGTAGGGGTTTTTCTCTCTGTCTCCTAGTCTGGAGTGCAAGGGTGCTGTCTGAACTCATGGCAGCCTCTGCCTCCCAAGTTCAAGCGATTCTCGTGCCTCAGCCTCCCAAGTGGCTGGGATTACAGGCTGCGGCACCACTCCTGGCTAATTTTTGTATTTTTAGTAGAGACGGGTTTTGCTATGTTGGCCAGGCTGGTCTCGAACTCCTGACCTCATGTGATCCCCTGCCCTCAGCTTCCCAAAGTGCTGGGATTACAGGCGTGAGCCACCGAGCTTGGCCTTTTAAAAGTTTTATTTTAATTAAGACATAATAATTGTTGTACATATTTATAGGATACAGTGATGTTTTGATAAATATATACATTGTGTAATGATCAAATCAGGGTAATTAGGATTGCCTGAGTCCAGGAGTTCAATACCAACCTGGCCAACATAGAGAGACCCCCATCTCTTTTTTAAAAAATTGCATAGCAAGAGTTGCAGGATTTAGTAACTGGATAGTTAATAGCAAAGGGCAGAAAAAAGGAAGTTGTTCAATTGCAGGTTTCTTTAATGTTTGTATCAAATTTACCTTTGTATTCATAGGAGCACTCAAAGAAAGAATTTTGCAAAGAGCAAAGCGTAAAGTAAACCTTACATACATTTATCTTGTAGAGGATGAATTGACTGCTTGGTTAACTGGACCTAAGGGAACACATAGGCCTGGGAGATAACTTTTTCCCTAGTGGAGACTGCACCCTTTTTGGCTCAATAACTGTAGTTACATAATCCTTTCAATGCTACCAGTTGTACAAAAAGTCATTGGAGCCATTGTGCCGTTATAATGATTGCATTGGTAGATAATCTGATGGTGATAATCCAATTCTTACCTTTAGTGTAAGATAAGGGCAGTATAATCCTGCAGCGCATTTCTTTCTTTCTTTGTTTTTCTTCTTCGTGAGACAGGGCCTTGCTCTGTCACCCAAGCTGGAGTACAATGGCACAGTTGTTAGTGTTCTTTTTAACCAAAATTAGGAATGTCTGAAGTGGGTATATGTTTCAAATGCAGCCAGATCTACAAATGATAGATTCCAGTAGGTAAGTCATTTATAGTTTGGATCGCTTTAGGCCATTAACCTGTTCTTGATCACGGTGGACTATCCTGTGGCATCGTATTCCAATAATTATTTCCTCTCTCACATCTTTTATTTCTCCTTCATTGACTTCTTGTCTCTCCCTATAAATTTGTTTAGATATCCCTATCCTGGGAGGGCCAGGCGCAGTAGCTCACACCTGTAATCCCAGCACTTTGGGAGGCAGAGGCGGGTGGATCATGAGGTCAGGAGATCGAGACCATCCTGGCTAACACAGTGAAACCCCGTCTCTACTAAAAATACAAAAAAATTACCTGGGCATGGTGGCAAGCACCTGTAGTCCCAGCTACTCAGGAGACTGAGGCAGGAGAATGGCGTGAACCCAGGAAGCGGAGCTTGCAGTGAGCCGAGATCATGCCACTGCACTCCAGCCTGGAGGACAGGGCGAGACTCCGTCTCAAAAAAAAAAAAAAAAAAAAAAAAGCCAGGCAAAGAGTATATACTGTATGATTTAATCTTTTTTCCTTTTTTTGTTGGGGGTAGAGATGGAGTTTCACTATGTTGCTCAGATTGTTCTTGAACTTTGGGCCACAAGCGATCCTCCTGCCTCAACCTCCCAAAGAGCTGGGATTACAGGTGTCAGCTGCCACGCTGGGCCTATGTGATTTAGTTGATACAGTTTTTTTTTTTCTTTTGAGGTGGAGTCTCATTCTGTCACCAGGCTAGAGTGTTAATTCTCCTGCCTCAGCCTCCCGAGTAGCGGGGACTACAGGCGCACACCAACACGCCTCAGCTAATTTTTGTATTTTTAGTAGAGACGGGGTTTCACCATGTTGGCTAGGATGGTCTCGATCTCTTGACCTTGTAATTAGCCTGCCTTGGCCTCCCAAAGTGCTGGGATTACAGGTGTGAGCCACTGCGCCCAGCCATTGAGAAAGAATTCTACAAACTGCAGATTAAGGATCAGAGGTTTCCTAAGGATAAGGGGTATTAAGGAGTGGCTAAAGGGAGGCATGAGGAAACTTTTGGGAACTATAGGGGTTCACTATTTTGTTTTTGGTGATGGTTTTACCATACATAAGTGTGTTGAATCCTATTAAATTGTATACTTTCAACATACTGTTTATTGAGAGCTACAACTCAGCTATTTTTATTGATCTATTTTGAGATGGAGTCTCACTCTGTTTCCCAGGATGGGATGCAGTGGTGCAATAAAACAAAATGTTTCTACAAGAAAATACAGGAGAATATCTTCATGATTTGCAGATCAGCAAAAATGTATTTTCTTTTCTCTGAATTTTAATAATTTATTAATCTTTCGTTTGATGGTAAGCACTTTTTTATGTTCAAAAAATAATGTTTTTCCAGGGTTCAAGTGATTCTCTTGCCCAAGCCTCCCGAGCAGCTGGGATTACAGGTGTACACCACCACTCCTGGCTAATTTTTGTATTTTTTTGGTAGAGACAGGGTTTTGCCATGTTGGCCAGGATGGTCGCAAATTCCTGACCTCAAGTGATCTGCCTGCCTCAGCTTCCCAAAGTGCATCAAAACTATTTTTCATATGGAAATAGCACCCAGATGAGAACAAGCGCAGGCTATTCAGAGCAAAAGAGTCAGCTGTTATCATTTGCATTTGGCAGAGACTCAGAAGCGGACAGAGGAGTGGGAAAGCTTTATAGTGGGGGAAAAAGGGAAGGTTTCAAGTTTTCCCTAATTGGAGGCTCCTGGCATAGGGCAGCTGGCGGCAGGCTGACTAGAAGCAGGGCATCCTGTGTGATTGGTTAGGAGGTGCATATTTGGCTTTCTTCAGTTGGTCCTAAGTTGGAGGACGTGGGGACCAAAATGTAGGGTATTAAGTCCTAGCTCTTTTGGGCCAATGGTTTTTTGTTTTCATTTTTAATTTATGATTGATACATAATAATTATACATATTTATGGGGTTCGTGTTTTGATGCATGTCTAAATTGTGTAGTGACCTATTCAGGATAATTAGCATATTCATCATCTTAAACATTTATTGTTTCTTTGTGATGAGAACATTTAAAAACCTCTTTTTTGACTGGGCACGGTGGCTCATGTCTGTAATCCCAGAACTTTGGAAGGCTGAGGCAGGTGAATTGCTTGAGTCCAGGAGTTCAAAACCAGCCTGGCCAACATGGCATAACCCTGTCTCTACTAAAAATACAAAAATCAGCTGGGCGAGGTGGCGCATGCCTATAATCCCAGCTACTCAGGGAGGCTGAGGCACCAGAATCGCTTGAACCCGGGAGTCGGAAGTTGCAGTAAGCCAAGATCGCACCATTGCACTCCAGCCTGGGTGACAGAGTGAGACTCTGTCTCAAAAAACAAAACAAAAAAACCTCTCTTGCTATTTTGAAATATATATTATTGTTAACTCCAGTCATTCTGCTATGATATAGAACACTGGAACTTATTCCTCCTATCTAACTGTGGCCTTGTACCTGCTGACCAATTTCTCACCATCAACCTACACCCTACTTCCCCATCCTCTGGTAACTCCTATTCTACTCTCTACTACTTTAATAACAACATCTTAGATTCCACGAGTGAGATCATGCAGTATTTGTCTTTCCATGCCTGGCTTATTTCACCTAACATAATGCTCTCCAGGTTCATTCATGTTGCTGCAAATGACAGGATTTTACTCTTTTTCTGTGGCTAATTTCCATGATATATATATTCCTCTTTTTTTGTTTGTTTGTTTTTTGAGACAGAGTCTCACTCTGTCACCCAGGCTGGAGTGCAATGTTGTGGTATTGGCTCACTGCAACCTCCGCCTCCCAGGTGCAAGCCATTCTCCCACCTCAGCCTTCCAAGTAGCTGGGACTACAGGCATGTGCCACCACACTCGGCTGATTTTTATTTATTTATTTATTTATTTTTTTTTGAGAAGGAGTCTCGCTCTGTTGCCCTGGCTGGAGTGTAGTGGTGCAATCTCGGCTCACTGCAACCTCTGCCTCCCGGGTTCAAGTGATTCTCCTGCCTCGGCCTCCCAAGTAGCTGGGACTGCAGGCGCCACAACCATGTCTGGCTACTTTTTTGTATTTTTAGTAGAGACAGGGTTTTACTATGTTGGCTGGGCTGGTCTCGAACTCCTGACCTCATGATCCGCCTACCTTGGCCTCCCACAGTGCTGGGATTATAGGCGTGAGCCACCATGCCCAGCTTCCACATTTTCTTTATCTTCGTTGATAGACATTTAGGGTGATTCTGTATCTTGGCTATTGTGAATTGGGCCAATTGTCATAGTGGTTATTGTTGGCTTCCTGGACTAGTTGCTAGAGATAGTCTGACTTCATTGACTCATTAGTGTAGATAGTAGGTTGGCTTCTTGGGCTGGTTGCTTCAGGTTGTGGGTCAGAATTCTGTCTTTATATATATATATATTGCCCAGCTGTAACTGTAACAGGTCCATTGTTCATTTCGTGCAGCAAGTGAGTATGCGGAGACACTGGGTTGCAGCAGAGAAAAGAGGTTTAATTGTAGGGTTGCCAAAACAGGAAACAGGAGGAACCCTCAAATCCGCCTCCCAGGGAGTTTGTGGGTAGAGTTTCAATTTAAGAGTTTGAGAGTGGGCTGAAGTGTGGAGATCATTGGTCAAAGTATGCAGGGTAAAGTCATGGCACAGAGAGATGAAGAAGCTATATTCTTACACTGGTTTGGTTTCTCTGTGGGGGGGCCTTTAAACTGTTTGGTGTCAGCTATTCTGCTGTACTTCAGGATCTGCTTATGCAATTTTTTTTTTTTTTTTTTTTGACAGGGTCTTGCTCTGTCCCCCATGTTGGAGTGTAGTGGCACGATCTCAGCTCACTGCAGTCTCTGCCTCCCAGGCTCAAGCAATCCTCCTGTCTCAGCCTCCTGAGTAGCTGGGACTACCATGCCCAGCTAATTTTTATATTTTTTTTTCCTAGAGATGGGGTTTCACCATGTTGCCCAGGCTGGTCTCAAACTCTTGGACTAAAGTGATTCTCCCATCTTGGCCCCCCAAAGTACTGGGATTACAGGCATGAGCCACTGTGCCCATGTATTTAAGCAATTCTTAAACAAAAGTCTTATGATTCTAACATCAGGGAGCCTGTCTGTAGAACAGTAGGGATGCAAATGGTTACAAGGAAGTGGGTCAAAGTACAGCGTGATTAATGGTTAATTATATTTCTGTCCAGAATTCTTGTTAATCTTCTAAGAATGGCTTCATAGCCACTGTCTGTTAGTATATTCAGTCTCTTGTTAAAAAATAAAAAATAGGTTCCATCAGAATGGCAAGCCACCTCTGGGAGAAGATATTTGCAGTATGTATATCCAACGAAGTACTTGTATCCAGAATATATGTTTAAAACTTCAGTAAGGAAAAGAAAACCCAATGGTAAAAATGGGCAAAAGGCTTAAACTAGCACTTCACAAAAGAAGATATCTTAGCTAGAGCCTCTGTTTCCAGCTACTCGGAGGCCGAGGCAGGAGGATTGCCTGAGCCTGGATGATTGAGGCTGCGATCGTGCCACTGCACTCCAGTCTAGGCAACAGAGCAAGATTTTGTCTCACAAAATTAAAAAATACAACAATAAGATAGGATATCCAAATTGCTAATAAGCACATGAAAAGGTGCTAATAGGGGAAATTTCAGTCATCAGGGAAATGCAGATTAGATGAGATACTACCAGATACTACTATCTTTACCAGAATGGCTAAAATTAAAGAATAAGTATTACCAAGTGGTGTATAGATTTATAGCAACTGGAGCACTTGAACGCTGCTGGACTGTGAACTGGTACAGATACTTTAAACCTTTCTGGCAGTGTCTGTTTAAGCTAAACATACGTACCGTGTACTCAGTGACCCACCATTAACATTCCTGACTTTGTCTCTGATAGCAGTGAATGTTTACATCCACCAAAAGACACATATAAGAATATGATAGCTAAAAACAGGAAACAACTCAAATGTTTATCATCAGTAGAATTTTATTTATTTATTTAAGATGGAGTCTTGCTCCATTGCCCAGGCTGGAGTGCAGTGGTGCGATCTCGGCTCACTGCAACCTCTGCCTCCTGGGTTCAAGCAGTTCTCTGCCTCAGCCTCCTGAATAGCAGGGATTACAGGTGCCCACCATCACACCCAGCTAATTTTTGTATTTTTAGTAGAGACGGGGTTTCACCATCTTGGCCAGGCTGGTCTTGAACTCCTGACCTTGTGATCCACCCGCCTCGGCCTCCCAAAGTGGTGGGATTACAGGCGTGAGCCACTGTGCCCGGCCTAGAATTTATTTTTAATATTACGTTATATTCATGAGATAGGGTACTATGAAGCAATGAAAAAGAATAAACTGCTGCTACATCCAACAATATAGATGAATTGTATTATAGACATAATGTTGAATAAAAGCCACACACAAAAAAGTTAGTATTATTGATTATATTTGTAAGAAATTCAAAACAACCCAAACTAATCTGTGGTGATATAAATCAGTAATTATTTCCTTTTGGTGGATTTATAGACTGAGAGGGGTGTAATGGAACCTTCTAGAATATTGGATATGTTCTATAACTGTATCTGGATTGTGGTTATATGGGTGTATACATATAAAAATATTTATTGACCTGTACACCCAAGATTTGTGCATTTCAGTGCATCTAAGTTATACCTGATTTTTTTTTTTTTTCGTGACAGAGTTTTTTACTCCTGTTGCCCAGGCTGGAGTGCAGTGGAGCACCCATGGCTCACTGCCCATGGCTCACTGCAGCCTTGACCTCCAGGGCTCAGGCCATTCTCCCACCTCATCCTCCCGAGTAGCTAGGACTACAGGCATGTGCCACCATGCCTGGCTAAATTTTTTTGTATTTTGATTAGAGACGGGTTGTGCCATGTTGTCCAGGCTGGTCTCCAACTCCTGGTCTGTGATCCTGCAAGTGATCCAACTGCCTCAGCCTCCTAAACTGTTGGGATTACAGGTGTGCACCACCGTGCCCGACCAAAAAAAAATTTAACGTGTACCCATTATTTCCTCTTTCAGCTCTCCTTTTGTTTATTCTTTTCCTTAAAATCTTTTCCCAGTCTGGCTTCCCTGTTTTTGTTAAATGAAACTCTAGCTTCTCAGTTATCCATGTTTAAAACTCTGCTACTCCTTTGTCCTGTTTCTTAAGTCAGTCATTAAATCTTATCAGCTCTTCCTTGTTTTTTTATTTTTGTGGGTTTTTTTTTTTTTTTTTTTTGGATGGAATCTCACTCTGCCACCCAGGCTGGAGTGCAGTGGCGCAATCTCAGCCCACTGCAACCTCTGCCTTCTGGGTTCAAGCAATTCTCTTGCCTCAGCCTCCCAAGTAGCTGGTATTACAGGCGTGTGCCACCACACCCAGCTAATTTTTGCATTTTTAGTAGAGACGGGTTTCACCATGTTGGCCAGGCTGGTCTCAAACTCCTAACCTCAGGTGATCCACCCTCCTCGGCCTCCCAAAGTGCTAGGATTACAGGCGTGAGCCACCGTGCCTGGCCTTCAGCTTTTCCTTTAAAATATCACCCAATCATGCCTATGCTAGATCATGCCTTGATCACAATCCTTAATTATTGCCAAGGACCTAACTGATTTCCCCATTTTTCATACTCAAAAGTGTTCTGCATTATGCCCGTAAAGCTATCTTTCTAAAGCACCATTCAGGATGTTGTTACCACTCTGATTGTGTCACTTCCTCTCGTCAAAAGCCTTGGGTGGGCTCCCCTGTCTCGCACACTAGGTGCAGATCTGGCTTCTAGACGCTGATTGTATTCAAGATGCTCATGGTCTGGCCCCAACCAGCTGTATTACTTCCTGTGAACAAAAGTTCTCTGCAAAGGAATTTGGAGGAAAGAGACTTTATCCCAGTGAACAGTTTGTAACCTGGCAGAACAAAGGGAGGGTGCAGGTTTTATAGTGCCTAGGTTCAGAGTCAGGTCTGTTTATGCAAAGGAAGGATTGAAACTTGCCTAGTTCTGGTTGGTCAGCATAGCCGAGTTCTGATTGGTTGATACAGCTGACCCCTGATTGGTTAGTTTCCAGGCCCAAAACCAGAGGTCTCTCAGACATTTGTTTCAAACGGCTGATTGAGGGAGTTCAGGGGTTGGGGGTTGGCGGTTCTTGCCCAGTTTAGCTTGGGATCAACAGCTCCAACAACGTGTCCAATCAACAACAGCTTGATTGTAAAAAGGGAGGTCTTCTACTACTTTTATACATGTTTTTGAGAACAAAGAGTACATGACTACTTGGTCCCCCAGCTATGGCCATCTTGTTCTGTTTTAAACATGACACCCCTCAGCTGCGGGAGTCTATTTTATCTGCTGGCTCAGGACGTCCATTAACATTTTCCAACTATACTCAATCCTTTGGAAAACTGGAGAAAACTGGAGTACTTAATATTTCTAAACCTAATTTGCTCTGTATTGTTTATACCTCTTTGTTCATGCTCGTCTCTCTCTAAATGCATTCTTTCTCTCAAATCATCTCAAATCATTTCAACCTGGGAGGGCTTTTTTTTTTTTTTTTTTAAATGAGACCGGGTCTCACCATGTTGATCTTGCCCAAGCTGGTCCAAATTCCTTGGCTCAAGCAGTCCTCCTGCCTTGGCCTCCCAATGTGTTGGGATTACAGGCATGACCCATAGCGGCCAGCCAGGGAGGGCATTCATGGTGTGTTTCATGAAATCCATGAATCCCCATGAAATTATATGCAAACATTCCTATATGTATGTTTTTTTCTGGAGAAAGGGCTTTTGTCAATAGATTCTCAAAAGCCCATAACTCCCCAAAGTTAAATTGATTTAGTGGCCTTTGAAGGAATATAAATTAACTAATGTGTGTTCAGCAAAGTTTATGTCTCATTAAAATTTAGTCCTGAATCTGCTGGATGATGAAATAATTTTGAATGGATAATTAAAGCTCAAAGTTTCAGAATCAGGTAAAATGTTCTCATTCATTTTTTAGGTTCCTAGATGTAGCTCAGTGTGGAATCTGTTTTCCTCAAGAGATAGTATCTCAGTATTTTTCACTTTGGTATCTTTAGTTAAAGGAAATTTTTTTCCTCCCACTCCCACATGATTATTCCTAGGCTAGTAGACAATACCATCTCTGTATGCTTTGATGTATCAATGCCTTTTTAAAGATATTAGTCATATTTTTTTCACTTTTTTTTTTTAGATTCCTATAGGCAATGGAAACTGATCTCAATTCCCAGGACAGAAAGGACCTGGACAAGTTTATTAAATTTTTTGCCCTCAAGGTAATGTGTCCATTCTCTTGAGCCTAGAACTGTTAGAAATAACTTCCGTGCTTCTCCCTTTTGCGAACAACTCTCTTTGGAAAGTAGCATAACAGCTTGCAGCTTGCCCATTTTAAGGGATACTTCTGTCTGTTGTCAACCAAACTGTGAGGTATGGGGGCGGTATTGGGGGTGTAGCTAAAATGTAGCTTCCAATTTTCCACAGCTACTTGTTCAAAAAAAAAATTTTTTTTTTTTTTGCAAGTCTGTTTGCAGAAATGTCAAACTGTTATGCCAGGTTATTGGCACAGTATGTTCCCTTTGGGTGGGAACAAAGACCATCAGCTGGAATGGGCAGCATTTTGGACATCTTTCCTTAAGTTTCAAGTAATCCTGAAATGTTCAACTTTTATATATTCTTCCCTTCCTGGTAAATGAGGAATTAAAATTGAATTTTGAATGCCATATTTTCCTAAATCTAAAAATCATTTCTACCTATGTCACTCCTCTCAACCATTGCCATGCTAGAACAATCCATGTAGTTGATTTTAGTTGTAAAATTATGTGGAAGACTTTTGCCATATGGGCCAAATGATATGAATAATTGTGGAATTTTTGTTTTAAATCTACCATGGTGTTATAAGTTTGTGGCAGGGAATATTTAAAACCACAGTTGGACACGTTTCTTTATGAACATCATAGCCACCATGCTCAGCTTTCCTTCTGCCATATGAGAATATTACAGTTTCCAAGCCTCAACCTGTAATTCCTTTCATTGGTTGACACTGTACCCTCAGGAATGTTTATAAAGTTATTTTTTGTATGTGGTGTTTTTTCTGTTCTCAAAAATTAAAATTATACTGTTTCCCAAAGTATACTTATGATTAATTGGCATCTTTTAAACTCTGTATTGGGAGGATTTTAACCCTGATCGGGAGCCAGATTAGTCTAAGACTTTTCATCATTTTAGGATTTCTTTTGTGTTTTTTTTTTCTTTAGACTGTCCAAGTGATTGTCCAGGCTCGGCTTGGTGAAAAGATTTGCACTCGTTCATCATCTTCTCCAACGGGTTCAGATTGGGTAAAATTCTATTATTTACTAAGGTGTATACTGTAGTGTTTGTCACAAGGAATGTGTAAAGTTCTCAAGTGCAATAATAAGTAATACCATTTATAGTATTATAAAAGTAAAATATCTAATTCCATTTGATCCATTTACTTGAAAAGGTTGTTCTTATTGTATGTTAATCCTGAATTTATTTGGTTCTTAACTTTCTGCTGTGATAGATGAAAAGCTTAGTCCTTGTAAGATAAAAATTGTGTCTTAGCTAATTTTTGTAATGATAATTACCTTTTTCAACTTGAGATTTGGGGCTTTGATGCAGGATTATCCCTTATGGGGAAGGGAGAAGTGAATGAATTGTCTTCCTTAATCAGCCACAGCAATACTTGCATTACCCAGCATACACTAATTTCTTTTTCCATAATGTTCCTGTGAGTGTTTCATGCAAAAGTCCCTTTTGTTTTCCAGTTCAACTTAGCAATCAAAGACATCCCAGAGGTTACACATGAAGCAAAGAAGGCACTGGCAGGACAGCTGCCTGCAGTCGGGAGGTCCATGTGTGTGGAGATTTCACTTAAGACTTCTGAGGTAAGGCTATGGCCAGGTTGGTGTCTTCATTTAGCACTGAAGGCTCCTCACACTCTGAGTCCAGTTCATTTCTCAGTCTTATTCCTGCCCCTTTCCTCTCTGATATTCTTATCATTCTCTGAGGGGGTCATAGTTTTTTTTGTTCTTTTTTGTTTGTTTGTTTTGTTTTGTTTTTTTGAGACTGAGTCTCGATCTGTCGCCCAGGCTGGAGTGCAGTGGAGCGATCTCGGCTCACTGCAACCTCTGCCTCCCAGGTTCAAGTGATTCTCCTGCCTCAGCCTCCTGAGTAGCTGGGATTACAGGTACATGCCACCATGCCTGGCTAATTTTTGTATTTTTAGTAGAGACAAGGTTTCGCCATGTTAAGTCAGGCTGATCTCGAATTCCTGACCTTGTGATCCGCCCGCATTGGCCTCCCAAAGTGCTGGGATTACAAGGGTGAGCCACTGCACCCACCCTGTTTTTTGTTTTTTGTTTTTGTTTTTGTTTTTGAGACAGAGTTTCACTCTTGTTGCCCAGGCTGGAGTACAGTGGCACGATCTTGACTCACTCCAGCCTCCGCTTCCTGGATTCAAGCGATTCTGCTGCTTTAGCCTCCCAAGTGGCTTGGATTACAGGAGCCTACCACCATGCCCAGCTAGTTTCTTTATTTTTAGTAGAGACAGGGTTTTGCTATTTTGGCCAGACTGGTGTTGAACTCCTGACCTCAGGTAATCCGCCCACTTTCGGCCTCCTAAAGTGCTGGGATTACAGGCGTGAGCTACTGCGCCTGGCCTGTTTTGTTTTTTGAGACAGGGTCTTGCTCAGTTACCCAGGCTGGAGTGCAGTGGCACAATCATGGCTCATTGCAGCCTCGACCTCCTAGGCTCAAACAGTCCTCCCACCTCAGCCTCCTGAGTAGCTGAGACTATAGGCATGCACCACCATGCCCAGCTAGTTTTTGTATTTTTTGTAGAGATGGGGTTTCACCATGTTGCCCAGGCTGGTCTCAAACTCCTGAGCTCAAGCGATCTGCCTGCCTCAGTCTCTCAGAGTGCTGGGATTACAGGGGTCGTGGTTTTTGAACTTATTATTCCAACCACTTGGTATAGGGTCTTTACCCTCTTGTTCACATGACATACTTCTGCTCATCCTTCAAGACTCGCGTGCTCTAGAAACTTTCCCCCTTTTAATGGGAGATATAACTGCAGTCTTAACTTAGACTTCATATGCTGCTTTGTTTATATTTGTTTCTAGAGTGTGACTTGCTGGGTGGTGGTGGTGGTTGCTTTTTGGGTTTTTGTTTTTTTTGTTTTTTTTTTTTGTTTTTTTTTTTTGAGACAGAGTCGCGTAGGTTGGAGCGCAGTGGCATGATCTCAGCTCACTGCAACCTCCGCCTCCCAGGTTCAAGCGATTCTCGTGCCTCAGCCTCCCGAGTAGCTGGGATTACAGGTGCGTGCCACCATGCCTGGCTATTTTTTGTATTTTTTGTAGAGACGAGGTTTCACCATGTTGGCCAGGCTGGTCTCGAACTCCTGACTTCAGGTGATCCACCTGCGTGGGCCTCCCAAAGTGCTAAGATTACAGACCTGAGCCACCATGCCCAGCCTGCTATTGTTCTGAGACTGGGTCTCACTCTGTCACCCAGGCTGGAGTGCAGTGGCGCAGTCATGGCTCACTGCAGCCTCAAATTCCTAGGTTCAGGGGATCCTCCCACCTCAGCCTTTCCAAGTAGCTGGGAGTATATGCTGCACCACCACACATGGCTAATGTTTAAAAAAAAAAAAAAATTTTGTAGAGACAGGGTCTCCCTGTACTGCCCAGGCTGGAGTGCAGTTCTGCTTATAGCTCACTGCAGCTTCAAACTCCTGGCCTCAACTGATCCTCCTGCCTCACACTCCAAAAGTGCCGGGATTATAGGAGTGAGCCACTTTGCCCAGCCTGTATTGTGAGTTTTAAAAAATGTTTTTGCTTGCCTTATTTCACATTAGGATTGATGCAGATACTGTTTCAATGTATTTTCACTGATAGATTATAAGGCTGTATGGTATAATGAAAGGTAAATAGAATTTGGAGCTACACAGAGCCAAGTTCAATCCCAGCTGAGTGACTTTAGCCAAATTACTTAACCCCACCCCCCCCAGCACTTTTTTTTCCTGCTCTGTTGCCCAGGCTGGAGTGCAGTGGCACGATCTTGGCTCACTGCAACCTTCCCCTCCTGGGTTCAAGCGATTCTCTTGTCTCAGCTTCCTGAGTAGCTGGGACTACAGGCACCCGCTACCACGCCCAGCTAATTTTTGTATTTTTAGTACAACTCCCAAAGTGCTGGGATTACAGGCGTGAGCCACCATGCCTGGCCCAGCAATTGTAATTCTGAAAATTTTCCCAAAGAAATTAATTGAGTTTGTGGGAGAAGTTTTAGTCTCAAGGTTGTTTATCACAATTTTTGCAGTAATGAAAATTAGAAACAACCTTTATGTTCACACTAAGATGAAGATACCCCCAAAAAAGAATAAAGAAACAACCTTGGCCGGGCGCAGTGGCTTACGCCTGTAATCCCAGCACTTTGGGAGGCCAAGGCAGGCAGATCACCAGGTCAGGAGATCCAGATCATCCTGGCTAACATGTGAAACCCCGTCTCTACTAAAAATACAAAAAATTAGCTGGCTGTGATGGCAGGCGCCTGTAGTCCCAGCTATTTAGGAGGCTGAGACAGGAGAATGGCGTGAACCCGGGAGGCGGAGCTTGCAGTGAGCCCAGATTGCACCACTGCACTCCAGCCTGGGCGACAGAGTGAGACTCTGTCTTTAAAAAAAAAAAAAAAAAAAAAAGAGAGAGAGAGAAACAACCTTTATGTCCAAGAATTGGAGGACTGGTTGGATAAAATGATAGTCATATGGTGGGATACTGTGGAACCATTTTAAATGATTTAGAATTTTTAATTATAAGGAAAATTCCATGACGTATTTATTAAGAAAAAACAAGTCATCAAAATAGCATATAGACTGTGATTGCCCTTTTATTTAGAGAAGAGGCTTGTTCGATTATAAGTTGATATCTATTCTTTTTTTTTTGCTTATCTATACCTTTTAATATTTTTATAGTGACTGTAATGCTTTGAAATTAAAAATTTTTTAAACAAATATTTTAAATTTGTCCTTTCTACAGGGAGATTCCATGGAGCTGGAAATATGGTGTCTTGAAATGAATGAAAAGTAAGTGCTGCGTCTTAGGGTCCTTGGTTGTGGTTGCTGAGGATAAAGTAGATGACATCATGTGAAAAGCAGGGCTTTGTTTTCAGAGTCAGGGAGGGCATTCTGACCACTTAACAAAGCCAATAGGTCTTTGCTACAATTTGCTTCATCCTTGGCTTCCAGCCTGGACACAGAGATGACCTTCAGAGGGAACATCAGTCCAGAGAGACTCAGATACTACAGGGAAAGGAGCAGCAGAAAAAGCTGAAAAGGCTTTGTTGTTTTCCCAGAGTACAGCTAGTTCTCTGATTAAATCCCTTGCGAGCTCTTGTAATATGACTACTCTGTTTTGTCTGTTTTCTGTGTGGCAGCCATCCAATAAGATTTCCCCTCCCTGCTCCTTTTTACAGACTGTATGGGTCATGGATTGGAAATGCATGTTATTTCCTTTCCCCATTTTCTTCTTTCAAGGCAGATTAGCTTATCTCTTGCCTGAAGCTTCAGTTTTCAACAAGAGTATATAGGAAAATTGAGGAAACATCAACACATCAAAAGAAAAATCTTAGTGATAAGTATATGTGGTGGACATTAATTTTCTTTATTGAATAAATGCAATTGCCAGGTTATGACCCAAAATTTTAGAGCCAAGCTGACTTTTCTGCAGACTTCTGTTAGATTATCGAGATAGACAGCTCATAGGATAGTACATGTTTGCACCTTCAGTGTATATAATTGCAGTATTTATTTATTTATATGTTTTCAGATGTGCTGCTTTATTTCTAAAAAAAAAATAACCACTTTGAAGCTAGAAAAAATATATTGGGTGCCTTTTGGTGCTCATTTGCCTGTGTCTAGTACATGAGAAAGTAAAACATTGGCTTACCTCAGTAATCTGTTGATAAAGGTGTAATTAGAGTTCTCTGGTTAGTCAGAACATGTCTTAATAATAAATTTGGTCTTGTGTAGCTCCAGCGCTAAATAGAAGAATGCTGACCATATCTTTGTGCCTGGCAGGTGTGATAAAGAAATCAAAGTTTCCTACACGGTGTACAACAGACTGTCATTGCTGCTGAAGTCCCTTCTTGCTATAACTAGGGTGACACCAGCCTATAGGCTCTCCAGGAAACAAGGGCATGAATATGTCATATTATACAGGTAAACAGCATAGATGGTCATCTTGATTCACTCATCAACCCCCTCACTTTGTACATTGTCTGGCATTTAGATGTTCTGTGATGATGTTTTGGACAGTTGGTTGGTTTGTTGGATTATTGATGCTGTCGCTTTCATGTGATCACTATCCAGCCTGCCTTATGAACCTCACCCTTCCAAAGCCACCAGGTTTATTATCCTTTTCTATATGCACAATCGTGATTCCTGTGGAATGGATGTTGAGGTCCTAGTGATAAACATCTTAGAGCTAGGGAAGGAAGTCAAGAGTTTTATTTATTTATTTATTTAGAGACGGAGTCTCGCTCCATCGCCCAGGTTAGAGTGCAATGGCGCGATCTTGGCCCATTGCAGCCTCTGCCTCCCGGGTTCAAGTGATTCTCCTGCCTTAGCCTCCCGAGTAGATGGGACTACAGGCACCCGCCACCATGCTCAGCTAATTTTTGTATTTTTAGTAGAGACAGGGTTTCACCATATTGGCCAGGCTGGTCTCGAGCTCCTGACCTTGTGATCTGCCTGCCTCAGCCTCCCAAAGTGCTGGGATTATAGGTGTGAGCCACGGCACCCGGCCTGGAAGTCAAGACTTTGAAAAACAGTCTATACTGGGAAGATTCCACAGTTTTCTGTATTCCAGGGTTAAATTAAAACTTTGTCTAACAAACTGTTAACTCAGTTTAAGTTTTTAATTAGTTGTCTGTGGATATAAAGAATGGGTCAACAGAGTATTTTCCTTGGAGCATTTCACCTCAGCACATTTATTGAGCACCTTTTTAGTGCAAGCATTGTGCCAGGAGAACTTAAGAACTATACAGAGGCCCAGCATTAGAGGTGGTTTAATGTAGTGAGGAAAACAATTTGATACATGTATAATTACTTTTAAAAAGCAGGATTTGAAAACTGCAAACCAGAATCAGGAAAAAAAGGTACTGAGAGAATATAGAAAGATAAAATTTGTTCTGGTTGGTAAACAGTGCAGTTCTTATGAAGGAAGTAGCATTCAAGCTAGCCTATTAGGGAAAGAGAATTTGAGCTGGTAAAAGTGAGGGAGAATAATTATTCCAGATGGAGAGTTCAGCAGCTAGCAAGGCACAGAAGTGGAGGGCAGGGTCAGAGCTCTGCTCAGATTGTCAGATGAACCAGAGTGGTGGAGTAGAGGGTATGTAGCAAAGTGTGAGAGAAGAGCTTGGAATGCTGGGGTCCCAAATCTACCAAAGATGCCTTTCTTTTGTATTTAGTGATAAGCCATTGGTTTAAGCCTTTGCCTTACATGTATAGAGCTGATTTTTAGACGAATAGTATAGCAAGATAGAGGGACCAAAGGAGGAGAGACTTATCTAGTTCTGTTGAAATAATCCGGTACCTGAGAATAGTTGTCATTTCCTTTAACTTTCTTAGCAATATCCTAGCAAGCCTAACCATGTCTATTTTTCTAGGTCTTTAATAAATTTTTGCCGTCTTCTCCGTAGTCTTCTGGTTTCAAGTTGTTTTATTTGAAAATTGCTAGACTTCTATTGAGATATATTAGAAAGATACCCTACTAAAATCATCGGCTTAGTTACCTAGGACTGCTAGTCCTTTTCATACCAGTGTTTAAAGTGTTCCTTTATTAGGTATCTCTGGAGTAATCATTACTGCTCACAGGGGCCGGACGCACGGCTGTAATCCCAGCACTTTGAGAGGCTGAGGTGGGTGGTCACTTGAGGTTAGGAGTTCGAGACAAGCCTGACAACATAGCGAAACACTGTCTCTACTAAAAATACAAAAAATTAGCTGGGCAGGGTGGCACGCTCCTGTAATCCCAGCTACTCGGGAGGCTGAGGCATGAGAATCACTTGAACCCAGGAGGCGGAGGTTGCAGGGAACCAAGATCACACCACTGCACTCCAGCCTGGGTGACAGGGCTATACTGTATCTCAAAAAAACCCAAACAAACTAGTGCTGCTCACAGGATGTTGATCATTTAGGAGTGCTTTTGGATACAAATAACTGTAGCTTAGATCTAGAGATGTGGGTGATCTCAGAGGTAGACTTGGCTTTTCCACCTGCTTTTTATACTGTTGTTAGAAGGTTAACAGCGTGATACCATTAAAGAATAGTCTTGACCAGGTGTAGTGACTCACGCCTATAATCCCAGCACTTTGGGAGGCCGAGGCAGGAGGATCACCTGAGGTCAGGAGTTCGAGACCAGCCTGGGCAACATAGTGATACCTTGTCTCTACTAAAAATGTAAAAAATTAGCCAGGTGTGGTGGTTCACATCTGTAGTCCCAGCTACTCAGGAGGCTGAGGGAGGATTGCTTGGGTCCAGAAGGTCAAGGCTTCAGTGAGCCATGATCACACCACTGCACTCCAGCCTGGGTGACAGAGCAAGACTCTGTCTCAAAAAAATACACATTGCCAAGAAAAAGTTTAGCAAATTTTAAGCACTGTATCAGTATTTACATGAATAGTGAACTGCCTGAGTCTCAGCTTCTTGTTAAAGGCCTTAAAGGGTATTTACTTAGCAAGATCTCTTTTACCAACACTTTATTAACATTGTTCCTATATTACTTTATGGCAGGAGTCACTAAACTATGGTCAGCCGACCATCTGCTTGTTTTTATAAAAAAAGTTTTTTTAGGACACAGCCATCCCCTTTGTTTACATATTGTCTATGGCTACTTTTGCAATACAACAGAAAGCTGAGTATTTGTTATAGCCTATACGGCCCACAATCTTAAAATAGTTACCATTTGGTCCTTTACAGAAAGGTTTGCTGATCCCTGCTTTTTTAGTATCTTTTGTCTGTCGTATCTGTAGTACTTTTGTGCTTTGTATTTCAGATATTTACATACATTTCATTTCTTTTCTTTTTTTTTTTTTTTTTGAGGTGGAGTCTTGCTCACCTAGGCTGTGCAGTGGCACGATTTTGGCTCACTGCAACCTCCACCTCCTTGGTTCAAGTGATTGTCGTGCCTCAGCCTTCCAAGTAGCTGGGATTAATAGGCATGCACCACCACGCCTGGCTAATTTTTGTATTTTAATTAGAGATGGGGTTTCACCATGCTGGCCAGGCTGGTCTTGAACTCCTGACCTCAATTGATCCGCCCACCTCGGCCTCCCAGAGTGCTGGGATTACAGGCGTGAGCCACCATGTCCAGCTACATTTCTTTTCTTTCATACAAAACTGTAGTCTGTAAGACCTAGGATTCAGATTTATCCTTATTTCATTCCTAACATCTAACCATGAAGCTTCTTTTTTTTTTTTTTGTTTTTTGAGACGGAGTCTCGCTGTGTTGCCCAGGCTGGAGTACAATGGCACAATCTCGGCTCACTGCAAGCTCCGCCTCCCAGGTTCACGCCATTCTCCTGCCTCAGCCTCCCGAGTAGCTGGGACTACAGGCACCCGCCACCACGCCCGGCTAATTTTTTGTATTTTTAGTAGAGACGGGGTTTCACCATGTTAGCCAGGATGGTCTCGATCTCCTGACCTCATGATCCACCCGCCTCAGACTCCCAAAGTGCTGGGATTACAGGCGTGAGCCACCGCGCCTGGCGAAGCTTCTTCATACATTGTTGGAGCTTAGTATTTATTGAATAAACCCATGTGTATATTTAATTTTAACAATATTACTTGAAAAATATGAAAATAGATTTTAGGTATTTTGAATTCAAACTTTTTGCTAATATAGACTGGCCTGTCCAGGGAGAATCATAGGAAGGTTCCACTGTGTTTATGTTTTTATTTTTTTTTTTCAGAATAGTCTTACCTAGTTCATTATTCCACGGTGGAAAAGATTTCCTGCTTTGTTAAGCCATCTACTTAGAGATTTCTTCATGGCCAGGCACAGTTGGCTCACACCTGTAATCCCAGCACTTTGGGAGGCTGAGGTGGGAGGATTGCTTGAGCCCCGGAGTTTCAGACCAGCCTGGGTCACATGGCAAGACCTCATCACTACTATTTTTAAAATTTTATATATATATATATATATATATATATGTAAAAGAGAGCTTCCCACAACTAAAGACCACTTATCAAACTCTAGTACATTCTGGTCAGGTATGGTGGCTCATGCCTGTGATCCCAGCACTTTGGGAGACTGAAGTGGGAGAATAATTTGAGGCCAGGACCAGGGGCAGTGGCTCACACCTGTAATCCCAGCACTTTGGGAGAATGAGGTGGGAGGATCGCTTGAGTTCAGGAGTTCGATACCAGCCTGGGCAACACACCGAGACCCTGTCTATACTAGAAATAAAAAAACTTAGCTGGGTGTGGTGGCACGTGCCTGTAGTCCCAGCTGCTTAGGAGACTGAGGTGAGAGGATCTCTTGAGCCCAGGAGGTTGAGGCTGCAGTGGGCAGTGGTCATACCACTGCACTCCAGCATGGGCAACACACTGAGACCCTGTCTCAAAAAAAACAGTTGAGGCCAGGAGTTTGCAACCAGCCTGGGCAATAGTTAGACCCTGTCTCTACCAAAAATTATTTTTAAAAAACCCGAAAAACAGGCCAGGCATGGTGGCTTGCACCTGTAATCCCAGCACTTTGGGAGGCTACGGCGGGTGTATCACTTGAGCTCAGGAGTTCAAGACCAGCCTGGGCAATGTGGCGAAACCCTGTCTCTACCAAAAATACAAAAATTAGCCAGGCATGGTAGCGCATACCTGTAGTGCCAGCCATTTGGGAGGCTGAGGCACAAGAATCGCTTGAGTCCAGGAGGTGGAGGTTGCAGTGAGCCAAGATGGTGCCATTGCACTCCAGCCTGAGCGACAGAGCGAGACACTGTCTCAAAAAAAACCAAAAAACAGGTCCGGGCGCAGTGGCTCACGCCTGTAATCCCAGCACTTTGGGAGGCTGAGACGGGCGGATCACGAGATCAGGAGATCGAAACCATCCTGGCTAACACGGCGAAAACCCGTCTCTACTAAAAATACAAAAAATTAGCCGGGCGCGGTGGCGGACACCTGTAGTCCAGCTGCTCGGGAGGCTGAGGCAGGAGAATGGCATGAACCTGGGAGGCGGAGCTTGCAGTGAGCCGAGATTGCACCACTGCACTCCAGCCAGGGCGACAGAGTGAGACTCAGTCTCAAAAAGCAAAACAAACAAACAAAAAAACAGCCGGGCGTGGTGGCATGCGTCTGTAATCCCAGCTACTTGGGAGGCTGAGGTAGGAGAATCGCTTGAACCCAGGAGGCTGGAGGTTGCAGTGAGCCGAGATCATGCCACTGCACTGCAGCCTGGGTGACAGAGCAAGACTCCGTCTCAAACAAAACAAAACAAAACAAAACCAGTGCCTTCTAGTAGCAATCCTAGACCTGTTGGCCACTTTTATTTATATATTCTTTATTTCTCAGTAGGTATAATTTTAAAATACATTTTAGTAGCAGAGAGAAGAAACTTAAATAGCAGTTTCCACTTAATTATTATTTTCCTCATTTCTTTTTTTGAGACAGCGTCTCATCCTTTTGCCCAGGCTGGAATGCAATGGTGCAATCTTGGCTCACTGCAGCGTCAACTTCCTGGGCTTAAGTGATCCTCCCACCTCAGCCTCCCAGTTATCTGGTACTCCAGGCATGCACCATCACACCCGGCAAAATTATTTTTTGTCAATGCAGGGTCTTGCTGTGTTGCCCAGACTGGTCTTGAACTCCTGGCCTCAAGTGATCCTCCCGAAGTGCTGGGATCACAGGCATGAGCCACTGTGCCTGGCCTTATTTTCCTTATTTTTTAACCAACCCACTCTGTACGTCTCCATGCCTGTAGCTTAATTGAAGTAGTAGGAATTACTAATGCTCCATCAGCAGAGGTATTTGAGCAGATGAGTAAGGAAGGCTTTGTTTTATTTTGTTTCTACGTGTTTTGGCTATAGAGGCCCTTAGGAGTAAAGAATCAGGTAACATTTCTTATTTTTTCTTCCATACAGGATATATTTTGGAGAAGTTCAGCTGAGTGGCTTAGGAGAAGGTATGTATCAACGGTTGAAAAACATCGTAGTGTTCAGAGCTCTCCTAACTTCAGAGATGATCTTCGTTTCTACTTGTTATAATATGTAGATTGTCATCTTAATATGCATAATACAAGTAAAGAAAAGATGAGAATGCAGGTAGGTGGTCCAGGTTACCCCTGATCTGCCAGGGTAACCAAATAATTTTTCCCAAAGTTCCAGGAACTCAGTCTTCTTTCTTACTCTTTATAAAACTGTATATTTTCCTAATTTTCTACAGTGAGGATGTTAAATGTTTCTGATGAACAACAAGAATTTTGAAAAATTGGAAATGAAACCAAGAAAATCAGGAAAGCTTTGTTGAAAGTGTCACTTGCAAGGCCTTGGCTCTTTACTTAGCCGTGGAGTGGCAGCTTGGGTGGAAGGCAATTACTTCTTAAACTGAAGTGTTTGTGTGACATTCTAGTGCTCCTTCATTGTCTTTTTTAGCATGTGATGTATCCTTTGCAGGGCTGGTTAGTAGAACTTTCTCAGGCCTTAAAACTAACAGTTATTTTATCTCTTTGAAGGTAGCTTTATCTATAAATAGAGTGCTGTTTCCCTTGCCAATATTGGCTCAATATAGAATACATTGAGAGGGAAGAAACCTATATATACACACACATACACGCACATACACACACACACACACACACATATGAAATTAAGGCTGCTGCACTTAACATGCTAAGTGGATAATGCCAGAGATTACACAATAGGCCAAATAATTCAGGGAAAGACGGTCTGGGGGCAGTGTCAGTATTCTCTGCAAAAGAAGCTAATAATGTATCTCTTCTCCTAGGCTTCCAGACAGTTCGTGTTGGGACAGTGGGCACCCCTGTGGGCACCATCACTCTTTCTTGTGCTTACAGAATTAACTTGGCATTCATGTCTACCAGGTGAGGAAGAGCCCTGGAATCCAAAAGAACTCTTCCGAAAATGTTAAAGTTTTTTTTCTCCTAAACTTTAAGACTAAACCTACAATTCAGCTTTGCTGAAAGCAGTACCTTCAGAAGAATAAAGAGAGAGTGCAGTTGCCAGATTGGAGAATTTGAGTGTCCCAGAGCCAGTTTGTCCAGAACGTAGGATTGGTGGTTTATATTTAGGGATTGTGATAGTTAAAGCTCTGGTAGTGCCTGCCAACAGATGTAAGGTGAGGGGCCCTCTGAGGACTTTGTGGGGGCTGGAAAGGCATTCTAACAAATACTGGAATCTGCTTATTGTATTACAGGCAATTTGAGAGGACCCCACCTATCATGGGGATTATTATTGATCACTTTGTGGACCGTCCCTATCCCAGCTCCTCTCCCATGCACCCCTGCAATTACAGGTGAGGAATGTGAAAAGGTGCTCTCCCAAACTGCAGCTGGGCAGAAGCATCCATCCTGCACAAGCACATGGAACACTTTTCTCAGCACTCACTCTCCAGTGGGCAGGGGGCCACTGATGGAGACCCCACGTGGAGAGAAATCAAATGGGCCAGTTTCCCTTCTTTCTGCTCCCTCTTAGGTACACCAAGACTTAGTATATACAGACTGTCTCAGAAAATTCTTGGGATATTTTGGATCTTGATGTTAGTGATAAGACTTTTCTTGGTGAAACCCCATCTCTACTAAAAATACAAAAATTAGCTGGGCATGCCAGCACATGCCTATAATCCCAGCTACTCAGGAGGCTGAGGCAGGAGAATTGCTTGAACCTGGGAGGCAGAGGTTGCAGTGAGCTGAGATTGCACCACTGCATTCCAGCCTGGGCTACAGAGTGAGACTCCTTCTCAAAAAAAAAAAAAAAGACTTTTCTCAGTTACAAGTTACTTAGAGCCTTAGAAGAGTGGCAGTGATTTGTGGAATATCCTTGACAAATTAATTGGTTTTCAGGTTACCATCTGGCACATTAGTTTCATATCAGAATAAAATGTCTCCAGGTCTAGAACTCAGAAAACAGGGGTTAGACTAGATGTATATCAGGAAGGATAGTACCTTTATGTGATAGACTTGTGAAATTGAATAGGCTTGGCTTTAGGGTTTAGATACTTGTTTCGTGGAGTCTCTACTACTGATAATTCTTTGAAAACCCAGATGTGGCTCCATTACTGGCCTGGCTTAAGAAAATGCTCTCTCAGACCAGGCATGGTGGCTAACACCTATAATCCCGGCACTTTGGGAAGCTGAGATCTGTGGATTGCTCAAGCCCAGGAGTTGGAGATCAGCCCAGGCAATGTGGTGAAACACTGTTTCTACCAATTTTTTTTTTTTTTTTTGAGACGGATTTTCACTCTTGTTGTCCAGGCTGGAGTGCAGTGGCATGATCTTGGCTCACCGCAGCCTTCACCTCTTGGGTTCAAACAGTTCTCCTGCCTGAGCCTCCCGAGTAGCTGGGGTTACAGGCATGCGCCACCACGCCCGGTTAATTTTTGTATTTTTAGTAGAGACGGGGTTTCTCCATGTTGGTCAGGCTGGTCTCAAGCTCCTGACCTCAGATGATCCGCCTGCTTCGGCCTCCCAAAATGCTGGAATTACAGGTGTGAGTGAGTCTACCAATTTAGAAAAAAAGAAAAGAAAAGAAAATGCTCTCTCAAATAATAGGTCAGGTAAGATGTTTGGGTTTAAAAAACAGGCTGGATGCAGTGGCTCACACCTGTAATCCTAGCACTTTGGGAGGCTGAGGCTGGAGGATTGCTTGAGCTTAGGAATTCAAGACCAGCCTGGGCAACAGAGGGAGACCCCTGTCTCTACAAAAAATTAAGTTAGCTGAGCATGGTGGTACATTCCTGTAGTCCCAGCTACTCGAGGCTGAAGCAGGAGGATTGCTTGAGCCTGGGAAGGCTGCAGTGAGACATGCCACAGCACTCTAGCCTGGGTGACAGAGTGACACCTTGTCTTAAAAATGAGAAACAAGAACAAAACATTGTCAAACCTCTGAGTGCCACTCTCTGGAATGTTTGAAATTATTGAGGACTCCACATGCCTTTCTTGCCAGTACGAACTGTGTGAAACCGTTCTTAGCACAGGTCCCATCTCTATCTAATCACCTTTTATAGCCTTTCTGAAATTGACTGCCACCACCATAAAATTCATTATTTCTTTCTTTTCACTTTAGAACTGCTGGTGAGGACACTGGAGTAATATACCCGTCTGTAGAAGACTCTCAAGAAGTGTGTACCACCTCTTTTTCCACCTCCCCACCATCCCAGGTAGGGGGAAGCAGGTTCTGGGGTGGTGGTAGTTATTTGGTATATATATGGGCTTTATGAAATGGTGTCCAAATTTAGCTACAATCCCTTTTAATAGTGGTGGTGATTGTTTCAAAGGGGTTACTTTGAGGGGTAAGAGAGAGCCTTCTTGTCCAGAAGATAGTATTTCTAGTCTGTAATTATTCATAACCTTCAAGATTACATTTAGCCCTTACCTTCCTGGTGACATCTTAAAATTCCCTAGAACATCAGTCACAGAATTCCAAATGCATTCTGACACCAGAGATTTTGTCTAACTTACACTTGTTAACTTCATAGCTACTTCTCTATTGAGTGGTAAATTTCATTTCTAATAATGGAAGAGGCCCCAAAGAGCCAAAAATTATTTAGCATAAAATGACAGGGAGAAACCAGTAGTACAGCTTTTCTTTATAGTTGACACAGATTTCTGCTTGTGTGTATTCCTTATCCAGACATTTTTAACCATTAACTTTTCCACTTCAGTCTTCAGTGGCAAACCCAGTTTCATAAAACACAGGCTCCAAACACTGTTGTCAGCTTCCCCAGAGAAAGCACCCCTGTGGTCTTGTTGTGTAATGTGTGTGGCGCCAAGGCTGCTTTGGCTAAACAGTCATTTTTGCAGCTGGCTGAATTGCTGGGGCACATTTCTTGCCTTCCACCACAAGTCACTCATCCTCAGCTTCCTTGCCTCCAGATTCCTCTTCTGCCTGCATTAAGTATTGCTTTCCTCTTTGACTTTCACATTAGATGGTTTCTTCTAGATCTACCTCAGTTCTACTTGCCTTTAAATCAGCCCAGATTCTCCTGTTTCAACTTCTTATTTGGAGGACCAGACAAATTCATTAGCTGTCCATGTGTTTTTATTTACTGTTGTTGTTGGTTTTTTTTTTTTTTCAATTTTTCTTTTTCCCTTTTTTTTTTGAGACGGAGTCTTGCTCTGTCACCCAGGCTGGAATGCAGTGGCATGATTTCAGCTCACTGCAACCTCTGCCTCCCGGGTTCACGCCATTCTCCTGCCTAGCCTCCCGAGTAGCTGGGACTATAGGTGCCCGCCACCACGCCTGGCTAATTTTTTGTATTTTTAGTAAAGATGGGGTTTCACCATGTTAGCCAGGATGGTCTCGATCTCCTGACCTCATGATCCGCCCGCCTCGGCCTCCCAAAGTGCTGGGATTACAGGTGTGAGCCACTGCGCCCGGCCTTTTTTTTTTTTTTAATTTGAAACAGGGTCTCACTCTGTTACTCAGGCTGGAGTGCAGTGGTGCAGTCATGGGTCACTGCAGCCTAGACCTCCCAGGGTCAGGTGATCCTCCCACCTAAACCTCCGGAGTATCTGGGACTATAGGCATATGCCACCATGCCCAGCTAATTTTTTTAATTTTCTGTAGAGATGGGGTTTTGCCATGTTGCCCAGGCTGGTCTTGAACTTCTGGACTCAAGTGATCTGTCTGCCTTGGCCTCCCAAAGTGTTGGGATTACAGGCTTGAGCCCCCACACCCAGCCCTTCTGTGTTTTTTGTTTTGTTTTGTTTTGTTTTGAGACAGGGTCTGTCTCTGTCGCCAAGGCTGGAGTGCAGTAGCGCAATCTTGGCTCACTGCAGCCTCCGCCTCCCAGGCTCAAACCATCCTCCCACCTCAGTCTCCCAAGTACTGTTTTTGTAATTCCAAAAATTAAAAAATTTTTTCCATCTTTGGTTGTTGGAGGAGATATTGGATTAAAGTCATAGTTCTGCCGGGCGCAGTGGCTCACGCCTGTAATCCCAGCACTTTGGGAGGCCAGGGCAGGCAAATCATGAGGTCAGGAGTTTGAGACCAGCCTGGCCAACATGGTGAAACCCCCCTCTTTACTGAAAATACAAAAAATTAGCTGGGCCTAGCGGTGGGCGCCTATAATCCCAGCTACTCAGGAGGCCGAGGCAGGAGAATTGCTTGAACCCCGGAGGCAGAGGTTGCAGTGAGCCAAGATTTCCCCACTGCACTCTAGCCCGGGCAACAGAGTGAGACTCCGTCTCAAAAAAAAAAAAAAAAAAGTCATAGTTCTGCAAGGCTCAGTAGCTCATGCCTGTAGTCCCAGCCCTTAGGGAGGCCAAGGAAGGAGGGAGGATCGCCTGAGCCCAAGAGTTCAAGACCAGCCTGGGCAACATGGTGAAACCCTGTCTCTACCAAAAATAAAAAAATTAGCGGGTGTGTTGGTACAAACCTGTAGTTGCAGCTGCTTGGAAGGCTGATCTGGGAGGATCGCCTGAGCCTGGGAGGTTGAAGCTGTAGTGAGCTGAGATCGCACCACTGCCCTCCAGCCTGGGTGACAGAGCGAGATCCTGTCTCAAAAAAAAATAAAATAATAAACTCACAGTTGTAATCTGTTTCAAAAGCAGGAGTTAATGTCTGTGATTGATGTTGTAGAATCCATGGATCACTATTGTTTCTATTGTCCTAGTTTGTTTTGGGTGAAAGAGATTCTTGTTCTAAAGTTGCCAGAACAGTTTAGTTTGGGGGTTTGAGAATTGTCATTCCCCTGCTCTCATGAACATATGTAGGCATGAATGTCAGCAGTGATCTGGTCAGGGGAGCTTCTTGTATGCTTACTGACACAGAGTAGCATTGACAAAAAAAGCAGACAAAGACCTACTTTCTTCCTAGTGCACATTAATAGAAGCAGGGTTTTTTGTTGTTGTTGTTGTTTTTAGGTAATTAACTTGTAGATATGTCTAATATTTTTCTTTTTATTTTTATAAGCTCATCCCAGCTGTTCTAAAAGATATGTCAAATTTAAATTTCAGTAAGCAGTTCTGTTTTACAAGTAATAGATTCATAAATAATAAAGTTGTAACTTGCGAGATATGAGGGATGGTGAGACTAGGCCTTAACCAAATCAGTTTGTCTGTTTCCCTGATACAATGGAAAGTTGAACCTAAAAGTAAATGGAAGTTTAGTAGTTTCTGCACCTGGTGTTTGCATCAAAGTTTGTATGCCTGTGTGACTAGAGGCTATCTTTTTAATGGTAACTGTCTCTTATTGTGTCTTATTGCAATTTAAAACTAGATCACACCAAATTCTTATCAACAGTCTGCACTCCATAAGTGAGCCCTGTCATCATTACTCCCTGGGGACCTCTGATCAAGGCTGGTACAATTTGGTACAAAAATACTCAATTTTGAACCTAATTTCTCTTGGCAGTAGAGAGACAGTCATTTGCTATCATTTCTCCTCATTCCTGTTAATATTATTCCTGTTAATAATGTAGTATTTTTCTTAGTGACTTGCATAATTACTCAATTCAGCAACTTCTATTGGAGCTTTTGCTGGAGTCCAGTAAATACATGTTAATGTGATGTTGTTGGTTTTGCCAACAGTATAAGGATCGTTGTGCCATTTGGGCACAGAGTTGAGTCTAGAAATGAACCTACTGTGTGGCCTAAGGTCCTGCCTCTAGTTCTAAGCATTAATTAGCTAATCGGTCAGGTTTAAAACTGGAACAGTCCAGGCGCGGTGGCTCACACCTGTAATCCCAGCACTTTGGGAGGCCGAGGTGGGCGGATCACGAGGTCAGGAGATCGAGACCATCCTGGCTAACACGGTGAAACCCCGTCTCTACTAAAAATACAAAAAAATTAGCCAGGCTTGGTGGCGGGCACCTGTAGTCTCAGCCACTTAGGAGGCTGAGGCAGGAGAATGGCGTGAACCTGGGAGGTGGACATTGCAGTGAGCCAAGATCGCACCACTGCACTCCAGCCTGGGCGACAGAGTGAGACTCCATCTCAAAAAAAAAAAAAAAAAAAAAATGGAACAGTAAGACCCAAAATAATCATCATGACCATAATCATTATGCCCTTAAGTAGCTTTGAAATCATAAGAGTTTTCAACATGCCCCCAGCTTTTTACTTCATCAGGTTCACCTATGCCATCAGGGACTGTAAGAACGCATACACACACCCCTGCACACCCACTTGTCTTCCCTGGAATGACGTAGGAAGCATGCATCTGAGCTTCTTCAAGTTCCAGCCACCCCTTCAGCTGTTTGAAACTGTCCTGCAGATTCTGGGTTTCCTGAAAAAGGCTTTCAGTTGAACATTACAAGCCCCGCATCCTTACTCATCTTCAGCACACCTTGCATCTGCAGTCAGACCTTTCTGTTGGAAGCTGCTGTCTGACTTCCTGTCTTTTTTGAGTAGAGACAGACTAATGGTTGACTCAAGTTTCTCTGTTTTGCCAAGTTGTAGCCAGCTCACCTCAGCTTTGTTTTCTAACTGCTTATCAGGGACACAGGCATACATGGAATGCCCTGAAATAAACATCACTCTAGGAATCTTCCAAGTTGTCCCTTTGGAAAGACAGCCCCACGCCCTTGCCCTGCTTCACTCCTGACTCCAGTGTCAGTTCTGGCCTCTCTTGCTACTGCCCCTTCCAGAGTTTCTTCACTTCTTTCTCAAGTCCCTTTTCTTTTTTTTTTTTTTTTTTGTTTCTCCTGTCTCTGTGTGTGTCTGTGCACAGTGTGTGTTTACTGTCACAAAGGCACATTTTCAGACCCCTACTCCTGTGGTGACGGACACCCTGAGGGTCCCCATGGCAGGACTGGCCTTTTCCCATCAAGTGAGTCCATAATGGGAAGAAGGGGATATAATCAGATGGCATCCTTTTATTTAAAAATTGTAAATAAATTATAAGGTACAGTTATTTAAATGTCCCAAGTGTTCTGTGGGATTATTTTGAGGCTTGGTAATAGATTTTAATAGGACACAGCCACGGCCCAACAGCCTAAAATAGGGAATTTTCATCTGCCCCTCCTCCTACCATTGATGTGAAAAATACATGGAGTTATTTATATCAGATTTTTAAATAAACAACTCACAACTGGTATTCTGTCTTTTTTCAATATAAATAGCAACATTCCCATACCCAGGGGTGATGGAGGGTGTGATTAGAGAAGAGGACTTTCTATGTCAAAGGGGCCTCAGGACAAAGGAGAGAATAGAATGACTTTGGAGAACCTGGTGACTTCGGCTACCAGTTCTGCGCAGGCTTGTGCTCCACACATCTGCTGGGCTTAGCACTGAAACAGTTAGCTCAGCCCCTGGGAAAACGGGGAGCAAGGAACTTATTTGAGGCCTTTGGGAAGCTCCACAGCTTGGAATCCCAATCCCAGTACAAACAAGTCTGTGTTTTCTTCTCTAATAACGGCCTCATCTGTCCCTAACCCCTATCACGTCAGGCCCCCTGCACTGTGGGCATGTGGGCGGGAGCCATTCCTTATCTCTCTACTGAGCCATCTTGTTTGTCACGCTCTGGGATTGCCTATTTTTTCCTTGCCTTTCCTTTTCTCCTCTTTGTTTTTCTCTTGCTTAGCTCTCAAGCTCTCGCCTTTCCTATCAGCCTGCTGCCCTGGGCGTTGGATCAGCTGACCTGGCTTATCCAGTAGTGTTTGCTGCTGGCTTAAATGCTACACACCCTCACCAGGTATCTTTAAAGATGGGGAGGACTATGGGTTTCCAGTGCTGCCTCCCCTGCCCGGAGGCAATTGAGGGGTCTCTCAAGGCAGAGGGATATGTTCTAAGTGCTATATTCTGAAGCAAAACTCTTTCGTGACTTCAGAGACCAAAAGTGACTCGAGAGGAAGGAGCCTCTTAGACTTCAGAAAGGAAAGAAGACTTTTCCAGGATTTTTCTCCATTTCCTTTTTCCTCTGTAGTCATTAGTCATTACCGTGCATTTCTTCCATTAACTGAGTTTCAGAGAGGATAAAGATCCAGGGATTGCTGCCTACTTGGTGGCAGCGTTGGTGATGGAAAAGTCAAAAGCAGATACCATCATGCTAGAATGTGAAGTTCCCCTCCTGCCTGGCATGCCATGATTCACTGTCTCTTTCCATTTTTCCCCAAAGCTGATGGTTCCTGGGAAGGAAGGTGGGGTACCCCTTGCTCCCAACCAGCCTGTCCATGGTACCCAGGCTGACCAGGAGAGACTGGCAACCTGCACCCCTTCTGACAGAACCCACTGTGCTGCCACACCCTCCAGTAGGTGAGTTCACATTTTGGCTCTGTCTCTGGTAAGGCTGGCCAGGGGCCTGGGCTCCCTGACACACGTGCTTATTTAGAATTAGTAAAGAGTAACTTTCAGCATTGGCTGGGACATGGCATTTGAGCCCAAAGCATGGACTCCTAGCTGGGAGTGGTGGCTCACACCTATAATCCCAGCACTTTGGGAGGCCAAGGTGGGAGGATTGCCTGAGGCCAGGATTTTGAGATTAACCTGGCCAATATAGTGAGACTCTGTCTCTCAAAAAAATTTATTTTTCCTTTTTTTTTTTTTTTTTTTTTTTTGGAGACAGAGTCTCACTCTGTTGCCTAGGCTGAAGTGCAGTGGTACAATCATGGCTTATTGCAACCTCCACCTCCTGAGTTCAAGTGATTTTTGTGCCTCAGCTTCCTGAGTAGTTGGGATTACGGGCGCGTGCCACCACACCTGGCTAATTTTTGTATTTTTAGTAGAGATGGGGGGTCTCGTCATATTACCTAGGCTGGTCTCGAACTCCTGGCTTCCAGTGATCCTCCCGCCTTGACTTCCCAAAGTGCGGGGATTACAGGCGTGAGCCACCACGCACAGCCTCAAAAATATTTTTTTTAAATGAAAGAGAAAAAGTGTAGACTCCTTGAAGTTCCCTGGTAAGAATCTGATATATCTGCTGGGATGTCAGGAAGCTGGCGTGGAACTTCAGTACCAACGGGAAACAGCAGGAGCTCGGTTCTTGTCACCCTTATCCAGTAAAGGGGTTGTCAGATGTTTTTCTCTTACCCCAAGATTTATATCCTTGGAGTCAGTCCTTAGTGTTTCCCAAGGACCAGAACAGGGTGTTGACCATGGCCCTGAAGTCTGGGCCACAGTATGTCTGTGTTATAGTTGGGATTGATCTCCTTTTTCTGCTGTGTCAGAGCCTCATGGAGAGCCTTTGGAACAACTGTTTTCCTCATTTAAAAAAATGTAAATCTTTGTCTTTTCTGATTACCGAAGTGATACATTCTGTAAAACTCAAATCCTAAAGACATTAGATAGGAAGTGAACGTTCTCATATTTCCACCCTGCAGAAGTCACCACTGTTACCTGCTTATTTAAAGACTGAAAGAAACTTTCAGAACGGTTAAGTGATTGGCCTGAGCTCAGTTAGCTCACAGGGCACAAGGGCGAGCAGATTCTCTGACTCCAGAGCCCCACCCCTTCTTTCCACGATGCTTTCACTCTCCCTGGGGAGCCATGGGCTGTTTTGACCTGCCCTACCCTCCCTTGATTTTGAAGGCCCCAGAGATACTGAGATTACTTTGCCCCCTCACATTCTAAATGAACTTTCTCCTGATAGAAATTCCTGATTTTTTTTTTTCATTCCCACGGTAAAGTGGGAAGGAGTCATTTAGGAAGGTTTTTGTGTGTGTGTGTGCCATCCATCAGGAAAAATAATTTATGTCATTCCTGGCTTCTCAAACTTCCATCCTCTCCCTTTTCTCCCTCTGTTAGATGATTAAAGGCATTTTACACTCTAGTTTTCTGAGCCTTGACTCTTGGGACATATCCAGGAGTAGCTAAAGACAGAGGCCCCTGTGTGGAAATTCTTAAATGGAGGTCATAAGAGCTCAAAAGCCTTTGCATAGTACAGGTCCTCCCTGCTGGCTGGAGTCCAGGGGCCACTTGACTGCACAATCCTCCTGCCCACCTTGAATCCCCGTTTTTGGCCAGAGGACTTTTCCTAACCCTTGCTGCTTGCAGGGCTGTGACTGCTGGTTTGGCAGCCACAGCCATGGGCCCCCACTGCTGCTGCTTAGGGCCCCCTGTGCAGGACTCAGCTTCAGTCTGAAAGGCTGGGGAAGGAGGGAGTGGGAACAGCCAAATTAAATATGTCATTCAAAGACCTTTAGTTGAGGGAGGGATGATTGGGGGCGAGGAGAGGGGAGGAAACATGGCAGGGAGCCTAGAGAACCTTAGCCCAGGCAATTTGTCAAGGGTGAAGAGATCTCTGGCAGGCTAAGGAATCAAATTTGGAACTAAAGAAGAAGAAAAGCTAGAAATTTTAGTAGTTCCAGGAAGTGCAGCCCTCTACAATCAACTCAAAAGGCAGGGCAATAGTGGCATCAGCCAGACCACATAATGCCATCTCCCATTGATGGGCCAGTGGGGACCAACTCCTGCCCTAGGCCACAGCCCCACCAGATGGTGTATTTATAGTGAACTAAGTCGTCCTGCTGTGGTTTGAGAACGAGTACTAACTTCACCTTTCTCCTCCAGTGAGGATACTGAAACCGTATCAAACAGCAGTGAGGGACGGGCCTCCCCTCACGATGTCTTGGAGACCATCTTTGTCCGAAAAGTGGGGGCTTTTGTCAACAAACCCATTAACCAGGTGATTTTTCTGCCACTGCCACCTGTGAGAATGTCTGAGTTCTTAGAGTAAGGCCCCACAGGCAGTTTTCTTAACCTGAGATATTAATATATATGAAACTACTGAACTGGCATGCAAAACTGTATGTGTGTGTAAATTTTTCTGTGAAGAGGATTAATAACCTGTGCTACCCCTCCAGAATAAGTTAAGAACTATTGTCCTGTGACCTTTTAAAGCCTCCTACAAGAAAGGGAGACTAGACCTAGATACCATTTAGTACAAAAACACTACACTGTGTCATTGCCTCGGCCTTATTTGAATTGAACTAGGAGGTTCCTCCTCAGCGGGGCCAGTGAAGCACATTATTACTGCATTACTGTGGATCAGGCTTCCAAAGCTGAATTCCCAGGGTCCTCAGGACCCCAACCCTTGTTTATGCTGTGGGTGTATGTGATGGGGGACAGGGAGGTGAGCGAGCTTGGAGAGCCTCTAACAAGGCAGGAGCCTAAGGGGCAGCATGGTCAGCATAGCTGTGTGAACTTGCTGGACCTCTAGGCTTCTGGCAACCAGGAAGGAAGCATGAACACTGCAGGAGGGGCAGGCATGAATGCTTTTCTCCTGTGTCTCTTCAGGTGACCCTGACGAGTTTGGATATACCCTTTGCCATGTTTGCTCCCAAGAATTTGGAGCTGGAGGATACCGATCCAATGGTGAGCCCACCGTTGACTACGAGTTCCCAGTAGATGGTGCGCTAGTCATTGTTCTTCCTGAGCCAGAGTCACTAATCCCCCACAGACTATAAACCATGGCCCCTCGGCTTACGGGTTTGTAGCCAGCATTAAGTTCTTCCCAGAATTTTCAGATTGTTTACAGTAACTTGAATCTGGGTCACAGCATCAGCCCTAATCCTGCCTTGCTATGAAACAGGTGAATCCTCCAGATTCCCCAGAGACTGAATCTCCTCTCCAGGGCAGCCTGCACTCAGATGGCTCCAGCGGGGGCAGCAGTGGCAATACCCATGATGACTTTGTTATGATAGACTTTGTAAGTCGCCGTCACCTTCCTTGACCTTTGCTGTCCCGGGGAACTAGACCTAGAAGCATCTACTGCACTTGATCCAGATTTCCTTCATAGGGATCAGATGTGCTGGTGTAGACAGAAGGGATGGACAGGTGGAGTCTGGTCTGGGGAGACATTTTGGAGGCCGATAAACAACAAGGCATTTTTTGTCATGCCTTTGGTTAAAATTCATAATGAAATTCAACTCTAAATGGAGATTTTCCACTGATACCCACTTAGGTCCTATTCGTGGCTAGGCAAGGAGTTTGAAGGAGTGGGACATAAACTTAACTAGTGGAGAGGAATATTATCACCAGCATTAGAAGTGAACAGTCTGGGAGAGAAAAGTGTAAAGATTTCTCTCCCTAAGATAAGCCTGAAAGAACCTTTTGATAATTGCTAGAAGGAAAGACTTGTTCATAGCTTATCTCCTCTGTGGTTCAAGGCAAGCTAAACTGACTCTGTCTTGTTTTTGAAGAAACCAGCTTTTTCTAAAGATGACATTCTTCCGATGGACCTGGGGACCTTCTATCGGGAGTTTCAGAACCCACCTCAGCTGAGCAGCCTCTCCATAGATATTGGAGCACAGTCCATGGCTGAAGACTTGGTATGGAAACGTCTTCCTCTACCACAGTGCATCCTTATTTGATGGTCATTCCTTTGCCAAAGGCCTAGGAGGCCTACCACCTTCTATCTTCCCTGTAATAGGAAAGAGACATAATTAGAAAATTATCTTTTGATCACTCTTGAGATTGGCATTGTGCCCAGCAGTCATTATCTGGAATTTGCTTGAGCTTGGTTCCTTCTTTCTCTGCACATTCTCAGCATTACTTACATGCTCCTGTTGTTCTGTGCCTGACGTCTTCTCCTTGCAGATGCCACTAGGCCAAGTTGCTCTAACAGCCATTGCATTAGCTATTTAGCTTTCCAGGCAGATGCCAGTGGTACTGGGCAGAGGAGATTGTGAGGTCCTGAGTATCTGTGTTCTTGCTCTTTCCTCAGAGAGCTCACTCCGTCATCTAGCAGTTCTCACACTTGACCAGATGTCCTGATACTGATTATAATGACCCCATCTCTGCTTAGGGCATTTCCTCTTCCTGCCTCTGAGGGGCAGAAGAGTGCCCCGCACAAGCCACAAACTGGGTGCCCCATGCCAGGAGATGTCCCTCTTTGAGGTGGAATGATCACCTCCTAAATAGATATTAAGATCCTATGGTAGCTGCCCTGGATTTGCTTTAAGGAGAAAAGCATGCCCAGTAATAACAATACAGTAATAGCCAGGTGCAGTGGCTCACGCCTGTAATCCCAGCACTTTGGGAGGCCAAGGCAGGCAGATCACAAGGTCAGGAGTTCGAGACCAGCCTGGCCAACATGGTGAAACCCCGTCTCTACTAAAAATACAAAAATTAGCCAGGCATGGTGGCGGGCACCTGTAATCCCAGCCACTCGGGAGGCAGAGGCAGGAGAATCACTTGAACTTGGGAGGTGGGGGTTGCAGTGAGCCAAGATTGGATCACTGCACTCCAACCCGGGTGACAGAGTGAGACTCCATCTCAAAAAAAAAAAAAAAAAGTAATAATTACTACTACCAAGACCTTTTGGGCCAGGCACAGTGGCTCACACCTGTAATCTCAGCACTTTGGGAGGCTGAGGAGGCCTTCACTTGAACTCAGGAGTTTAAGACCAGCCTGAGCAACATGGTGAAACCCTGTCTCTACAAAAAGTACAAAAAATTAGCTGGGCGTGGTGGCATCCGTCTGTAGTTCCAGCTGCCTTGGGAGGTGGAGGCAGGAGGATTGCTTGCTTGAGCTGGGGAAGTCAATGCTGGAGTGAGCCATGTTTGCGCCACTGCCTCTAGCCTAGGTGACAGAGTGAGACCCTGTCTCAAAAACAAATAAATAAATAAATAAAAATCAAGGCTTTTTGAGTGCCAGGCATTTTTCTAAGTGTTTTACATGAATCTTCAACAGCCCTAAGAGGTAAGTTTTCTCATCCCAGTTTACAGATGAGAAAACCAACAATGATTAGCTTGCTCATAGTCACACAGACCCAGGCAAAACAAAGCTTTGCTTGATCTTAGAGGATCTGGTTCCTCAATTTAGCCTTTTAACCACTAAACTCCCTTGCCTATCATGACATGCACTTGGAAGAAAGTGTGGCTCCAATTCTCTCAACTGATGCCACAGCCGTAGCCAGTTCTGAGGCCTCCCTCTCCTTTCAGGAAGCTGCACCCAAACCACCCTCAGCTGTTGGTGTCTCCAGGCCACATTAAAAACTCTGAGGCAAGAGACTCTCCACGCTCCCTTGTGGTCGTGTTTAAACCCCTACTGGCAGGAAATTGTGATGGTGAAACTCTGCAGATGCAGCTTCTGTTCATTTAGTCATCAGTAGAGACGCATTTTTATTAATAGTTGATACTCTAGGACAGTTAAACTTCTCACAGTTCTGTTTTCCTCTGCTTCTGTCTTTACCATTCTCTCTCAATCTCTAACTCACCCCTTCCTCAGCTGGTATAAAGATAACAGATTCTGGCCGGGTGCAGTGGCTCATGCCTGTAATCCCAGCACTTTGGGAGGCCGAGGCGGGTGGATCACAACATCAGGAGTTCAAGACCAGCCTGGGCAACATGGTGAAACCCTGTCTCTACTAAAAATACAAAAAATTAGCTGGGCTTGGTGACGGGCGCCTCAGGAGGCTACTCAAGCTACTCAGGAGGCTGAGGCAGAGAATTGCTTGAACTCGGGAGGCGGAGGTTGCAGTGAGCTGAGATCACACCACAGCACTCCAGCCTGGGTGACAGAGCGAGACTCTGTCTCAAGAAAAAAATTTAAAAATACAGATTCCTAGGCCTTACCACAGACCTGCTACTGTGTCAGAATGTCAGTAGTATAGTGGGGCCACCTGGTTCACATTCCCCCCAGGGGGTCCCGATGCCCAGCAAAGGGTGTGAAGAAATCTTTTGTAAACTGTTTAATTTGTAGAGCTGTACACTTGGTATTTTATTCTAGTGTCAGTCAGATCTGTGCCAGGGATATTTCATGTTTAATTTCTGAATCATCTTGCTCTTGTGGTCCTTTTCTCTTTTGTTAAGTGTGTGGCCCACTTGGACTCCCAAGGCCGTTCCATTAATCCTCCAGCCCCTGCAAAGCCCTGATGCATATACCCCTCCCTACCCTGTGCCTACGCAGCTGCCCTGCGTTCTCCCACTTGCTCGGCCCAGCTAGGGCTGAGCTTCGTCTTGCTTGCTGCCTCCCCTCTTCGGGACTGGGCTGGCTGCCTCCTCAAGGCCCTGCCTGAATAAACGGCTCTTCCCTCTCTTTCCGGTACAGGACTCATTACCAGAGAAGCTGGCTGTGCATGAGAAGAATGTCCGCGAGTTTGATGCCTTTGTGGAAACCCTGCAGTAAAAGTATCCTTGAGTCCCAGCAGCACCCCCTTTTTGTGGCCCCAGGGCATAAGCAGCCTCCCATGCATCAGCTGCTCCCACCCCTCATCCTGCTCTGAGCCAGGTGGAAGGGAGGCTGGCTTCTCCCATGGGGACCCAGAAGTCCCTACTCTTGGACCTCCTGGAGACTCCGTGGCGGCAGTCAAGCCCAGTGCCCAGTTGGAGAAGACTCACGTGCTGGCCTTGGAGATGGGAAGAACCTTCGTACGAAAAAGCCCTCAGCAGGGCCATCTGTGTGCCCTGCCCATCACCAACTGCTTCCCAAGGGTGTCATCCTGTTCCTCCTGCTGCCGGCCTCCTGCCTGGGCCTGCCTTGCAGCTGGCCCCTTCCCTGCCTGCTGTCACCATCCACTGTTTGACATTCCAGCTGGTGGCCAAGAGATTGGTGTGGAGTCGCAGAAAGAGGAAGGAGACAGTGCCAGGAGGAAGAAGGAAGGAGTCCCTTAGCTCTCTTCATTGTCCCCTTTACTTCCTGCTATCTTCTTCTCCTCTTCTTCTCTCTCTTGCCTCTATGCCTGTATTTCTGGCAATATGACAGGCCTGCCTACCCAAGATCAGAACTCCAAAACCACTCCCACCCCTGAAGGTCGGGAGGGTCTGAGCAGCCCTGGTGGCTGCCTGTGCTCAGGTCCTCAGCTCCATGGGAAATAAAAATGGCACCCTGAATCTCTAGGATTTTGTCACTTGGAGTCACAGCAAAGTTCTCTTCCTCTTGTCCCCCCGTTGCTGCTCCTTGGTTATAGAACATGGTAAATATTTATTACTTTCAGAGAAACCAGATATTTTATAGAGGAAATATGTTTGAGGTGAGTTGTTTTTCACTTGGAGAAGGCGGAGGGCTCTTCCTGGGACGGAGACCTCCTCCTCCGGAGGTTATTGAGAATCCGGGCTGCTGCTTTGAGGATCTTCCCACCATACAGACAGCGAGATCCAAGAAGAGGGCTGGCCGGGGGCAAAGTCACCTCCCAGTGTGGCTGCACTGGAACTGACTAAAGGCTTTACCTTGGATAGTTGCGTATTCCTGGTGAGAGCCTTACATCTCCCACAGTTTCTGCAGAGTGACTGACTCCATTCTGGCAGCCCAGGAAGTCCTGGGTGCTAAATGTGATGGCCACATGTAGTGGTTAGGGGATGTTGTGTGTGTCCCCCAACTGCCTGGGTACTTGTTCCTGATCCCTGGGGCTGTCCTGTGGAGCTTTTCCTCCTGCTTGGGCCTAGCTACCATCTCCCTCTAATCCCAGGTTCTCTACACTGCCCTGGGGTTTACCAGCTGGATTGGCTTCTGGTTGAGAAATCAAAGCTGGGCGTATGATTGACTTAACCCTTCAGGTATTGTTACTTGAATAAGTCAAGTGCCTAGCCTCACCCACCTATGATCTGTCCTTTCCCAGCCTCGCTGGTAGTCCTGGTCAAGGAGATCTAGGTCTACTCCATTCCTCCTGGCCCACCTGGGGCATTCACTGGCAGCAGCTGTGCTTCAGTGGAGCAGGTGGTTCTCAGCTGCTTGTTAGTATACTGCATGTGACACTGTTCCCACATACAAGGCTGACTTCTGAGGATTGGAGCAGGCTCTGGCGGGGACCAGAGCTCTGCGTGCTGCTGCTGCCACCAAGAAGTGTTAGCAGAAGCAGTAGCAGCCAACTGGCCCTCCTGACTTTGGCCCAGAGCACATGCGTGGCTTGCTGAACCCAGGCTCAGGTTTATCCCCAAGGCCCCAGCTTTGAGAAGGGGGAAGGCCCCTGGTAAGTTATTGATGCCCCCATATTTCAGCTACTGCTCTCTTTCCAAGGCCTTGCATGGAAAGGCCTAGCCATTGTCTGAGGCAGCAATCTTTGGCATCTACAGGTGGCAGCAGCCTTTCACCAGGGCTCCATCTGTGAAGAGTCTCAGCCATGACTTTGAGCTGAGCTTGGGAGAAGTAAAGCAACTGTTAAGGCCAGCCCTTGCCCCTCAGACCTGCCATGAAAGGAATGAGCCCTAGACTGACTCCTGCAGCACCCCCGGGACAGGCTGGGACCAGCTGTTTGTCTCCAGGTGTCAGAGTCCCTCCTCCTCCTCCAACCTCTCCAACCTACTTTGTTTGGAAATACCGAGCTACACTTCAAAATGTATTCAAGGGATTTCCAATAAATTTTTTTCTGTACTTTACAGCCTCCTGTCCTGTAGGTTGTCTGAAGACCTCGTAACCCCTTCCCCACCCCTGCCCCAGTGCAGGTCTGGGAAAGGGGAGAGTGGTGCGTTGTGAAGCGCAGAAAGACCTCAAGTGTCTGGGCAAGCCTGTTTTGAGTCGGGTGTGGCCTCTTAGGGGCTGTATACCCTGGGGTTTCCTGGGTCAGGAAACTTCTTAGTATTTCTCTTTCCCTGGTCCCCTATCAGGGGCTTGAATTTGAATATTCAGTTGGAGAATGCATTTAAAATACACCCATAGTAAAATCTCCATAAAATGCAGGCCACCGTTATCAGCTCTTTATTGCTCTTACATAACAACTCACCCTGGAGGGAAAAACAACAGTGCAAGGCAGGGAGTGCAGGGCTCCCCAAGCCATCTGGGGGATTTGTGGCTGAGCAAGCAGAAGAGAAGTAGCAGGAAGTTAAAGGTCCATGCAAGTTTGTTAGCTGCCTTGATCTGACTGGCGGTGCTTGAGCAGCCAGGAAGAGTAGAAGAGCCCCGGGGTATGCGTCCTGTCTGGCTCCTGGGGCCTGGGGCTGCAGGCCTCTCAACCCGGCCAGGGCCAGCCCCGCCTCCTAATTCTCCTAGTTTGTGACCATAGTTAGGGGAGGGAGCTGATTGGTGGAGACAACATCCCGGAGGTAGGGATGGTTCTAGAGGCAAAAGAGAACTGACAGAACTGGACAGCTGCTGTCTGGGTTGCTTCCCCACCCGCCTTCAGGCTGAAGCTAGGCCCAGGATTAAAAGGGCTGGTTAGAAAAGTCCAAATCCAGCCTATTCCTGGAGCCAGGAGCTCCTGATTATTAGTAAACCAGGTGACACTGATCATGTGGCCAGCCAGGACAGTTGCCCAATACCTGAGTCAGAAGTGACGAAAAGGCTGTTCTGGTGTTCCCCCTTCAATCAGGAACCCCCAATAACAAAGTTTTCAGTTGCCCCATGCCCAGCAATGGTGTCCTACCTCTTTAAAGCATCTCCCTACACTCTACCCCTGGAGGCCATCGTTGTTAAGGCCTTGGTAAATTGGCATTTGAGTCACTCAGCAGAGGCCCTGCCAGGAGCCCAACCCAAGTAAACAGTTTCCTCGCTCCTGTTTCCCTGGGTCACTGCCTCTCTATTCCAGCCACTCAGCTCTAGCTGAGCAGATCCAGAGAGAGAGGAGGCCCCCAGTGCCTGGAGGAAGGCCACCATTGTGGAATGGGACTTGCTTCTTGGGGCTGAGGCCCAATGTTTGTAATCACCATCTGTAACCACAGCCTGATCCTGCAGCTCTGGCCCTGCTCCCCCAGCCCGGACAAGCAAGGAGGAGAAAAACCAGGCCCAACTGGGGCCGCTATAGCCTCCTGATTGCCATTAGCAAGCAAGCAGCAGACACCTGGAACCTGACCACTATGGGAGGTGAAATTCTGGCCTACCTTCTCACCAACAAACCTGTCAAAAAAAAATGCGGTAAATAATCATCTTAACTTTTAAAGCAAAGCAAAACTTGCTTAAGAGAGGATAGGAGAACTGGATCTGTCACAGCCTCCGTGTGGGCCTGGCAGGTGGAAATGGCCTGGCCTCAGGCTGAGGGGTGGGCAGGAAGGGAGGACTCGGGCTGAGGGACCCTCTCCCAGCTGCTGTTGCATGAGGCTGGGGCTATCACACCATTCACCCATGACCACTGCACACTCGCGGTGTTAGATACGGTCTACATTTTTTTTTTTTTTTTTTTGAGGTGGGGTCTTGTTCTGTCACCCAGGCTGGAGTGCAGTGGTGCAGTCACGGCTCACTGCAACCTTGACCTCCAGGGCTCAAGCAATCCTCCCACCTCAGCCGCCTCAGTAGCTGGAACCACAGGCATGTGCCATCATGCTCGGCTAATATTTTTTTTTATTTTATTTTTGGTAGACAGGATCTTACTATGTGAGATCTAACTATGTCCAGGCTGGTCTCGAACTCCTGGGCTCAAGCAATCCTCCTGTCTCTGCCTCCCAAAGTGGTGGGATTACAGGTGTGAGCCACGTGCCTGGGGTGTCTGCATTATTTCTGATCCTCAAAGGAACCGTCTTCTGATGAAGCAGCAGCCACAGGGGTGGTGAGCCAGTGATGATGACTGTTAGCGGTGAGAGCTGGCACGTGAGGGAACGAGGACTCAAACTCTCGTGTGACTCCAGATCCCACACCATTGTCCATCACAGTCCACACCACTTTTCTTCCCCCTGCTTGCCTTAGATAAATCTAAGATCCCTTCAAACTTCCGGTACCTTCCAGTTGGGAAACAGGAGAGGCCCTGGTCATAGGATGCAGCACATGGTGGCCTGCTGGAATGCTGGGGGTACAAACAACGGGAAGGTGGCCGTGGACACCTCCATGCCTAGAAGCTGGTCAGGAAGCTGCCCTCATCACCACTCGAGTGCACAAGATGAGGAAGCGGCAGACGGACTGGGGAGGGGACTTCCTGAGGCCCCATCTGTTCCTCTTCCTCCACCGCACCACACTTCCCATCCAGTTTCCAACTTCCACACCCAACTCATTTCCCCAACATCCAGATGAGCAGTTTTGCATCAACATTTTTATTGAAATACAAAAAGTGCAAACGGTGAAATACATGATTGGTGCCAAGGAAGTCATTAAGTGTGAATGTGAACACTGGATTCACACAGTACAAGCACCCGCTCCCTGGGGTACAGACCAGTGGGGGACATGAGAAAGACCAAATAGATCCGAAAGGCTCCCCAGTGAATGGGGCTGTGAGCGACACTTGATACACAAAGGAGGGCGGAGAGCAGAGCAGCCCTGGCCGAGGCTAGAGACCAAGGGACTGATGAAGAACCAGCAGCAGCCCAGGCCCCAGGGGGCTGGATGCACTGCTGATGGTCTTGGGAGAGCCCAGCGAAGTTATGCCCAGGCCCAGCCTGGCTTGCGGATGGGGCTGGGCTGGTCAGTGAGGATCCCCACAGTACGGGCTCTGGAATCATCCTGCCTGGCCAAGGTCATGGGGGCAGGGTCACTGCAGGTACTTCCCTGTACTCCCCAAGGACAAGGCTGCAGGAAGAGGGATCCCCAGGAAGGAGTGTAATTCTACGAGACAGTGGGAGTGAGATCAGCCATCACTGGGGCCGAGGTTCTTTGAAAGACAACAGGGCTGGCCGGGTGCAGTGGCTCACGCCTGGAATCCCAGCACTTTGGGAGGCCGAGGTGGGTGGATCATGAGGTCAGGAGATCGAGACCATCCTGGCCAACATGGTGAAACCCCGTCTCTACTAAAAATACAAAAATTAGCTGGGCATGGTGGCATGCACCTATAGTCCCAGCTACTCAGGAGGCTGAGGCAGGAGAATTGCTTGAACCCAGAAGGCGGAGGTGTGCCGAGATCGCGCCACTGCACTCCAGCCTGGTGACAGAGCGAGACTCCATCTCAGAAAAAAAAAAAAAAAGGTGGCCCTAGAGCCCCTTAATCCCCTGGGGAAATTGCTAGAACCCACCTATCTGGACTGACCTATCAGCACAATCTCTGCCCCTCCTACGGGCACTCTTAGTCTCTACCCCAGCCCCTTTAAGAGTCCCCCAGCTGGAGGAAGGAGCCATAAGATCCTGAGGCACTGAGTCACCTCTGGCTGGGGCAGGGGCCAGTGTGACTCCGTAACAGACAGGTCCACAAGAACATGAAGGCTGATGATCTGCCCGTGTGGGAAAGGAGGCCAAGAGGGGAGAGGCTAACCTGGCCGGTCACTGATTCCATCACACGCTGTAGCTCTCGGGGGCGGGGAGGTGGAGAGGGAGGTTTCAAGTGGATGCTGGGACTCTGAGCCATGTCATCCAAGCTACCAGTCCCTGCACAACCAAGGGGTTAGGACACCCCAGGGGCAGTATCACTTGGGAAAGGCTGACCCAGGATGTGTGGAAGAGGAGGCAGAAAGCAGACACAGTCTCCAGCCCTGTCACTCCTCAGCAGGGGAAATACCCCAGACTGCGCTGCTGGGGGCAGTACAGGAGCAAGGGTGCTTGCACTCAGGCCTTCATGCAGTGGGGCTTCTGCAAAGCAGGGCAGCCTACCAGATAGGGAGGCACCTCAGCTTGGGGCGGTGTCCACACCAAAGAGCTCAGCTGCTCATTCCCAGCAATCAAGAGGGGAGGACTGGCCCCTGCTACCAGCCCAGCCGGCAGTCATTTGATTCATCCACACTTGCTAGGGAAACAGAGGCAGGAAAAAGCAGGAAAGGGGTTACTGGGGCTCAGTCCTTCTCCAGCTGGAAGAGCCAAGCCCAGCTCTGGAGAGCCCAGCAAAAGCCCGGTGTCCAGAGAGGCAGTGAGAAGTGTAAGGCAGAGAAAAACGTCTTCTGGTAACAGCGAGGCCGCCAGGGCCGTGAGGCGGGCTGGACAGAGGTGGGGGAGAGCATGCCTGATGGGTGGCTCCAACATCTCTCTCCAGGGGGCTTCATGGCCCCTGATGCCAGGAGGAAGAGTCCAAACCCGGGCTACCAGAGAAGGGGCTGGTGGGGCAGGGGCCAGGTTCAGAGCCCGCTGGGGTCCGGGCTTGGGAACAGCTCCCCTTGGTGATCCAGAAGGAACTTGGTGAAGGTGTTGATGGGATTAATGGCCTTGAGGGTGATGGCCGCATCCTTGGCCCACAGCAGGTTAGGGCCGAAAACAACAGCCAGGTTAGTGTTGGTCATCTTGTTCTGGTCACTGTGTGCAGAAATCTGTGGAGGGAATCAGGGACTGCAGCAGGAAGCCACAGATGCTGCCTCCCACTCCCAGCAACAATGACCAGGGCGCAGAGGAGGCGGCAGCTCCTCCTTCCCCCTCCCTTCACCCCAGAGGCCAAGTCCAAGGTCTCACCTGCACCAGGAAAGCAGTCAGGAAACGAAGCACCTGGTAGTTCTCCTCGGGCAGCGTCTGGAGGACCTGCAGTGTCGCTGGCACCCTCTGGCTTTCATCAATGTCTATGAGGAAAGGAGGCCCGGGTTATAGGGGCCCTAGGCTGGGCTGGTTCAGGACGCTCTGATGCAGGCTAGAGGGGAGACCCCCAGCAGTCTTCCCTGGGAGGCGCCTAGGCCCGAAAGCCTGCAGCGCACCTGCCCCAAGTCCAGCCCCAGGCCCAACAGAAGAGATGGGGACTCACTGAGGAAGCCCACCACATGGGGGTAGAGGTCAAAGGTGAGCAGGGGCTCAGGAAGCTCCCGGAGGAAGGTCTTGAGGATGACTGCTGGCAGGTGCAGCTCATTGTACTGGTCGAAATCCACAGGCAGCCCTGGGGTGGGGGCAGCGTGAGAGAAGCTCGGCACAGCCTGAAGGGCAGCACCCATCTGCAGACAACGCGGGCCGCACTGCCTGACTGCCCCTGGACACTGCATAAGCCCCTCCTCCCAGGGGCGCCCTCTGACACCTGCCTCCCTCTTCCTCTGTGATCAGAGAATGCAGGTTCCGGCCATCTGGGGAAGTGGGGCCCGGCACACCCCACCGTTATTCCTTGCCTCTGAATGTGCCTATACCCAGGACCCGGGAGCCCGACCGATGAGGCAGCAGGCCTGGCAGAAGTAGGACTTATGTGACACCCAGAGCCACGGAAACCTCCAGCAGGAAGAGACTCTGAGACTCTCATTTACAGGGCAGCAGAGGGCAGAGAAGCCCCCTACCAGTAACACACATATGGCCCTGCAACAGCCCAGGGCTGCTCACCCATGTTGTACTTCTGCTGCACTTCCCGGACCACTTGGGTGTTGGCCGACCTCCGGAAGATGCCCTCGGTGGTGAGAGCTGGGAAACAGTAGGGCCTGGTGAGCCTCCGAGCGCTGGGCACCGGCTGGATTCCCTGCCCCTTCTCTGTCTTGGGGTTCTAGGCAGGGCTGGGTGGGGACGTTGAGGCTTGCAGGACCTCCCTCTGCCCTGCCCAGCAGCTTCCCCAGCTTCCTGAAGGGAGCCGGGAGACCTGGCTGGTGAGGAGGCAGGCCCGGCACTCACCGTGGGCCTGTAAGTAGGCAACAGTCTCCCTGAGTACAATGGGAATGGGCTCCTGCTCTGGATTCTTCTCCTGGAGGCTGCGGGAAAAAGGCTGGTGAGCCGGGCCTGCAGCCCTTCCCGCCCCGCCGTGGCCCAGCCACCTTTCATACTTACTGCTGCAGCGAGACTCCAAACTGCTGGTTGGGCAGGGGGGGCCGTGGGGGCATGGGCTTGGGGGCTGTCGCGGGGCTCTTCTGTGTGGATTTCAGGAAGTCGTCATATCTGTAGGAGTAGAGGGAGGTGGGTCAGGTCCTGCCTGGCTCTGGAGTCACTCTGCCAATTCAATCAAGCATTGACCACGCGGGGTCAGGAGGATCATCTCATGCGATCTCTGTAACAACTCCGCTTTCCACAGCAGAAAGCAAAGACCTGGGAGAGGTCGGGACACGGGCTTGCTCTGCCTAAGCCCCACGCGGTCTCTGAATCAGGACACACGTCCTCATTACCCTGGCTTCACGAGCCCCCAGCCGCCGCACCCGCCTCACTTGAGCACTTGGCGAGGGATCCCCAGCTGCTCCAGCTTCACGTGCTCGCTCAGCTCGCTCAGGTAATTCACATAGAAGATCTTCTGCCCGAACTTGAAGCTGTTGGTGGAAGAAAGGGCCTGGGTTGTGGGGGCCCGCTTCCGGTGGCCTCCACTCTCCCCTCAACACCCACCCAGTTCAGACGGAAGCCCAGCCGCACCTGGTGGTCCCCAGGCTGCCCAGCCTCCCAGCTTCAGAGTTCCAGGCAAGCCGGGACCACCAGCCCTGCCCGTGGCCACTCACCTGATGAGGGGCTTGAAGAGGATGAGCAGAGTTTTGATGAACATGGTTGGATGCACGATGTACAAGGCCTTGATGTTTTTCTTGTACCTGCAGAGACAGAATGGACAACTCAGGAGCAGGCGTGGTGGGACAGGTGCCACGCTAGGGTCCCAGTGCATACTTTTTTTTTTTGAGACAGAGTCTCCTTCACCCAGGCTGGAGTGTGATCTCAGCTCATTGCAGCCTCCACCTCCCGGATTCAAGCTATTCTCCTGCCTCAGCCTCCTGAGTAACTAGGATTACAGGCACCCACCACCACACCTAGCTAATTTTTGTATTTTTAGCGGAGACAGGGTTTCACCATGTTGGCCAGGCTGGTCTGGAACTCCTGACCTCAAGTGATCCATCCGCCTCAGCTTCCCAAAGTGCTGGGATTACAGGTGTGAGCCACCACACCCTGCCTCAGTGCATATTTTCTGATTTGAACATGCATGGCCAGCATGCGAGGTAAGGGCCATCACTGTCTCATTTTACAGATTAGAAAACAGGAGGCTCAAAGAGGTTAAGTAAAACAAGAGGTCAGAGTGCAAATAAGCTGAGAAACTGGGCCTTACTTAAGCCCAGGGTGATCTGACTGCAGATTCTTTACATTGACGTAGACGGCAGCCCCCGCCACCCCCTGCCTTGGAATAAGCTCCTGCCCAAGTGGAGGGCAGCCCGGAAGCTGGCAGAGCCGCTGCCTCTGGATCTGACTGTGCAGGCCCCATGCCCCAACCCACTTGCGGTCAAACTCCCGGTAGGCATCACGGAGCCAGCTGAGGGAGGGCTTGTTGTCGCTGGTCAGGCCGTGGTGCAGATACAGAAGTGTGTAGTCACTCTCCACGTACTGGTCCAGGGTGTGCTTCAGGTACCTTCCAGGGAAAAGCCCTGCTCAGGCCTGCCCTGTGCACAGGGGCGGCCCCACGAAGACAGAAAGCAGCCCCAAGAGTCTCCCACCACGTCACAGCCCCTTCCCCACAGGCCCTCCCCTAGCACAGTCTGTTCTGGCTCATAATCAGTCACCAGGTTGCTGTGGAGGAGGCCTAGGGTAGAGGCTGGGCAGAGGAATGAGAATAGTAATAACAGCTCTCAGCCGGGCGCAGTGGCTCATGCCTGTAATCCCAACACTTTGGGAGGCCAAGGCGGGTGGATCACCTGAGGTCAGGAGTTCAAGACCAGCCTGGCCAACATGGTGAAACCCCATCTCTACTAAAAATGCAAAAATTAGCCGAGCATGGTGGTGCAGGCCTGTAATCCCAGCTACTCAGGAGGCTGAGGCAGGAGAATCGCTTGAACCCAGGAGGCGGAGGTTTCAGTGAGCAGAGATTGTGGCACTGTACTCCAGCCTGGGCAACAAGAGTGAAACTCTGTCTCAATAATAGTAATAATAATAACAGTTCTCACTCTTGAGCAGGAACTAGATGTCAGGAGACCAGGACCCTAACCCGGGCCTGCCTAGGCCTGCAGTGAAAAGGGGAATGACGTTTCCCCTGAATCAGGGATTTCTCTGAATCAATAATAATGATGACAGTCACCATTTCTCAATATTAAGTTTTTAGTGTCTGCCAAGCACTTCACATACATTAGCTCATACATTGCTTATAACTGAGGCTGATGTAATCCCCATCCTACAAATGAAGGCAATGACCAGAGAGGTCAAGTGCTGATCCAAGGTCACACAGCTTGTGGTAGATCCTGGAAGTGAAGTGTCTAACACCAAAGCCTGCTTTTTTTTTTTTTTTTTTTTTGAGACAGGGTCTTACTGTCACCCAGGCTGGGGCACCGTAGCGCAATCACAGCTCACCGCAGCCTTGACCTCCCAGGCTTAAGCTATCCTCCTGCCTCAGCCTCCTGAGTAGTAGGAACCGCAGGTGTGAGCCACCACACCCGGCTCTTTTTTCTACTTTTTATTTTGTAGAGACAGGTCTCACTATGTTGCCCAGGCTGGTCTTGAGTTCCTGGCCTCAAGCAATCCTCCCACCTCAGCCTCCCAAAGTGCTGGGAGATTACAGGCATGAGTCACTGCACCTGGCCGAAAGCCTGCATTCTTGACCATGGGACAGCTTTGCCTTCTACACATGAACTCCAGTGCCGGCGGTAAAACACTGTGCCCATGAGAGGGGATGGGGTGGCCAGAGAGTCACCTGCTCCAGTCACTGGGCCTTTAGTGGACCAAAGAGCCCCAATTCCTCTGGTTCCCTATTATGCTCATGACACGCTATCTACCAGCTCAGCACAAACATATACACACCTGGTGTTGAGCACACTGAGAGTTATGGATGGAATGAACAAGAACTGGGGAAAGGGAAGGGAGTGTGTGTAAAGCCCTCTCCTTTTTTTTTTTTTTGAGATGGAGTTTTGCTCTTGTTGCCCAGGCTGGAGTGCAGTGGCATGATCTCGGCTCACCAAAACCTCTGCCTCCCAGATTCAAGTGATTCTCCTGACTCAGCCTCCCAAGTAGCTGGGATTATAGGCATGTGCCACCACGCCCAGCTAATTTTGTATTTTCAGTAGAGATGGGGTTTCTCCATGTTCGTCAGGCTGGTCTCCAACTCCCAACCTCAGGTGATCCGCCTGCCTCGGCCTCCCAAAGTGCTGGGATTACAGGCATGAGCCACTGCGCCCGGCCATAGAGCCCTCTTTCTAGTTGGCCAAACAGCTCCTAGGCTCCCACAGGGACACTACTGCAGGCTGGGAGGCTGGGCAGGCAGAATGCTAAGCACTTCCAAGGGGAGGCAGGGAAGGAGAGAAGCCTGGTGAAGTGGCCAGAGCTTGACCTAACCCAGACAGAGTATGCTCAAGACTGGCCCGTGGGTGCCAGGCTGGGCCAGCACAGGCAGGCATGGGGTGGCTGATGCTGGGATCCCCAGTACATGGTCATTTACCCCTTCTCCACACTGAGCACTGCAGTTTACAAAGAGCTGTCGCATAAAGAGATTGCATTTTGCAACTACAAAAATAGCAAAGATTGTAGTGAAAACAGACACTCTCATCCACTGATGGAGGTTATGGCCTTTTGTAGGGAAATAAAGTGATGTTTATCAGAAGCTATAAAATGCTCATACTCTCTGACCCTGTAAAAATATGTCTAGGAGTTTGTCCTAAGGAAATAATCTGAGATGAACGAAAACATTTTTGTAGAAGGCTGTTCTTCATGGCCCATTTTATGATAGGGAAAAAAAAAATCTAGTGGCAAGCTAACTGCAACAGCAGGGAATTGGTTAAATCAACCACGTGACAACCATAAATAGAATAGCTCACAGGACATTTCTGCAGACAGAATGAATCTGTGAAGTCAGATGTCAGAACAGTGTTTATGCCCTTTGTAGGGTGTGAGTGACATAGATGTGTTCAGTTTTTGAAAATTCACACAGTACGCTTATATTTTATTCACTTTTCTGTCAGCATATTTGATGTCAATAAAATGTTTTTTAGAAGATATCTTTGAAGAATATTTAATGCTCAGAAAAAAATGTTATGTAAGATACAAAACCAGGCTGGGTGTGGTGCCTCACGCCTGTAATCCCAGCAATTTGGGAGGCAGAGACGGGCAGATCACCAGAGGTCAGGAGTTCAAGACCAGCCTGGCCAACATGATGAAACCCTCTCTCTACTAAAAATACAAAAATTAGCTGAGTGTGGTGGTGCACGCCTGTAATCCCAGCTACTCGGGAGGCTGAGGCAGGGGAATCGCTTGAACTCAGGAGGTGGAGGTTGCAGTGAGCCAACATCGTGCCACTGCACTCCAGCCTGGGTGACAGAGCGAGGCTCGGTCTCAAAAAAAAAAAAAAAAAAAGATACCAAACTGACTATAGAGTTCCATATACATTACAGAAAAAATAGGAAATGACTACACAAAAATATTAACAGTAACTTTCTCTCTAGGTGGTGGGTGTGTGGGAGACCTTTTTTTTTTCACAGTTGTCTATATATTTTTTTATTTATGGCTATGTATATTTTTCTAAACTCTCTAAATTGTAATACTTTAAAAATGTACACAATGGATTTCATGTATATTCTTTTTTTTTTTTTTTGAGACAGAGTTTCACTCTTGTTGCCCAGGGTGGAGTGCAATGGCATGATCTTGGCACACTGCAACCTCCGCCTCCTGGGTTCAGGTGATTCTCCAGCCTCAGCCTCCTAAGTAGCTGGGATTACAGGCGCATGCCACTACACATGGCTAATTTTGTATTTTTAGTAGAGACAGGGTTTTGCCATGTTGGTCAGGCTGGTGTTGAACTCCTGACCTCGTGATCCACCCACCTTCGCCTCCCAAAGTGCTGAGATTACAGGCGTGAGCCACCGCGCCAGGTCATATGTTCTTACCTAATGCCCACAACAGCCCTGGGAGGTGGGCACAAGTCTCTTTTTTTTTTTTTTTTTTTTGAGACAGAGTCTTGCTCTGTTGCCCAGGCTGGAGTGCAGTGGCGCAATCTCGGCTGACTGCAACCTCTACCTCCCGGGTTCAAGCAATTCTCTTGCCTCAGCCTCCTGAGTAGCTGGGACTACAGGCACATGCCATCATGCCCAGCTAATTTTTATTTTAGTAGAGATGAGGTTTCACCATGTTGGCCAGGATGGTCTCAATCTCCTGACCTCATGATCCACCTGCCTCAGCCTCCCAAAGTGCTGGGATTACAGGCATGAGCCACCGTACCCGGACTTTTTTTTTTTTTTTTGAGATGGAGTTTCGCTCTGTCACCCAGGCTGCAGTGAAATGGCATGATCTGGGCTCACTGAAATCTCTGCCTCCCGGGTTCAAGTAATTCTTCTGCCTCAGCCTCTTGAGTAGCTGGGATTATCTTGAGTAGCTAGGATTATAGGCATGCACCACCAAGCCTGGCTAATTTTTTTATTTTTAGTAGAGACAGGGTCATGTTGGTCAGGCTGGTCTCGAACTGCTGATCTCGTGATCCACCCACCTTGGCCTCCCAAAGTGCTGGGATTACAGGCATGAGCCGCTGGACGAGGAGCCACAAGAGACTTGTGGCGCCCAGCCACAAGTCTCATTTTTACAGGGCTTGGAAAAGACCTGCCCCAAGGCACGCAGCTAGCAAGAGGTGCAGAGCTGAAGTTGAATGTGTCTTCTGAATTTGATTCCAAGCTTCAGGCACGTTCTTTTTTTTGAGACGGAGTCTCGCTCTGTCGCCCAGGCTGGAGTGCAGTGGTTCAATCTTGGCTCACTGCAAGCTCTGCCTCCCGGGTTCACGCCATTCTGCCTCAGCCTCCTGAGTAGCTGGGACTACAGGCGCCCGCCACCACGCCTGGCTAATCTTTTTTTTGTATTTTTAGTAGAGACGGGGTTTCACCATGTTAGCCAGGATGGTCTCGATCTCCTGACCTCATGATCCTCCCGCCTCGACCTCCCAAAGTGCTAGGATTACAGGCGTGAGCCACCGCGTCCAGCCACTTCAGGCACTTTCTTTTTTTTTTTTTGAGACGGAGTCTCGCTCTGTCGCCCAGGCTAGAGTGCAGTGGCGCTCAGGCACTTTCTATTTCAACCTCCTGGATCTGGGTGGACAGCTGGGAAGAGCCACATCTGAGATAATCTGACTGAAAATGGGACAAAGTGCTCCATGATGGAAGCACCCCACTGCCCTCAGCAGGGACTGTGACTAGGACGGAAGTGATGGAGGACAAGCAGCAGCTGATGTTGAGGACTTCCTGAAGCCAAGGACGCCCTGGGGTGGGTGTGGCCTTCCCTGGCAAGCTGTCTCCTGAAAACCAGGTGCTTTCCACCCACATCCACTGACTTCCTCCCACTTCACTTATTATCTGGGCAGGAGGCTGTCACCTGGTACATCAGACATAGAAAGAACTAGAGAAAAGGCCATGTGCCTCCACCAGCCCCAGGCCAAGCTCTTGCCCATTCTGGCTGGGCCGTGCGGCGGGCTTGGACAAGGCTCTGCCTGCCTTGTCTGAAGAGCAGTGGGAAGAGGGTTCAGAAGGCCAGAGAGATAGAATTCCTAGATGACGCTGGAAGACTCAGCCTGTGGCCCTGGCTTGCCAGGACTGGCTGAGACTCCAAATTCAGGCCCTTCTCCTTCTGCGGCTGCCCTCTGGGTCTGTCCCTAAGCCCACACCTCCTCCTGCTCGCACGCAACCATTCAGGGTCTCAAAGAGCTGCTTGGGACAGTGCCAGGATTTTACATTTCAGAGAGTGCTTCAAACTGGTCAGGAAAGAACTGCATCTTTCTAAAATTTGCCGAGAAAACAGAAAGAAGGGCAAGATGGTCTCACTCTACTACACACCCCGAGGACAGCAGCAGGAAGTGAGTTTGCTCGCCTGTGGGCCCAGAGCTGGCTCAACCATAAATGAGTCTTTCAAGCCTTGGCATTCAACCAGCCTTCAGACATGAATCAGGACATGTCTGGACCGGCCAGAGCTATTACATATGTTTGGCCCCAGAACCCACATCGGTATAGAAACCACTGACACCAAAGGCACAAAATAAGACAACACTAATGAGTCCTATAAACGATAAACAACTGCAACCATCTCAGAAACACCATAGGATTATAACAGTCAATCATCACATCTGGACAAAAGTCCTTCCTTTTCATGTGCTGTTTGTCACTCCTACAAGGAAAGAGGCCTATATTATTATCCCTTTTGAAAGGTGAGGAAAGCGAGGCTTAAAGATGCTTACCAAGGTCACCCAGCTTCAATAACTAGAAACTAGGTCTGACTCCTCGTCCAGTGCTCTCCCCTAAATATAAACCAGCTCCTTCATGAGAAGAGGGAAGGCATTAAGGCAGGTGGCCTAGCACCCACAGGCAGGGAGGGACAGTAAAGAACGTGGCATTAGGCTACAATGGGGATCTGGGCAAAGCCCCAACACACTTCCCAGCAGGTACTCACCCCAGGAGCTTGCTGTGGTCGAGCTGGTGGCTGGGGGGCATTCGACAGGCACTAAACACAATGATCTTCCGCCCATACTTGTCATCTCCTAGGTGTGGAGAAAGATGGAGCACAGTGGGTTGAAGGGGAACCAAAAGAAGTGGGGTGAGGAACTTAAAGGGGCCAGGCCTGCTGATCTGAGCCAGTTACCACAGGGGCCAGAGTGCCCATGCAGACAGACCTCCGGGCAGCCTCCTGCATGCAAGGGTGTGCCACTGAAGACAGGGACAGCTTGCTTTCAGGGCTACTGAGCTGGGGTATTAAAAAAAAAGTGATTTTTTTTTCTTTGAGATGGGGTCTTGTTCTTTCACCCAGTCTGGAATGTAGTGGCGCAATCACGGCTCACTGTAGCCCCAATCTCCTGGGCTCAAGAGATCCTCCTGCTTCAGCCTCCCAAGTAGCCAGGACTATAGGTGAGCACCACCATACCTGGTGAAATTTTAAAATTTTTTGTAGAGACAGATCTCACTATCTTGCCATGGCTGGGTCTTGAGCTCCTGGCCTCCTCCTGCCTCAGCCTCCCAAAGTGCTGGGATTACAGATGTGAGCCACCGCACCCAGCCAACATCACTTTTTAAAAAGTCATGCCGGCCGGGCGCGGTGGCTCACGCCTGTAATCCCAATACTTTGGGAGGCTGAACCAGGGGGATCACCTGAGGTCAGGAGTTACGAGACCAGCCTGGCCAACATGGTGAAAACCCATCTCTACCAAAAATACAAAAATTAGCTGGGTGTGGTGGTGCACACCTATAGTCCCAGCTACTGGGGAGGCTGAGGCAGGAAAATTGCTTGAACCTGGGAGGCGGAGGTTGCAGTGAGCTGAGCTGGTGCCACTGTACTCCAGCCTGGGTGACAGAGCAAGAGTGTCTCAAAAAAAAAAAAAAAAAAGTTATGCCTGGTGCAGACAACCCAAATGTCCATCAGCGGATAAAAGATGTAGTTAATCCATGCAATGGAATACTGTTTGGCCATAAAAAGGAATGAAGTACTGATACATGCTACAATGTGGATGAACCTCCGAAACATTATGCCAAGTGAAAGCCAGTCACAAAAGGCCACCAAGTCTATGATTCCAGTTACATGAGATGTCTAGATAGGTACATGCATAGAGACAGGAAGCAAATTAGTGGTTTCCAGGTACTGGGAGGAGTGGGGAATGGGGACAGACTGCTTAGTGGGTACAGCATTTGGTATGGGTATGGGTGGTGAAAATGTTTTGGGATTAGATGGAGGTGATAATTTTATGACATTATGCACTAAATATTATACCACTGAATTGTACACTGCAAACTGATGAATTTTGTTATGTGATTCTTATCTCAAATTATTATTACTATTATTTTTTTTTAGATGGAGTCTCACTCTGTCACCCAGGCTAGAGTGCAGTGGCACAGTCTTGTCTCACTGCAACCTCCACCTCCCAGGTTCAAGCGATTCTCCTGCCTCAGCTTCCCGAGTAGCTGGGATTACAGGCGCCTGCCACCATGCCTGGCTAATATTTGTATTTTTAGTAGAGACAGAGTTTCACCATGTTGGCCAAGCTGGTCTCGAACTCCTGACGTCACGATCCACCTGCCTTGGCCTCCCAAAGCGCTGGGATTACAGGCATGAGCCACCACGCCCGGCTCTTACCTCAATTTTTAAAAAATGCTCACTAAAGCATTTGTGATCTTGCCAAATAGTCATCTTATAAGTCTACACTTTTCCAAAAGCACCCCCGCTGAGCAGTGTGTATTTGGAAAGCCTCTTGAAGTTACCTTCTCAGCATGTTTCAGCCACTGAGGAAATCAGTCTGATTACTTAACAGTCATGTCTCATTTCTGACCACTGACAATCGCTTTCTGATTTTATTACTAGAATTTTTTTTAAGAGATGGGGGTCTCGGCCAGGCACAGTGGCTCACGCCTGTAGTCCCAACACTTTGGGAGGCCGAGGTGGGCGGATCATGAGGTCAGGAGATCGAGACCATCCTGGCTAACATGGTGAAACCCCGTCTTTACTAAAAACACACACACAAAAAAAAAAATTAGCCAGGTGTGGTGGCGGGCACCTGTAGTCCCAGCTACTCGGGAGGCTGAGGCAGGAGAATGGCATGAACCCAGGAGACGGAGCTTGCAGTGAGCCGAGATCGCCCCACTGCACTCCAGCCTGGGTGATAAAGCGAGACTCCGTCTCAAAAAAAAAAAGACAAAATTAAAGAAAAGAGATGGGGGTCTCAATGTGTTGCCCAGGCTGTTCTTGAACTCCTGGCTTTAGGTGATCCTCTCACCTCAGCTTCCCAAGCAGCTGAGACTACAGGTGTGCACCACTGCACCCAGCTTATTACTAGAATTATGGACGACACTGGTTCTGATTGACTTCTGTAGGTTTCTAAGCATTCTATCCTTTCTCATTAAGATATTCTAGGGCCCCCACCAACCCTTAAGACTCAATGCAGGCATAATCGCCGCCTGGAATCCTGTGTCCTCGCCCTCTCTCCCCAGACAGGTTAGCTGCCCCTTTTCATGGCTCCCAGCATAAACCGTCACCCATCACTGTCCTGACCCTTCACTCTCCTGTAGAATTGTTTATGTACCTGTCTCCCTGACAGGCTTGTGAGCAGCTCAAAGACAGAGGCTGTGTCTCATTGTCTTTGTTTGTTCTTTTTCTTTGTTTACTCCTGGCAAGCTGTGATTTTTTTTTTTTTAAGAGACAGGGTCTTGCTCTGTCACCCAGGCTGAAGTGCAGTGGCATAACTGTAGCTCACTGCAGCCTTGAACTCCTGGGCTCAAACAATCCTCCTGCTTTAGCCTCCCATGTCCTGAGTAGCTAGGACTACAGGCACATGCCATCCCACCTGCTTAATTAAAAACAATTTTTTGAGACAGAATCTTGTTATGTTGCCCAGGCTAGTCTTGAACTCCTGCCTCAGCTTTCCAGTAGCTGGGATTACAGTTGCGTACCATGGCACCTACAGTCTCCAGTACTGGTCCAGTGTCTGGCATGTGGCAGGTATTCAATACGTTTTGGTAGCCTGCACAAAATCGCAGGTCACCATTAAACTATGGGATGCCTGGTTCTAGTTATATTTCTGTGTTTGTTCTTCTTTTTTTTCTGAGATGGAGTCTCTATCATCCAGGCTGGAGTGCTGTGGAGTGATCTGGGCTCACTGCAACCACCACCTCCTAAGTTCAAGAGATTCTCCTGCCTCAGCCTCCCAAGTAGCAGGGACTACAGGCAGGTGCCAGCACACCAGGCTAATTTTTTTTTTTTTTTTTTTGAGATGGAGTTTTGCTCGTTACCCAGGCTGGAGTGCAATGGCGCGATCTCGGCTCACTGCAACCTTTGCGTCCCGGGTTCAAGTGATTCTCCTGCCCCAGCATCCTGAGTAGCTAGGACTACAGGCATGTCCCACCACACCCAGCTAATTTTTGTATTTTTAGTAGAGACGGGGTTTCACCATGTTTGTCAGGCTGGTCTCAAACTCCCGACCTCAGGTGATCTGCTCGCCTCAGCCTCCCAAAATGCTATGATTACAGGTGTGAGCCACCATGCCCAGCCTTAATTTTTGTATTTTAGTAGAGACAGGGTTTCACCATGTTAGCCAGGCTGGTCTCCAACTCCTGACCTCAGATGATCTGCACGCCTCAGCCTCCCAAAGTATTGGGATTATAGGCATGAGCCACAGCACCTGGCCTCTGTGTTTGTTCTTGATTATGCTTTGGTTATGGGTCAGACTGCTTCAGATAGTGAGTTTCCCAAAGCTCAGGACAGAACGTCTCCAGATTTGCAAGTAGAGAATCCTCTACCAGCTTGTCTGCAGAGGAGGTGCAGCTCCATCCCGGCAGGTCTGTTTTGAAGGACCAGGTGGTACCTGCTCTCTTTCGTACCCTAGCCTAGATCCTGAGGTGCTGAGATCCCGGAGGCCAGCTGGGGGTGGCTCTGGGGCTATGTGCCTGCTCTGATTCACTTCCCACTGGCTCTGACAGTGGAAGGAAAAGCAGACTGGCAGGGGCCAGGGACAAAGGGTTAGACTGGCAAGCCCAGTCTCACTAGTCTGGAGCTTCAGAAACCCCAGAGATGCCTACCACCAGCCTGGGAAGAGGGGGCCTCATCTGCCTACCTCCTTCTAAGCGAGGAAATAACCAGGATTTGGGGGAAATGCTCGAGGACAATGGGGGCTACCAAAAGGATCTTTCCTTCCAGCCCATGAGTCCCCGCACCTCACATCTGCACCAGCAGCAAGGCAGGCCTCATTGGCTGGCAGATTTGAGGATTCAGCCAGGGCAGAAAGTCTGTGAGGCCCCTGGGTCTAAAATATAAGAGGTAGCAACTGGTTAGGGAAGCTGTTGGGGGGAGGGCTGGAGGCCTGTGGTGTCTCCTCTCAGCTGGCCACAGCACTTTGTAAGTGGGAAGCTTTGGGTTCTGAACCAGGGCTCCACCAATGTGCTCAGCAGACACAGCACCTCCATGATGTTATATGACAAATATTACAAGCATGTGCACTTTTTTTTTTTGAGACAGTCTCGCTCTGTCGCTCAGGCTGAAGTGAAGTGGCGTGATCTCAGCTCACTGCAACCTCTACCTCCTGGGTTCAAACGATTCTCCTGCCTCAGCCTCCTGAGTAGCTGGGATTACAGGCATGCACCACCACACCCAGCTAATTTTTTTTTTTTTTTTGAGACGGCGTCTCGCTCTGTTGCCCAGGCTGGAGTGCAGTGGCACGATCTCCGCTCACTGCAAGCTCCGCCTCCCGGGTTCACGCTATTCTCCTGCCTCAGGCTCCTGAGTAGCTGGGACTACAGGCGCCCGCCACCACGCCCAGAAAATTTTTTGTATTTTTAGTAGAGACGGGGTTTCACTGTGTTAGCCAGGATGGTCTCGATCTCCTGACCTCATGATCCGCCCGCCTCGGCCTCCCAAAATGCTGGGATTATAGGGATGAGCCACCGCGCCTGGCCTTAACCCCAGCTAATTTTGTATTTTTAGTAGAGACGGGGTTTCTCCGTGTTCATCAGGCTGGTCTCGAACTCCTGACCTCGTGATCCACCAGCCTTGGCTTCCCAAAGTGCTGGGATTACTAGGTGTGAGCCACCGCACCTGGCTGCACTTTTTTTTTTTTTCAGTCAAAGAGATCCCCCCTATCCTGGGGATACCTTTCATAGTTGCAAAGTGGACTGTGACCAGTTTTAAGAACCACTTCACTAGACTGTAATCTTTTTTTTTTTTCTTTGAGCCAGGATCTTGCTCTATCACCCAGGCTGGAGTGCAGTGGTTCAATCATAGCTCACTGCAGCCTCCAACTCCTGGACTGAAAGGATCCTCCCACCTCAGCCTCCCAAGTAGCTAGGACTACAGGCACAGGCTACCACACCTGGCTAATTTATTGTTATTATTTTTGTAGAGACAGGGTTTCACTATGTTGCCCAGGCTGGTCCTAACTCCAGGGTGGCCCTGGAGTTAATCACCAACAGGTCTCCCCAGGCATTCTGGGCCCCCTCAAACCAGCCCCACCCACAACCGGACCAGCAGGCCTGGGACCTGGGAGGTAGGGCTGGGCTGATGGAGCCAGTCATGTGCTACAGCCAGCTCACACATTTGTTAAGCTGTTCAACTGTCAGGAATTTTGCAAGCCAGTTGACATCATGTTGGTAGCTAGAGAGCTGGGAGGCAGAAACTGCAAATGCTACAAATCATGGCCTTTTTCCCCCTCTCCAGAGAGCCATTTACCAGCACACCACTGGAAAGAACCCACTGGGACTGAGCCAAATCTGACCCTGGGGCATGACAACTATTCCCGGCAGGGAGAGCTGAGGCTATAACCCACCCTCCCTTCCTACAAGGGCTTCTCCCGGACATCTCCACGGTCTCACCAAATGAGTGCCTGGTGATGCCAATCCAGCCTCCTCTCAGCAATCAGGGAGGCACATCCATGGGGACACCATCACCCAGAAGGTCCCTGAGCCACCACTCAGAGGCCATTGCCCAAGGCCAGACCCTCCCGCAAGCTCCTTTCCCTTTGGGGCCTGGGTGTGTCCCCACACAGCCTCCCCCACCCCCATCCTACCTCCCATAAATCTTCTGCTATTTCCGACTCCCAGGCACCACCAACTCCCAGCTCCCCAGGGTGAGACTGCAATTAAGCTAGCCCCATCTGGCCTCCACCGAGAGCCCTTCCTGATCCACAGCCCCAGAGGTTGCAGTCCAAAGAGGACAAGCACAGCGAGCCAGGACGGACACCTACCTGGCTGGGCCCCCTCAGGCTCATCGTAGTCTAGGGAAATAGAAACAAATTGCAGCTCTGTGCGGGGGTTGTGGGGAAGGAGGTGTCACCCACGGAGGTGGGGAGGGGCAGGCTCCCCCAGCTCTGCCTTGACCAAACAGGCCAGGATGATGTCAGGACAGAGACTCCTTCACATCAGGTACCCCCCAGACTCCAGTCAAGTTCAGAACCTTCAAGGTGACTTTCCCGTGCCCAATTCAGGACCAGACTGGGGAAAAAACTCTCAGCTTTGCTTCTGCAGGGGGTGAATGAGGCCAGAGCCAAGGCCCTCAACCCAGATCAGGGCAGGCGCCAAGAATACAAACGCCATGGAAACACCTTTGACGTTCGGGGCAATCCTCTCAACTGCCCCCTCCCTTTCCAAGCCCAGCACCCCCATAGCCAGACAGGCTTCTTCCAGGGCCGGTGTCTGCCAGGTTCTCCTTGCCCACGCCAATGCCTCAGAGCAGGGCCATGCTGCCACCCTGCTTATGAATGCCTGGCCTCACCAGCAAGGATGGACAAATGTTAGGGAAAAGATAAAGGATCCTAGATTCCAGCTGCTCCTTCTAAAGTGGGGCCCTAAGGGCAGCAACCACCTCATCAGCCTGACTCCCTGGCTCCTGGTTTCTTCTGGGTCCCCCCTTATGAACAGGAGGGAGGGAGCTCCCTGAGACAGAGACCTAAGCGGGGCTCTGTACCCACTCTCAGCAGGGCAGCATATCTGCCAGGAATCTGGTGCTCCAGGGAGCCATGTGCCCCCTCCCCATTTTTGGAAAGAGGCTCTGCCCATTCCAGACTTCCCTAGGGCTACAATTTCCCAGGAAGGACTGGCACTCCTCATCCTCCCCAGTAACTGATAGGGTGGAAAAGCCAACATTAGGGTGGAGGGGTAGGAGGGCAATAGAACGAGGGGAAGGGAAGGCTACTTATTCAAGGCCAACTGTGTTCTGGCTCTGGGCTAGGCCCTGACATGCATTCATTATTGTAACCCACAAGGAAGAAATTAGAGTTCAAAGAGCAGAGCTGGAGATCAAACCCAGGGCTTTCTGACTTCAAAGCCACTAGGCCACATGGCTCCCCACATGCCAGGAGCACCAGGGCCAGCGGTCAGACTGCAGAGAGGCCCTTCCCCTGTGGTGTGAAGGGCTGACTTCCTGAGGCCAGGAGCTCTGAGGGTTAGGAAAATAGTGTTGGGTGTGCTTACCTGCCACCTCCACGATCTGGTGCCGGGCGATGTCATAGTATGGGTCATCCCACTTCAGGTGTGTGACAAGTTCCGGGGAGCTGCTTTTGGAGTCATCTGAGGAACACAGCAGGGTCAGGGGACAAGCCAGGGGGCTGGCACCATGCTCTGCCCCACAGGCATGCTGTCTGGCCCTTCCCCCAGTAAGGCCCATGCTCCCAGCCCAAACCTGGGACTGGTCTGCCCCATCCTGCCCTCCTGGCGTCTCCCTTCAGCAGAAGGAGTGCTTCCCCCTCTAAAGCGCCTGTAGCTGCCTGAGACCAGACACAAGCCCACCTGACTTGGGGAAGTCAGGCATTTCATCCGAGGGCCAGTTCTTCTCATCGATGGAGGCCAGCTTCAGCTGGTTCAGAGCCTCGCTGGTGTCATCCAAGGTCAGATCATCCTGCAGCTCTGAGAGCGGATCCATGGCCAAGCCTGTCCCAGACAGCCTTGCCCTGCAGAACCTTAAGAGAAACCTGGGAGAGAGGAAGACAGGTGGCAGGTCAGTGACCTGCTCTTTTCACCTTCTGCGACCTCCACCGCGTGCCCTCCTGCCCCCACCATTCCCTCTCCCAGGCTCCCTGTCCCTATTCCTCAACACTCCTCATCCCCGCCAAGAGCTCCACGTAGCTCTGGGTTCTCCTGGCTCCGTGGCTCAGGCGTGTTGCCAGAAAAGGCAGCTGGGGCAGAGGATGGCACAGCTCAGCGCCTCCCTCCAGGCCCTGCAGCTGGGGAGGGAAGAGCTGTGCCAGGTCCTGTGCCGCCCGCCACCCAGCTGGCTCAGTGATGCAGTCCCAGCTGTAGAGGGCAGAGGTCCACGCCCCTCGCCTCAGGAGACCTGGACACAGAAGCCTCCCAGGCTCTAGCAGTTACAGGGGTAGAAATGTTGTAAGAATCTAAGGAACATGCTGGGCACCGTGGCTCACGCCTGTAATCCCAGCACTTTGGGAGGCCGAGGCAGGCGGATCACCTGAGGTCAGGAGTTCAAGACTAGCCTGGCCAGCATGGTGAAACCCCATCTCTACTAAAAATACAAAAACTAGCTGGGCGTGGTGGCAGGCATCTGTAATCCCAGCTACTCAGGAAGCTGAGGCAGGAGAATCACTTGAACCCAGGAGGCGGAGGTTGCAGTGAGCCGAGATTGTGCCATTGCACTTCCAGCCTAGGCGACAGGGCAAGACTCCATCCCAAAAAAATAAAAATAAAAAAATAAAAGCTATGGCTGAGGGGCCCAGCTGGGCTTGCTCCAGGACAGGAACTAGCAGCAGGGGATGTGGAATCGCCTGCCAGTCATTGCAGACAGTCTGCAGGCTCCTAGGGGCGTCCAAGCCCACTCTTACTCTGCAGGGTGCTCCTGACACCAGTTTCAAGGTGGAAAGGTTGACGGCCCTAAGGATTGGAGGGCGCAGATGGGAAAGGGGGATGCTCGTGATGTCTGGGGTGCTGAGATGAGGAGGTCACCAGCAGAACAGCAGCTCCGGCAGGCACAAGGCAGACTCGACCACCAAGCTGGGTTTCTGTAGGTCTGGAATCTGGCCAGAAGGCTGCAGCCGCATGCAGCCTGGGGGTAGGCACCTCTGCCCTCAGCCCTAATGGGCAGCAACTCCCCCTCCTGCCACAAGCTCCCCACATGAGGGAGGGCAGTTTTTAGTTCAACCTATTCAGTCTAACCCCAGGGAAGAGGCTGCTCCATGTCCAGCTGCATTCCTGGAGCCCCAAAACTGACATATATGGTCAGAGAATCAGCAGGGCAGATAAGGAGAGCAGACAAGCCCTGGGGGTGGGCAGGAAGAAGAGGGGGAGAGCTGCCATCCCAGAGCCACAGACTCTGGGCTCTGAGGCCACTTGACAACCTCCTGCACACATCACATCACAGCCAAGGGCCCTGGATGGTGAGCCCTCTCCCTGTGCCTAGCAACAGCCACCCTATCACCAGGGCAACCACACGGATTGAGTGGTAACGCTGTTTCATGCTCCCAAGCCAAAGCCAACCAGCGAAAACAGCCCAAAAAAACCCTCTTCTTCCTCTCCCTGTCCCCTGTCCTCATCCACTACCCCTGGTTACCACCAAAATATAATCCCTTCCCAAGAACACAGAGAAGAATGATCCCTCACGGTCAGGAATGCATTTCTCTGAGTGATGCCAAAGCCCAGCTCCCTCACTCCCCTTCAGCCTTCAACCCTTCAACCCTTCAACCCTTCAATATCTACATGTGCTTCCTGCCATCCAGCCAGGAGGCTGTGGGAGCTGCTCCCCATAGCGACCTCCAGCTGGGTAATAAAGACAGAATCCAGCTCAAAGCAACCCCCTCCAGGCCAGAGCCTTCTCTCTACCCTTTCTATTCAGCCTGTCACTGCCCAGGGACCAGGGGCTCCTTCAGCCCCACCTACAGCTATCCCAGAGACATCTTTCTGCACAAAGTAGGTGCTGATGCCATGAAATGATGAGGTAGTATGGAGAGCTGGATTATCATCCTGCCTAAGCCAGTGAGCTGCAAAGATGCTGAGCAAGTCCTTTTCCTACTTGGGCCTAAATTTCCTCCTCTGTAGAGGCAATGGCGCCTCCCAGAAATATAATTCTCCAGTGTTCAGAAATACTTTGTGCTGCAGTGAACAACAGGATTAGAAGGAGCAGCCGGGGCCGGGCACGGTGGCTCATGCCTGTAATCCTAGCACTTTGGGAGCCCAAGGTGGGTGGGTCACCAGAGGTCAGGAGTTCAAGACCAGCCTTGCCAACATGGTGAAACCCCATCTCTACTAAAAGTACAAAAAAAAAAAATAGCCAGGCATGGTGGTGGGTGCCTGTAATCCCAGCTACTCAGGTGGCTGAGGCAGGAGAATCACTTGAACCCAGGGGGTGGAGGTTGCAGTGAGCTGAGATCAAGCTACTTCACTCCAGCCTGGGCAAAAGAGCAAAACTCTGTTTCAAAAAAAAAAAAAAAAGGAGCAGCTGGGAGCTGGGGTGGATGTGAAGGAGGGAGAAGGACACCATCTAAAAGGGAGCTGAACTTGAACTTCACCTCTTTTCCAGTGACTGCTCTTCTATGCTGTCAGTTCTTCCAGACATGACCTCCCTCAACGCCCCCACATAACCTCCTTTCCCAGCATAACTAAGCCCAGTGGTTCCCATCTCCCAGTCAGACTGGCCCCTCCCACTACCCCCAACCCACAGTTTAACTTCTGAGCCTGGAAGTTAAACTCCCATTCAGTGGGAGGGTGAGGAAGCTAGCACAGGGAAATTCTAACATCAAGTAGTAGAAATGAAGTATCCTGCCTGTTTAAGACACCAGCCACCCACAAGCCTGCTCTACTCTGTGCAAAATACACCCAACTCTGAGATTAATTTTTCCATTCTCAGCAGGTAAACCTTTACAAAAATCTTAAGGATCACCTTAGGCAATCACTTTTAGGAAGTTGTAGACTTTTCTGAAATTGGTAACATGTGTGGACTTTTTCCCTAAGAAAACTTAGGAGATGTATGCAATTTTAAGAGGTTCATACACCTTCTGAGAATCACTGTTTAAGAACTTCTGGTCTATTCAGAATGACACCTGATATATAGTAGATGCTATCATTTGTTGAATGAATGAACCAATTAATTCATCTCCTAAGTAAAGAAGGGAACCCACACTTGTTGAGGGCCTATATAGGACCATGAACTGGGGACACAAACTCAACCTCACGATAGCACTGATGAGGCATGTTCTACTAAGCTCATTTTACAGTGAGGAAAGAGAGGACCAGCCGGGCACGGTGGTTCACGGCTGTAATCCCAGCACTTTGGGAGGCCGAGGCGGGCGGATCACAAGGTCAGGATTTGGAGACCAACCTGGCCAAGATGGTGAAACCCCATCTCTACTAAAAATACAAAAATTAGCCGGGTGTGGTGGCGCGCGCCTGTACTCCCAGCTACCTGGGAGGCTGAGGCAGAAGAATCGCTTGAACCCGGGAGGCGGAGGTTGCAGTGAGCCGAGATCACGCCACTGCACTCCAGCCTGGGCGACAGAGTGAGACTCCGTCTAAAAAAAAAAAAAGAAAAGAAATCATATTCTCAACGTTGGAATCGGCCTCCCAGTTGCAAATCCCACCACAATACAACAGCAATTACAACTCTCAACTACAATTATGTTTGCATAGAGCTTCACGGTTTACAAAGCCCAGGTTACGTTTTGCAATTATCCTGTTTCACAGATTAAGAAGTTGAACTGAGGCCGGGCGCAGTGGCTCACGTCTATAATCCCAGCACTTTGGGAGGCGGGGGCGGGAGGATCACGAGGTCAGGAGTTCGAGACCAGCCTGGCCAACATGGTGAAACCCTGTCTCTACTAAAAATACAAAAATTAGCCGGGCGTGGTGGCGGACGCCTGTAATCCCAGCTACTCAGGAGGCTGAGGCAGGAGAATCGCTTGAATCCGGGAGGCGGAGGTTGCAGTGAACCGAGACTCCAGCCTGGGCAATAAGAGTGAAACTCCGTCTTAAAAAAATAAATAAGTTGAACTGAAAGCGTGGCCTAATAAGTGGCAAGGAGGAACACTTCCCCCAAATTTCTTCTTCTTAGTGCTTTGCCAGATCAGATCTGGGAGATTTCCCCCTCCCGCCGGCTTGCTGGATGACAGCGATCCGGCCTGGACTCTGCCCTGGGGAAGGCAGGAAGAAGGTAGTGAAAATGATTAAGTCCTCTTATTGCAGGCGCCAAAATGGGGCAGAAACCCTGCAGGAAGGCCAGGCCTCTGAGCCCAGTTCCACCCCCGTTCCCCTCCTCGGATCTGCTCCGGTCCTCCCCATCCGGACCCCATCCCTTCGGACGACCTGGCCAGCTCCTTTCCTTTCCCCATCCCCACCCGGGGAGACCCCGCGCCCAGCAGCTCACCGCGCTCGGGCACTGCTCCCTCTGCCACGCCTGTCAAGGCTCGGCAAACATCCGGCTCCGCGGTGGAACGGGAACCGCCCCCTCCCGCTCTCTTCTATCCCCAACCATTTCCGCCACACCTCCAACCCACTTCCGGCCCCAAACATGGCCTTTCCAGGAGCCCCGCCCACTTCCTGCACATGCCCGCCTAAGTTCCTGCCTCGGGGAGGTAACAGCATAACTGTCCGACTCGTCGCTCCCAAAGAGATGGCTGGAACAATTAGTTCCGCTTTCCCAGCTAGTCGAATCACTGGTGCACCTCCGGAATCCGAGGTTCGCATTGCTCTCGGACAGAGTTCTGCCTCCCCAGTACTCCCAAACTCCCAGTCCTGTGCACCAATGAGGTCCAGCTCTGAGGCTTCTTTCCTGAGAAAAAAATTTGGAAGTCCGTGACTGTTTCCTGGAGGAGCTGAGAAGAGGAAGCTCACTTCCGGCGTAGGGAGGCTTTCTGACCCGGAATGGAGGAGGCGGAGGAGCTGCTCTTGGAGGGGAAGAAGGCGCTGCAACTCGGTGAGTGACCTGCGATGTCCGCGACCCTCAACCTTGGCCCAGGTGGATCTGACGCTCTGTGGTCAGCTTTCTCCTCAGTCTTCTCTCCTCCGGATCCCAGGATCCTCCAGTGCCCTCAGAGTCGCTGGGGGCTTCTGAAGAGCCCTTGAGCCTCCTCAAAACTTTCAGGGCCCTCCTTAGAGCCCTCACCTGTCCCTCGGGCTCCGCAGGCCCACCTGGACCTGCGGTTTCCTCCCACACTTTTCCCCACCTCCCACCTTCTTGGGTGGCTCCCTCACTGTCTTCCCTTCTCTCTGCAGCCCGCGAGCCGCGCCTGGGCCTGGACTTAGGATGGAACCCTTCCGGAGAAGGCTGTACGCAGGGCCTCAAAGACGTCCCACCCGAGCCGACCCGAGACATCCTCGCTTTAAAGAGCCTTCCCCGGGGCTTGGCCCTTGGCCCCTCACTCGCCAAGGAACAGCGCTTGGGGGTCTGGTGTGTCGGGGACCCCCTGCAGCCCGGCCTGCTGTGGGGGCCGCTGGAAGAGGAGTCTGCCTCCAAGGAGAAGGGCGAGGGAGTAAAGCCACGGCAGGAGGAGGTATTGAAGGATAGAGCGACTTCCCTCCGCCCTTGAAAATGTAGGGGAGGTTTGGACATTGCTAGACAGCTTTTCAATTTGAAGAAAGAGAGTATTTCAAGAGATAGGAGATAGTCTTGTCCCTTCTCTTCAGGACTGTCTCCTCTCAGCAGCAGTAGTTAAAGAATCGAGGTTTGAAAAGTTGTTGAAAGCTGGAATCATACAGTGTCAGCAGTGAGTGAGGAAGGTCAAGAGCTAAGGTTTTTGGAATTAAGAAAGCATGGGATCAAATTCCAGCTTTGTCACCTAGCTGGTTAAATTACGTGCCGCATTTAATTCATCTGTGAAACAAAGCAGTGGCTCTCTTGGGATTATATGGAGGAGCTGATGAAATAGTGAAGATAAAAGGTTTCACTGCACAATAAGTACCATTTTATTTTATTTATTTTTCTTTTTTCTTAGACAGTCTTGCTTTGTCGCCCAGGCTGGAGTGCAGTGGCACGATCTCGCCTTATTGCAACCTCCACTTCCCAGGTTCAAGTGATTCTCATGCCTCAGCCTCCCGAGTAGCTGGGATTACAGATGTGCACCACCACACCCAGCTAATTTTTGTATTTTTAGTAGAGACAGGGTTTCACCATGTTGGTGAGGCTGGTCTCAAACTCCTGGCCTCAAGTAATCCGCCTGCCTGGGCCTCCCAAAGTGCTGAGATTACAGGTGTGAGCCCCCGCGCCTGGCCCAATAAATACCATTTTAAAAAGCTGGTGTTCCTTATTACTTTTTCTGTTTAGTACTCACTGGAAGACAGTAATGTGTTCAATTTAGTAATTCTCCATACCCTTGGGAGGGAGGTGAGGAGACAGACTTTTTGGTCCTTACTGAATGAAGAATCAGACAGCACTGTCCTGTTAGAGGAGAACCAGAGGCTTCTAACCTTCCAGGAGTTTCATCTTAAATTTGTCCCAGGAAAGTTTCATCTAGTTTCTTTTTTTATTCCTACCCGACCCCTCGAACACATTTGAGAAGGACTTTTGTTGGTTTATTTCAGAACCTGTCATTAGGCCCATGGGGAGACGTGTGTGCCTGTGAGCAGAGTTCTGGCTGGACTAGGTAAGTCAGAGGAGAGTGTGTCGTTCCTTTGAGGTTTTCTGTTGTGGTTTGGGATGGAACCCGGTGCTGACTGTCATTTCCTATTCAGTGCTCTTTTGCAGTGAATGTTCCAAAGGCACGGCGTCCTTTAGGACCCAGACTGCTTGGGGACTGGGGCTTTCGGGGAAGACCACTTGAATAGTGAGCATCTCCTAGCTGGCTGTTACTTTGCTTTGCAGCTTGGTACAACGGGGCAGGCTGGAGAGTGAGGGAAATGTGGCCCCAGTGCGGATCAGCGAGAGGCTTCATCTGCAAGTGTACCAGCTGGTGCTGCCAGGCTCTGAACTGCTGCTGTGGCCCCAGCCTTCCTCTGAGGGCCCAAGTCTCACCCAGCCTGGGCTGGACAAAGAGGCAGCTGTAGCAGTGGTGACAGAAGTGGAGTCTGCTGTACAGCAGGAAGTGGCCTCCCCTGGGGAGGATGCAGCAGAACCTTGCATAGGTATGTGTCAAATAAATGCTGGTTTCCCAGCAATTTCCCCACCAAAACAACCTGTTGATAAGACAAAGCAGAGTTTATGGCTCATTGCGGTAAGGAAGGACACTATAGAGTCTTAGTAGCTTTTCAAAATCTGTTTTAAGGTGGATCTTTCAACATGGGATAGGAGGGTGGGGCTTGATTAGTATTGGGTAAGGATTATGACTGAATAGCTTAGGGTTGGTACATACAGCAAGGCTAGAATTTTCAGGCAAGGGACAGTCTCAGACTATGAATTGTCATTCATTGCTTTCTGTTGAAGAGCGACGGGTCTGTTCTTTGGAATAACAATATAGATATTTGCAACTTTTACCTTCCTAAGAGCTTCCTGGAATAGTAAGAAAGAGAGTAAGCTTTGTATGTACACGGTTTCCAGCCTCCCATGTTTCTTCTCTCTGGCGTGGGGGTTCTTTTATATTACAGATGAGCTAAGGTGGGAAGGGGTTTTTTTGTTTTGTTTTGTTTTGTTGTTGTTGTTGTTGTTGTTGTTGTTTTTTTTTTTTTTTGAGATGGAGTCTCACTCTGTCGCCCAGGCTGGAGTGCAATGGCGTGGTCTCAGCTCGCTGCAACCTCTGCCTCCCAGGTTCAGGTGATTCTCCTGCCTCAGCCTCAGCTAATTTTTTTGCATTTTTAGTAGAGATGGGGTTTCACCATGTCAGCCAGGCTGGTCTCGAACTCCTGGCCTCAAGTGATCTGCCTGTCTCTGCCTCCCAAGATGCTAGGCTTAACAGGTGTGAGCCACCGTGCCCGGCTGGAAGGGGTCTTGAATCACATCCTAAATATGTGTCTCCAGGGGCGAACAAGGGGATTCTCCATCTGGGATGGCCTTATTCTAGTGATTATCCAGATGGCTGGGACCCCATGGCTCTCAGGAGTGCTTCTCCAAAAGGCGCTTAAGGCTGGACAGGAAGATAAATGGAGTGTGCACCCCATGCTCCAGGGAAGAGATTGGTATCATTGCTCCCTCTAAGGCTCAGGGGCTGGGTGGGAGAAAACATCTGATCCTGTAATTCCCTGGTAACACCATCTGCATTGAAGCTCCCTAAACCCAGTACCCCATCCTTGCCTTGCAGATCCTGGTTCCCAGTCACCCTCTGGCATCCAGGCAGAGAATATGGTGAGCCCTGGACTTAAGTTCCCAACCCAGGACCGAATTTCCAAGGATAGCCAGCCACTTGGCCCATTGCTTCAGGATGGCGACGTGGATGAGGAATGCCCGGCCCAGGCACAGATGCCACCTGAACTTCAGAGCAATTCGGCTACCCAGCAGGACCCAGATGGCAGTGGAGCCAGTTTCTCATCTTCTGCCAGGGGCACCCAGCCGCATGGCTACCTGGCCAAGAAGTTACACAGCCCCAGTGATCAGTGCCCACCCAGAGCAAAGACCCCAGAGCCTGGAGCCCAGCAGTCTGGCTTCCCTACACTCTCGCGGAGCCCTCCTGGCCCAGCAGGAAGCTCCCCAAAGCAGGGGCGACGGTACCGGTGTGGAGAGTGTGGCAAGGCATTCCTACAGCTGTGCCACCTAAAGAAGCACGCATTTGTGCACACGGGCCACAAGCCCTTTCTTTGCACTGAGTGTGGCAAGAGCTATAGCTCAGAGGAGAGCTTCAAAGCCCATATGCTGGGCCACCGTGGGGTGCGGCCCTTCCCCTGTCCACAATGCGACAAGGCCTATGGCACCCAGCGAGACCTCAAAGAGCACCAGGTGGTACATTCAGGTGCCCGGCCCTTTGCTTGTGACCAGTGTGGCAAGGCCTTTGCCCGCCGGCCCTCCCTGCGGCTGCATCGCAAGACCCACCAGGTGCCAGCTGCCCCTGCCCCTTGCCCATGCCCTGTGTGTGGGCGGCCCCTGGCCAACCAGGGCTCCCTGCGGAACCATATGAGGCTCCATACAGGAGAAAAGCCTTTCCTGTGCCCGCACTGTGGCCGGGCGTTTCGTCAGCGGGGCAACCTGCGTGGGCATTTGCGGCTCCACACCGGGGAGCGTCCTTACCGCTGCCCACACTGTGCCGATGCCTTCCCCCAGCTGCCTGAACTGCGGCGCCATCTCATCTCACACACCGGGGAGGCCCACTTGTGCCCGGTGTGTGGCAAGGCCCTCCGAGACCCACACACGCTCCGAGCTCACGAGCGCCTGCACTCCGGAGAGAGGCCCTTTCCCTGTCCCCAGTGTGGCCGTGCTTACACGCTGGCCACCAAGCTGCGGCGCCACCTCAAATCTCACTTGGAGGACAAGCCCTACCGCTGCCCCACCTGTGGCATGGGCTACACCCTCCCGCAGAGCCTCAGGCGGCATCAGCTCAGTCACCGGCCTGAGGCACCCTGCAGCCCACCCTCTGTGCCTTCTGCTGCTTCTGAGCCCACTGTGGTGCTCCTGCAGGCTGAGCCACAACTGCTGGACACACACAGAGAGGAGGAAGTCTCCCCCGCCAGGGATGTTGTTGAGGTCACCATTTCAGAAAGCCAGGAGAAGTGCTTTGTGGTGCCAGAGGAGCCAGATGCCGCCCCCAGCCTGGTGCTAATCCATAAGGACATGGGCCTCGGCGCCTGGGCAGAGGTGGTGGAGGTGGAGATGGGCACCTGACAGCTTTGCCTTTTGCTGACACAGCTCCATAAAGACTCGTGCTTTCTCACTGCTGCGTGTCTGCATCTTCTTTCTTGGGGTTGCCTAGTAGGGATTAGAGTCTACTATGACAGACAGATCAAGGACTTCCCTTCCTGCTTAAGAACCACCAAATCGTGTTCCAAGCATACTAGGTCAAACCTCTTCTGAAGTAGAGATGTTTGAATTGACATCCGGTAGAGCTTGTTGTTCTGCCTCCTTCCCTAGGAACGCCACAGGGTGCTTATTGTTTAAGCGCTGCTGAAGGGACCCAGTGAGGCAGTGGTCGTTGGCAGCGCTACTGCTGACTGGTTGCTTAGCACCAGGATGGTCACACCCATGGAGCTCCTTGAGGGACAGGCGCTTCAATTTGGAAGCAAATCGAATGGCTTTTAAGACTGAACACCGGGCCGGGCGCAGTGGCTCACGCCTGTAATCCTAGCACTTTGGGAGGCCGAGACAGGCGGATCATGAGGTCAGGGGATCGAGACCATCCTGGCTAACATGGTGAAAGCCCGTCTCTACTAAAAATACAAAAAAAGTAGCCATGAGTGATGGCGAGCGCCTGTGGTCCCAACTACTCAGGAGGCTGAGGCAGGAGAATGGCATGACCCTGGGAGGCGGAGCTTGCAGTGAGCCGAGATCGCGCCACTGCACTCCAGCCTGTGCGACGGAGCAAGACTCTGTCTCAAAAAAAAAAAAAATAGACTGAACACCTTGGGAGGTGGCTAGGGCCAGATCTGTGCCCCTCTGTGTGCCTGGTCTAAAGGCCGCCCTGTTCAGGGAAGGACATGTGTTTTGCATTTACTGTGACCTGCACTGTGCTAGGCACTGGGACACAGCTATGAACGTAACAGAGGCAGTACCCTTTACTGATCCACGCATGCTGGGGGCAGGGAGGCAGAAATCATTGGATGAAAGTTTAAAGGGGCATAGCTGGGTACTGTGAACTTGTTTAATGGGGCAATTTAATGTGGTCTGGAGTGCCAGGGAAGATGTCCCCAAGAATAATAACATTCAGCCCTTACTGTGGGCTAGTGCTTTATATAATCCTCATAACAACCCTGTGAGGTAGGAGTAGTGTTTTTTTCCTACAGATCAGGAAATTGAAGAGCAAAGAGCTTTAAGTATCCTGCCCAAGTTCACAGTGCTACAAGTGGGTTGAGATCCCAGCCCACAAAACCTCGCGCTGGAGTCAGGCTCTTCACTGCTGCACTCTCCTGCCCCGTGTTTCAGCTGTGGCTCGATGGATGTGGAGGTGGGAGGGGAGGTGGTGAAAGACTGGTAGGTCTGAGCTACTGGGACCAACATGGATGGGCGGGGGAAAGGTGGAGAGGGAGGAGGGCCAGATCACATAGGACCATGGCTCAGGAGTTTGGACTTTATTTTCAGGACGTCGAGGAGCACTTTGAAGGGTTTTGAACAGGGGAATAACAGGATCAAAATTGTGTTTGAAAAGACAACTAGGAAATGGATTGGAAAGCAAAATGAAGTTGTGGCAAAGTCAATTAGGAGTCTGCGGGGTGCCTGGGAATGGGGTGGTAGCTGTGGAAATGCAGAGAAATGGAGTCATCCACCCAGCTTATATTTACTGAGTGCTTCCTGAATGCAAGTTGTTAGGGATGTAGCAGTATCTGTGTTCACATTAGCTCACCTAGCATGGAAAATGACAAATGCATGTCAGATGGTGGTAAAAGTGTTAAGCGTATTAAGAGTAATGCAGGGTGGCCGGGCACGGTGGCTCATGCCTGTAATCCCAGCACTCTGGAAGGCCAAAGTGGGAGGATCACTTGAGCCCAGGAGTTCGAGACCATCCTGGGCAACATAGCTGGGAGTGGTGACATGCACTTGTGGTCCCAGCTACTCAGGAAGCTCATGGAGGATGATTGCCTGAGCCCAGGAGGTCGAGGCTACAGTGAGCTGTGATCAAGCCACCGCACTGGAGCTGGGGTGACAAAGAATGGGAATGGGATTTACAGAAGGTGGTCATCAAAGGCCTCTAAGAGAAAGGCTTAAGCAGAGGCCTGAATAATGGAGAGGAGGATGTCGGGGAGGAGCTGGATTCTGAGCAGGGCACAGTGAGGACAAGCCAAGTGTAGACAGCAGGAGCAGGGAGACCAAGACAGCGTGGAAGGAGATGAGGTCAGAGAGGTGCCATGCATGCAGGCTGGGGTTAGGGCTGTGGGTGGGTGGCTATGTGCTCCAGGAGGCACAAGTGACACAATTCAAAGACAGTGGAAAAGAGGGAGGTCTAACTCAAGTTTTCTTTTTTTTTTTGTTTTATTAATTTTATTTTGAGATGGAGTTTTCCTCTGTCTCCCAGGCTGGAGTGAAGTGGTGTGATCTCGGCTCACTGCAATCTCCGTCCCCCAGGTTCAAGCGATTCTCCTGCCTCAGCTTCCTGAGTAGCTGGGATTATAGGTGCCTGCCACCAGGCCCCTCAGCTAATTTTTGTATTTTTCGTTGAGACAGGGTTTCACCATGCTGGCCAGGCTGGTCTCAAACTCCTAACCTCAGGCGATCCACCCACCTCGGCCTCCCACAGTACTAGGATTACAGGTGTGAACCACAGCACCTAGCCTCAAGGTTTCTAAAGTAAGTAAGTAGGTAACGGTGGGACCCAGGACAATTATGATTTGGGTTTGGGATGAGTTCAAACTCAGAACTCATCCCAAAGGGGGTCAACAAAGGGGGTCTTGGGATGTAAATGAAACCTCACATGTAGCAGCCCTCAGAGAGAATGGATGATAAATGTTTCTGTCAGACTTTTAAAGGTGTCAGTCTTGGCCGGGCGTGGTGGCTCACACCTGTAATTCCAGCACTTTGGGAGGCCAAGGCAGGAGGATTGCTTGAACTCAGGAGTGGCAGACCAGCCTGGCCAACATAGTGAAACCCTGACTCTATTAAAAATACAAAAATTAGCTGGGTGTGTTGGTACGTGCCTGTAATCCCAGCTACTCGGGAGTCTGAGGCACAAGAATCACTTGAACCCGGGGAGGTGGAGGCTGTAGTGAGCCAAGATAGCACCATTGCACTCCAGCCTGGGCAACAGAGTGAGACTTTTTCTCAAAAAAAAAAAAAAGGCTGGGCATGGTGGCTCACGCCTGTAATCCCAGCACTTTGGGAGGCCAAGGTGGGCAGATCACGAATTCAGGAGATCAAGACCATCCTGGCTAACTCGGTGAAACCCTGTCTCTACTAAAAATACAAAAAATTAGCCGGGCGTGGTGGTGGGTGCCTGTAGTCCCAGCTACTTGGGAGGCTGAGGCAGGAGAATGGCGTGAACCCCGGAGGTGGAGCTTGCAGTGAGCCAAAATTGCACCACTGCACTCCAGCCTCGGTGACAGTGAGGAGAAAAAAAAAATTTCCATCTTAAAGGTGTCAGACTCAGACTCTCAGTTAATCTTTTCTAGATCTGGACAAGGGAGGGCTCAGAGAAAGCCTGGCTGCATCCATGCAGTGTTTTTTTGTTTGTTTGTTTTTGGTTTTTTTTTTTTTGAGATGGAGTCTCTCTCTGTCACCCAGGCTGGAATGCAGTGGTGCGATCTCAGCTCACTGCAAGCTCTGCCTCCCAGGTTCGCGCCATTCTCCTGCCTCAGCCTCTCGAGCAGCTGGGACTACAGGCACCCGCCGCCACGCCCAGCTAATTTTTTGCATTTTTAGTAGAGACGGTGTCACCATGTTGGCCAGGATGTTCTTCAACTCCTGATCTCAAGTGATCCGCCCTCCTCAGCCTCCTAAAGTGCTGGGATTACCATGCCTGGCTCTCTTCAGTTTTCTCTGCAGATGACAATCTCCCCCACACAAGACAGTTTTTCAGCTATTCTTGTATTTCCAGCCCTTCTGAATAGCCATCTTGAAATATATCAAAGAAGTATATTTTGGGGTGAAATATTTTAGTTTCCCTCAATACAGAGAGCAGGGAGGAAGACCAAGGCCAGGATGGTCAAGCGCTTCAGGTTCAGTGACAGGAGGTAGGCTTATCAAGGGACACAAAAAATCACCCAACGAAAGAGAAAAACCTACAAAGTGCATGCCATTGAAGCTGATGGAAAAGTTTCAACAAGGGGGATGTGGTTAGCAATGTCCATTGCTATTGGGAGAGTTGAAGTTTATGGAAGTTACTGGCAAGCTGAGGGAGAGCCGGAGGAAGCCAGATGGGATTGCCTTGAGGGGCGGGAGGCAAGAGAGATGGAAAAGATAGACTTGCTTGTTTTATGCCTCTACTGTCCTGCAAAATAGGAATTGTGGTCCCTGTCTTACAGATAAAGAAACTAAGGCAGAAGGTCATGGTGGCTCATGCCTATAATCCCAGCACTTTGGGAGGCTGAGGCAGGCGGATCACCTGAGGTCGGGAGTTCAAGACCAGCCTGACCAACATAGAGAAACCCTGTCTCTACTCAAAATACAAAAATTAGCCGGGCGTGGTGGCGCATGCCTGAAATCCCAGCTACTTGGAAGGCTGAGGCAGGAGAATCGCTTGAACCCGGGGGGCAGAGGTTGCGGCGAGGCAAGATCACGCCACTGCACTCCAGCCTGCGCCAAAAGAGCAAAATTCTGTCTCAAAAAAAAAAAAAAAGAAACTGAGGCTCAGAGAGGATGACAAGATCACACCATCAGTAAGAGGCAAAGCCAGGATTCTTCTTTTTTTTTTGAGACAGAATCTCACTCTGTCACCCAGCCTGAACTGCAGTGTTGCGGTCTCTGCTAACTCTACTCCGCTAACTTTACCTCCTCTTCCCGGGTTCAAGCGATTCTCCTGCTTCAGCCTCCCAAGTAGCTGGGATTAAAGGTGTGTGCCAACATGCCCGGCTAATTTTTGTAGTTTTAGTAGAGATGGAGTTTTGCCATATTGGCCAGGCTGGTCTCAAACCCCTGACCTCAAGTGATCCACCTGCCTCAGCCTCCCAAAGTGCTGGGATTACAGGCGTGAGCCACCGTGCCCGGCCAAAAGCCAGGATTCTAATGTGGGTGGTTTTCTGGCTTCCCAGCACTTGACCACGATGTCACCGGCAGCCCCGTGCCTCCTGGTTTGCCACTGACATTAACCCAGTTGCCTGCCCAATCTGAAAAACTTGGCAAAGCATAAACCTAAAATTGTCCAAGGGGCGGGAGGACAGCAGGAAATCGTGGTGATCTGTGAAGAGAAAGGCCACACTGTCCAAAGCCTGAGAAACAGCTGCTAAGATTAGTTTTGAGTCAGCCTACCCTGTGACTTGGAACCTGCTCAATTTCTTTTCCAGCTCCTGACTCAGGCAGGCCCACTTCAACTCAGGGGACTGCTCAGCAGTGTCTGCCTAGCGTTTTAGGCATCCTGGGGACACGCTCCTTGCTTGACATTGAACTGTGCAGGACGTGGGGATGCTCTGGGCTGTCCGGGAGGCCTGTTGACACCCCACAGCATCCCCAGGCCAACAGCTGAGATGCCCACACTCCCTTTCCACATTCCCCACACAGATTGGAGAATTTTTCCTCCATTAAAGCCGTCCCTGGTACATGGTACATGGAGCAGGGTCGGAGCAGGGTCAGGACAGAGCCAACGGATTGGAAGGCAGGTGATTTGGGAGTCTCTGCTCTGGCAACACGCATGGCTCAAGTGAGAATGGGTGTTACACAGCATCTCCCAAGATCCTCATGTTACAGTTACCCATGAGAAAACAGAGGCCACAACACAAGTCACTTGCCAGGGTCAGAAGACCAGTCAGTAGCAGAACCAGGACAGAATTCCGGCCTTCTGATTCCTAATTTAGTGCTCTTCCAGCTCAAATAAAAGGCAGACCATTCTTGGAAAGACTAATCACTGGAATATTTTTTTTCACTGAGAAAATATTTTCAGAATTTCAAGGCTACAGTGAGCTGTGATTTTACCACTGCATTCTAGCCTGGGCAGCACAACAAGACCCTGTCTGAAAAATATATATATATATATATATATATTTTATTTTTTTTTTCCTCTGATTTCAATATAATTTTCATTTTATTTATTTTTTGAGATGGATTTTTTGTTTGAGATGGAGTCTTGCTCTATCGCCCAGGCTAAAGTGCAGTGGCACTGCCTCAGTTCACTGCGACCTCTGCCTCCTGGGTTCAAGCAATTCTCCTGCCTCAGCCTCCTGAGTAGCTGAGATTACAGGTACCTGCCACCACGCCCGGCTAATTTTTGTATTTTTAGTAGAGACGAGGTTTTACCATGTTGACCAGCCTGGTCTCGAACTCCTGACCTCAGGTGATCCACCCACCTTGGCCTCCCAAAGTGCTGGGATTACAGGGGTGAGCCACCATGCCCAGACTGTTTTTTGTGTTCTTAGTAGACACAGGGTTTCACCATGGTTGGCCAGGCTGGTTTTGAACTTCTGTCCTCAAGTGATCCACTCACCTCAGCCTCCCAAAGTGTTAGGATTACAGGCATGAGCCACCATGCCTAGTCTATTTATTTATTTATTATTATTTTTGAGACCGCCTCACTCTGTCACCCAGGATGGAGTGCAGTGGCGTGATCTTGGCTCACTGCAACCTCTGCCTCCCGGGTTCAAGGGATTCTTGTGCCTCAGCCTCCCAAGTAGGTGTGACTACAGGCATGCACCACCATGCCCAGCTAATTTTTTGTATTTTAGTAGAGACGGGGTTTCACCATGTTGCCCAGGATGGTCTTGAACTCCTGAGCTCAGGTGATCTGCCCACCTTGGCCTCCCAAATTGCTGGGATTATAGGCGTGAGCCACTGCGCCTGACCACATATAATTTTTATTAATTATAATGTTGAAAGTCCCTTTATTCCACACCTCTCCTCTCATTCACTCCTGATAGGTCATTTTTAATGATTTGATGTATATACTGAATTTGGATGCTTCTTGCTACAGGGCAAAGACGCTAATAAGATTTTGCTGGAGCCTTTTCACAGATGCAAGTCAATCCAGGCAGTGTCTATAGCTGCTGAACCCAAAATCAGAAAGCGAGGGCTATCAAAGCTCTTCTGTCCTGATTTGCAACTTTAGTAGTGCAAGAAAAAAAATCTTAGAATAAAAAATGGGTACCGTTCAGAGACCTTTAGAGATTGCAAGGCATCACAGATGATAAAAAGCTCCATCTCTAGACGTGTTCAGGAGTGGGTTGGGGCTTTGACCTTGACTAGCTGCATCAACTTGGACAAGTCACTTCGCTTCCCTGTGCCTCAGTTTCCTCATCCATAAAATGGGGATAAGTATAGTACCTACCTCATAAGTCCTGCCTACCTGGCACATGGTGAGCAATTACTAAATTGTAGGCCTAGTCCCTATAATCCCAGCACTTTTGGAGAACAAGGTAGGGGAATCGCTTGAAGCCAGGAGTTCCAGACCAGCCTGGCCAACATAGTGAGACTGTGTTTCTATAAAATAAAAAAAAAAAATACCCAAGCTTGGTGGTGCAGGCCTGTAGTCCCGGCTACTTGGGAGTCTGAGTCAGGAGGATTGCTTGAGCCCAGGAGTTCAAGGTTGTAGTAAGCTATGATTGCACCACTGCACTCCAGCCTGGCGACAGAGCATGACCCTGTCTCTAAAAATATAAAATTAGGCCAGGCACAGTGGTTCATGCCTGTAATTCCAACATTTTGGGAGGCCAAGGCAGGTGGATCACTGTGAGCTCAGCAGTTCGAGACCAGCCTGGGCAACAAGGCAAAATCCTGTCTCTACTAAAATTACAAAAATTAGCCAGGAGAGGTGGTACACGCCTGTAATCCCAGTTACTGGGGAAGCTGAAGCAGGAGAATTGCTTGAACCCGGGAGGCGAAGGTTGCAGTGAGCCAAGATCGTGCCATTGCACTGCAGCCTAGGAGACAGAGCGAGACTCGATCTCAATAAATAAATAAATTAATTAATTAATAAAAAAATAAGTTGGGCATGGTGGCACCTGCCTGTAGTCCAAGCTACTCAGGAGGCTGAGGTGGGAGGATCACTTGAGCCAGGAGTTCTAGGCTGCAGTGAGCTATTATCACGCCACCATACTCCAGCCTGCTGTATGTACTCCAGCCTGGGCAACAGAGTGACACCCTGTCTCAAAGTAAAGTAAAATAAAAATTAAAAAACAAATTACTAAATTGTACTTAACAGTATTGTCATCAGTCTTCCTAAATAGGAGGACAGGCAAAATTAAGGGACTTAACATGTGCCCTCAGGTATAGTAGTTTGGGGCAGGCCAGCATCACCCGCACAGTAGTTCTGTACTGTAGGTGCGTGTTCTCTGGGTCAACTTTATGGCCCAGTGAGGCCGTACTCTACCAGAATGTCAGGGGACAAGGGTTGGGAGAGGCAAAAGTGCTGGTCTGAAGCAGGAGTCTGGGTTTCCATCCTAGCTCTACCACCAATTCTGTATGACCGTGCCCCCTCCATTTCCTCCATGACCACATAGAGACATGGGGCAGTTGGATGAAATCAATGATTCCCAGTCTTGGCTCTATCATGGAACCATTTGCTAACTTCTTTTTTTCTCTTATGGATCCCATATTTTTAAAGATTTTTACTAAATAGAAATTGACTTATACTTTTCCAAGCTGGAGTGTGGTGGCATGATTTCAGCTCACTGCAACCTCCGCCTCCCGGGTTCAAGTGATTCTCCTGCCTCAGCCTCCTGAGTAGCTGGGATTATAGGTGCTCACCAGGCCCGGCTAATTTTTTTGTATTTTTAGTAGAGACAGAATTTCACCATGTTGGCCAGGCTGATTTCAAACTCCTGACCTCAAGTGATCTGCTCACCTCAGCCTCCCAAAGTGCTGGGATTACAGGCGTGAGTCACTATGCCCAGCCGCTTACTCACATTTTCTAGTCAAAATAGAAAACTGCTTAAGTCACTGTCTGCAGAAGAGCAAAAAAAAAAAAAGAAATAAAAAATTGAAAACTGCTGATCAGATTGAGAAAAACATAAGATTATTCACCACCTAAAGAGAAAAAATTTCAGTCGAAAGGGAAAAAAATTCATTTTTGTCTTAATAAGGCAAATTCACAATTTTTGAGGTTTTAACAAAATATATGCAGAAAGACAAGGCCACCCCGTAGAACGTGCACACAGCCCTAGGCTTGGAAATGGCTGGATTTAATAATATCTGGTCTTTCTTTGAGCCCTGAAATTCTCTAACACTATGTCTTGGAACATAATTTTACTGTTTTCAGTGGTTATAGAGATTTGCTTTACAATTTAGCATTGGTCTTTACCCATGATTTTGTTTGACGCCAACTTGTTGGGCAGGAATGCACCCCCTGCCCCCCGCTTTGTTATGGCCTTGCTCCTATAGGGCAAGAATATCTGCTTTAAGGCCGGGTGTGGTGGCTCAGGCCTGTAATCCCAGCACTTTGAGGGGCCAAGGCGGGCAGATCACCTGAGGTCAGGAGTTTGAGACCAGCCTGGCCAGTATGGTGAAATCCTGTCTCTACTAAAAATAACAAAAATTAGCTGGGTGTGGTGGCACACACCTGTAATCCCAGCTATTTGGGAGGCCGAAACAAGAGAACCACTTGAACCCAGGAGGCGGAGGTTGCGGTGAGCCGAGATTATGCCACTGCACTCCAGCCTGGGAAACAGAGCAAGATTCCGTCTCACACACAAAAAATATATATATGTCTGCTTTAAGTATGCAGGCCGTGTTTGTGCTGAACGGCAGGAATGCCAAACTTGGCTGCATGGTACCAACTAGGGACCTCAGAGTTCCAAGGAGAACAAACAGTTGGTTCCTGGAGGCTGGGGGCTTGTATCAGACCCTGAAGACTAAGCATGTGCTGGGTCCATTGTTGTCCTGCACCCATGGTAGTGCACTAAACACCTAACCTATATTTAAGTGTTTTTGTTTGTCCAAAAAATGTCTTTTTTTTTTGGGAGTCAAGAGTCTTGCTCTGTTGCCCAGGCTGGAGTGCAGTGACACGATCTCAGCTCACTGCAGCCTCCGCCTCCCGGGTTCAAGCTATTCTCCTGTCTCAGCCTCCCAAATAGCTGAGACTATAGGCACGCACATCCATGCCCAGCTAATTTTTTTATTTTTAGTAGAGACGAGGTGTCTCCATGGTGGCCAGGTTGGTCTTGAACTCCTGTCCTCAAGTGATCCACCTGCCTCGGCCTCCCAAAGTGGTGGGATTGCAGGCATGAGACACCGCGCCCGGCCTGCCTTGTCCCTTCTTAAAATGAGTTGTCCATTTGTAAGCTGCTGATTTCTTTGGGACATTGTCTCCGTAAACTTTTCATAAAGCATCAGTGATTTCACCATTCTTCCACCCAAGCTTCACCGTAAATTTGTTGTTTGTTCTTGCTTCAATTTCAGCAGAATTCATTTAGCTCTGATAAGGGCTCGCTTCAAACTGATGTCTTATCCTTCTTAGTGCCTCAAACTACATCCTGTTCACTCATGTTATAGCAAGTTAGTGTGAGTTTATTTTGGTGCACAAAAATTTTTTTAAATCCATGCAGTCTTTTTTCATAATACGCATTTTCCATGAACTTTTCGAAGACCCCTTGTAGATGTCTGTTGTTTAAACCACCCAGTTTACAGTAATTTTTTTTTTTTTTTGAGATGAAGTCTTGCTCTGTCGCCCAGGCTGGAGTGCATTGGCACACTCTCGGCTCACTGCAACCTCTGCCTCCTGGGTTCAAGCAATTTTTCTGTCTCAGTCTCCCGAGTAGCTGGGATTACAGGTGTGTGCCACCATGCCTAGCTAATTTATGTGTTTTTAGTAGAGACGGGGTTTCACTATGTTGGCCAGGCTGGTCTCGAACTCCTCACCTTGTGATCGGCCCGCCTCGGCCTCCCAAAGTATTGGGATTACAGGCGTGAGCCACTGCACCTGGCCTACAGTAATTTTATAGCAGCCCAGGCTAAGATAGCCATTTCTGGGTATAAGAATGTCATATACTGAACAGGCCTGCAACTGTGAGTAAAAGTCTGCAAAGAGGCCGGGCAGTGGCTCATACCTGTAATCCCAGCACTTTGGGGGGCCGAGGCAGGTGGATCACCTGAGGTCAGCAGTTCGAGACCAGCCTGACCAACATGGTGAAACCCCATCTCTACTAAAAATACAAAATTAGCTGGGCGTGGTAGTGCATGCTTGTAATCCCTAGCATGCACTTGGGAGCTACTTGGGAGGCTGAGGCAGGAGAATCACTTGTACTCAGGAGGCCGAGGTTGCAGTGAGCTGAGATCACGCCACTGCACTCCTTTCTGGGTGACAGAGTGAGACTCCATCTCAAAAAAACAAAACAAAACAAAACAAAAACAAACAAAAAAACCCAACAGGTAGGTAGCAGTGGTTCACGCCTGTAATCCCCACTTTGGGAGGCTAAAGTGGGCAGATCACCTGAGGTCAGGAGTTCACGTCCAGCCTGGGCAACATGGTGAAACTCTGTCTCTACAAAAATACAAAAATTAGCCAGGCATGATGGCGGGTGCCTGTAGTTCCAGCTATTCGGGAGGCTGAGGCAGGAGAATCGCTTGAACCTAGGAGGTAGAGGTTGCAGTGAGCCGAGTTCACGCTATTGCACTCCAGCCTCCATCTCAAAAACAAAACAACAAAAACCCAAAATATATATTATAATTTTATTTTATTTATTCAATTTTATTTTATTTTATTTTATTTTTCTAGGAACAGGTCTCATTCAGGCCAGGCATGGTGGCTCACGCCTGTAATCCCAGCACTTGGGAGGCCGAGGTGGAGGTGGGCGGATCACCTGAGGTCAGGAGTTCGAGACCATCCTGGTCAATGTGGCGAAACCCCATCTCTACTAAAAATACAAAAATTAGCCAGGTGTGGTGGCACACGCCTGTAATTCCAGCTACTTGGGATACTGAGTCAGGAGAATCACTTGAACAGGGAGATGGAAATTGCAGTGAGCCGAGATTGTTCCACTGCACTCCAGCCTGGGTGACAGGGCGAGACTCCGTCTCAAAAAAAAAAAAAAAAAAGAAAGAAAGAAAGAAAGAAAGAAACAGGATCTTACTCTGTTACCCAGGCTGGAGTACAGTGGTGCAATCATAGCTCACTGCAGCCTGGAACTCCTGGGCTCAAGTGATCCTCCTGCCTCAGCCTCCTCAGTAGCTCAGACTGCAGGCATGCACCACCATTCCCAGCTAATTTTTAATTTTTTTTTGGTAGAGATGAGGGTCTTGCTATGTTGCCCAGGCTGGTCTCAAACTCCTGGCCTCAAGCGATCCTGCCATGTCGGCCTCCCAAAGTGTTGGGATTACAAGTGTGAGCCACTATGCCTGGCCTAAAAATATATATATGAAAATATATAAGAAATGGGCCTCCCAGGAATTAAGGTGTTTGCGGGAGTCCTGGTCCCCAGTTTTTCTGCCAACACTCCCTGTTCCCACACATGACCTGGTCCAGACCCCAAACAGCCAGGCCCAAAGGACAGGTGAGGCGAGGCGAGAACTTGTGCCTCCCCGTGTTCCTGCTCTTTGTCCCTCTGTCCTACTTAGACTAATATTTGCCTTGGGTACTGCAAACAGGAAATGGGGGAGGGACAGGAGTAGGGCGGAGGGTAGGGTAGGACCAGAAGCCTCTCTAGGCCTGCCATGGGGCAGGCAGCCAGGGAGAAGGAGGGCCCCTCAGTGGAGACCCAGGGATTTCAGTAGCCCCTGTTCCGGGACAGGCGCAGGTCCTGGGAGGTGACAGAAGATAGACTAAAGGCCCAAGAGTCCCTGGACCTGACTCCTCCCAGGCAGCTGCCACACACAAACACACCTCCAGGCACCCTGGACAGGAAGGAGGAGAAATGGGCCCCTCCTCCAGTGGCTGAGAAGCTGGGGCAAATGTTGGCTGTTCCTATCCCTGGTGCATCCCATGGCGAGGGGCAACTTCCATCAGGCCACACCTTTTATCTTTGTCTCTATTTTTGATATCTGTGTATTATGATTATACAAACCCCCACATTGGCCTATATGTGCAGATCTGATTAAGAACTTACGATATTCCATGGACATTCCATTCCTAATCTCCTTTAGTCCTCACAACAAAGTATTATTCCCATTGTATAGATGAGGAAACTGAGGCACACAGAGATGACAAGCAACCACCGCTATATGTTAGGATTCGAAGGAGCTCCAGGAAAGTCTCATAGCCCCACTGGCCAGAATGGGCTAAATCTCAGAGGGGGAGGGTGGGAGATGGGGGTGACAGTGACCTTTTTTGTGACTCCTCCTAGACCATCCATCCCTGCTCCCAGGAGGACCTGTCCTCCCAGATGGTGGAGATGGACAGGAGGACTATCTACCCACCCGTCCCCACGGCCCTGACCCTCTGACCTCACCCTCTCCGCTGATTTCTTCATGTTAGTTCAACATTAACCCAGAGGGGTCAGGACAGACAATTCCTCAGTGACCCAGGAGCTGACACACTATGGCGCACGTCCGAGGCTTGCAGCTGCCTGGCTGCCTGGCCCTGGCTGCCCTGTGTAGCCTTGTGCACAGCCAGCATGGTAAGGGAGTGCTTGCAGGCTGGAACAGGCTGGAGGACTGGGGTGTGGGCCCATGGGCTGGGGTCTCCTGGCTGGACAGAGCACACAGAGCTGGCCCCTAAGTAGGTCTCAGCCCCAGGCGGCCAGCTTAGGGAAGAAGTCAGGAGCTCAGGGCTGGAAAGAGAATGGCTGCTTCTCTCTTCCAATATAGGGAGCAGGCTGGGGGCAAGGGGCAGTGTAGGAGGGGCACAGGGGGCCACATTTAGCAGCCTTCCAGGCACTTCCACCAGCCCAGACAGCCTCTCTCAGAAGCCAGCAGGGGAGGGTGGGCTTGCTTCATGCCCCCAGAATGGCCAAGACTGCCTGTTCCTGAGGCCGCTGTCCCATGACCCCCCCACCGCCTTACAGTGTTCCTGGCTCCTCAGCAAGCACGGTCGCTGCTCCAGCGGGTCCGGCGAGCCAACACCTTCTTGGAGGAGGTGCGCAAGGGCAACCTGGAGCGAGAGTGCGTGGAGGAGACGTGCAGCTACGAGGAGGCCTTCGAGGCTCTGGAGTCCTCCACGGCTACGGTGAGCCTGGGCTGCTCGGACGGTGCCGGGGCCTCAGACCGGGCCCAACTCTAGACACTTCCACAGAGAAGCAAGCGAGGAACGCCACAGCCCCTTCGCTGCTCACAGCCTCATTTCAACTCTGAGCCCCTCCTCACAGGGCTGGCAAGAGGAGCGGCCTCAGCCTTTCCTGGGGGTCTCTGTGCCTGGACTGTGTCCCTGTGCAGCTCCATGACATGGGGAGGCCTCCACAGTCTTCAGACATCCACCTGCCCTGGAGCTCTGTGTCCACATGGCCTCCTCAGCGGCAGACTCCCACACCACCCTTGAGGGGTGGGACTCTGGGGAGGCCACCACAAGCCCCCGGGCTCAAGACTCAGTGTTCCTGGAGCTCTGTGTCGCCTTTCCTGTCTGTAGGGCTCTGCCAGGGTCCCACTGCCCCCTCTCCTCCCATCTCCCCCAGCCTCTTTCAGTCTCGGTGTGTGTGTTGGAGGAACTCCCCTATCCTCAAATATTCTTCTCCTTTTGGAAACAAAAGTAGGAAACTCTGCCACAAACCTCCCCAGAGCCTGCCCCCTGCGTGACCAGGGTAAAGGAAAGTGTGAGGAGGAGACATAACATTTACTAAAACAACACAAAACAGGAGCTGCCGTAGCCTCACTCCCAGCCCTTGTTTTTCAGGATGTGTTCTGGGCCAAGTACACAGGTGAGCACCGGGAAGGATTTGCCCCAGGAAGGGAGGCCTGGGGACCCCAGTGAGAGAATTCTACCCAGAGAATCTTCTGCTGCACCTAGCCATCCACCCATCCACCCCTTCCCCACTCCTTCCTTGGTCCCTCCCATCTGTTCATCCATCTTTCTGTTTCTCACCAACATCCCATCCACCCTGACTCCAGCTCATCCTGGCCATACCCCAATCCCAAAGGTAAACACCTGGGTCTTTTCCAGCTTGTGAGACAGCGAGGACGCCTCGAGATAAGCTTGCTGCATGTCTGGAAGGTGAGCAACTGACACGGGTTTGGGGAGCAGGACATGGAGGGGAGCCTGGGAGAAGAGCTCAGGGGTGGGTTTGGAGTGTGGCTGGTGGAGGCCGAGGCAGTCCCCAGCATCTGACATTGCTCCCATTCCTGGGGTCAAGATGTCTCTTTGTACCTGGCTCTGTGTCTGGCATGCGAACGAATGAATGAATGAATGGACTAATGAATTAATGTTTTTTTTTTTGAGACAGAGTCTCGCTCTGTTGCCCAGGCTGGAGTGCAGTGGCACGATCTTGGCTCACTGTAAACTCCGCCTCCCGGGTTCAAGCAATTCTCTGCCTCAACCTCCCAAGTAGCTGGGATTACAGGTGCTCGCCACCACGCCTGGCTAATTTTTGTATTTTTAGTAGAGACGGGGTTTCACCATGTTGGCCAGGCTGGTCTTGAACTCCTGACCTCGTGATCCACCCACCTCGGCCTCAAAGTGCTGGGATTATAGAAGTGAGCCACCGCGCCTGGCCATGAATTCATGTTTAAGGCTTCATTCTCCTTTGCCTGACCCGAGTCTCTGCCCCCACCTAGTCAGAGCTTTGATGATGTCACATTCCCCTTCTAGCTTTAGGTGTCACTGAACCAAACAGGAACCCAAACCCCCAGCTGCTCTGACACCAAGGACTTCCCTAAGCATGCCAAGGTGTTTCTAGCACCTGGCCTTGCATATGTTGTCAATTTCCTCTGGAGCGACCATCACATCTACTGAACACTTTCCTATCCTTCAAGGACTGCTTCAAATGTCACCACTTTTGCTGAGACTTCAGGGAGCACCCTCCCTCCTGCACTGTGTTCTGAAGGCACCTTTAGCACGACAAAAATGGAACTCTTTGTTTATTTATAAGAGACAGGGTCTCCCTTTTTTGCCCAGGCTGATCTTGAACTCCTGGGCTCAGGCAATTCTCCCATCTCAGTCTCCCAAAGGAGTAGGATTATAAGTGTGAGCCACCATGCCTGGCTGCCATACTTTCATTTTTTTTTTTTTTTTTTTGAGGTGGAGTCTCACTCTGTCGCCTAGGCTGGAGTGCAGCAGCGCGATCTCGGCTCGCTGCAACCTCCGCCTAGCGGATTCAAGTGATTCTCCTGCCTTAGCCTCCTGAGTAGCTGGGATTACAGGCACACACTACCATGCCCAGCTAATTTTTTGTATTTTTTAGTAGAGACGGGGTTTCACCATGTTGGCCAGGCTGGTCACAAACTCCTGACCTCAGGTGATCCACCAGCCTCAGCCTCCCAGAGTGCTGGGATTACAGGTGTAATCCACTGCGCCCAGCCTCATTTGTTAAATTACGTACTCAACAGACATTTTACAAAGTTCCTGCTACGTGCCAGGCACTATATCAGGTGCTGGGGATTTTAAGAGAATCAAATACAGTCTCTGCCTTCAAGGAATTCAAAATCTCAAAAGAGAACAAAAATACAAAATATTAAAATGATTGCGGCCGGGTGTGGTGGCTCAAGCCTGTAATCCTAGCACTTTGGGAGCTGAGGTGGGCGCCCAGGCCAGGGGTTTGAGACCATCCTGGCCAACATAGTGAAACCCCCAACCTCTACTAAAAATACAAAAATTAGCTGGGGTGTGGTGGCACGCGCCTGTAATCCTAGCTACTAGGGAGGCTGATGGGGGAGAATTTCTTGAATCTGGGAGGCAGAGGTTGCAGTGAGCTGAGATCATGCCACTGCACTTCAGTCTCGGCAACAGAACAAGACTCATCTCAAAATACATAAATAAAAATAAATAATTCAATAAAGTGATTGCAAGAAAAGTTCTGTTCAAGGCACCAAGAGACCACAGGAAAATGAGTGTCTGGTTTGCCAGAAAAATGAGAGATGGCTTCCCAGGAGAGGCAGAGTTCTGCCTGGCCTGGTGGGATGCATGGATGAACAAACAAGTGGGCATTCCAGTCAGAAGAAACAATCCGTGGAAAGACCCAGAGGCATGAGAAGCTGAGCTAGCAGGGACAGGTAGACCAGGGCCAGTTGAAAAGGACCTTCATCACTTTTTCATCCTGCTGGCCAAGAGAAGCCACAGAATGGAAGCTCCATGAGGGCAGGGCTGTGACTGTCCTATTGGTTGATGTGTACTGAGCACCCGACAGTGCCTGTCATATGGTAGGCACTTAGCGAATATTTGGAGGCCACTGTTGAGTGAATGGGAGAACTGCTGGTTGCAGAGGAAGAGGGGCTGGGTGAATGCAGGTTCAGGATTGTGGACCTGCATGAGCTGGGAGGTGGGGGATAGACAACTTTGCAGGGAGAGAGGAAATAAGTCCCCAGGCTCCAAGGCTGACCGGGGTGGGGTCTCCGCAGGTAACTGTGCTGAGGGTCTGGGTACGAACTACCGAGGGCATGTGAACATCACCCGGTCAGGCATTGAGTGCCAGCTATGGAGGAGTCGCTACCCACATAAGCCTGAGTGAGTGAGGGGCCGGCCTTCCCACCATGGGCTGAGAACAGGGAGCAAGCGTACCTCAAGCCCAACAGCCTCCTGTTGGGCAATTTCCTGTTCCAGAATCAACTCCACTACCCATCCTGGGGCCGACCTACAGGAGAATTTCTGCCGCAACCCCGACAGCAGCACCACGGGACCCTGGTGCTACACTACAGACCCCACCGTGAGGAGGCAGGAATGCAGCATCCCTGTCTGTGGTAAGCTGGGGGCAGTGGGGCGGCCCATGGCCAAGGCCCGGGGGCTTCATGGGGCCTGGCAGCCTGGGATGGGAACCAAGAATACTGGCTACCCAGGCACAGTGGCTCATGCCCGTAATCCCAGCACTTTGGGAGGCTGAGGCAGGCAGATCACCTGAGGTCAGGGGTTTGAGACCAGCTGGGCCAACATGGCAAAACCCCGTCTCTACTAAAAATACAAAAATTGCCAGGCGTGGTGGTGGGCGCCTGTAATCCCAACTACTCTGGAGGCTGAGGCACGAGAATCGCTTGAACCCGGGAGGCGGAGTTTGCAGTGAGCTGAGATCCTGCCACTGTACTTCAGCCTGGGCGACAAGAGCAAAACTCTGTCTCAAAGAAAAAAAAAAGATGCTGGCCACCTTCAGAGCTGGCGTCAGTCATTCAGATCATATCTGTGCCTATTGCTCAGTAAAGTCAGGGAATCAGGGGATCTGAGTGGGGGGATCTGCCAGCCTCCTCCTCCCCCTCCCCACTCTTGACTTCCTTATGGTCCAGGCTGTGGCTCATTCCAAACATGCCTCCTTTCTGATCAAGGCACTCCTCCCTCCGGGAAGCCCTCCCTAGCCATTTCAGTCCACACACCCTGTTCTGAGTATCACAGAGCAAGCCTTGTGCAGTTTGGCCCTGCGGGATTCTGTCATTATTATTTCCTTGGTGTGTTAAGTAGCTATAGCCACCCCTTCCCTGAGGCAGACCACAATAAGCATTTCTTTTTCCCATGAGGGTTGGCAGGTGTGGCTGCACTCGCTAATGCGTCTGTAGGGTCAACTGACGGAGGTTGGCCCTGGCTGGGTGGCTCTGATTCAAATAATGGGTCCAGCTGAGTCTGGCTCCTCGTTGAGGGTTGGGCCTAGATCTGCTCCACGTGCGTTCATGCTGGGGCTGAGGCTGAAAGAAGGTACCTGGGAAAACTCTTCTTATGCTGATGACAGACACAGAAAACAATGAACAGAAAAGCGTCTTCTGTCCTGAAGGCCTGGCTCAGAACAGGCACAGTCAGCCCTGCCCACGTTCCATTGGCCAGAGCAAGTATATGTTCAAGGCCAGGGTCAAGAGGTAAACTACACCTCAGCCTGTAAAATCACAGAGCAAGGGATGTGGATGCAGGCAGGGGTAAAGAATTTGTGCCGATTACCAGTCCACAAACATGGGTTAGTGTTTGTTCTCTAGGCATCCCTGTCGGGCCCATTGCTCATTCCTGGGGTTGGTCTTTTTTTTTTTTCTTTCTAAGATGGAGTCTCACTCCCTTGCCCAGGCTGTTGGAGTGCAGTGGCCCTATCTCAGCTCACTGCAACCTCCGCCTCCTGGGTTCAAGCGATTCCCCTGCTTCAGCCTCCTGAGTAGCTAGGATTACAGGCGTGTGCCACCACTCCTGGCTAATTTTTTTTTATGTTAGTAGAGACGGGGTTTCACCATGTTGGCCAGGCTGATCTCAAACTCCTGACCTTGTGATCCTCCCGCCTCGGCCTCCCAAACTGCTGAGATTACAGGGGTGAGGCACTGCGCCCGGCCTTTTTTTTTTTTTTTTTTGAGATGGAGTCTCACTCTGTCACCCAGGCTGGAGTGCAGTGGCATAATCTTGGCTCACTGCAACCTCCACCTCCTGGGTTCAGGCGATTCTCTGCCTCAGCCTCTCATATAGCTGGGATTACAGGCACACGCCACCACGCCTGGCTAATTTTTGTATTTTTAGTAGAGACGGGGTTTCTTCATGTTGGCCTGGCTGATCTTGAACTCCTGACCTCCGGTGATCTGCCCAGCTCGGCCTCCCAAAGTTCTGGGATTACAGGTGTAAGCCACTGCGCCTGGCCCCTGGAATTGGTCTTATAGCAAGTTTATCCCAACAAAAACAGCTACTATTTACTCCCCAACCCCCATACACACGCACACACATTGATGATAAATAAGTTGCAGGCTTGCAGAAATTGACCCATCCAGGTGAACAGCCTAGTGATCCCAGCAAGCGTCCTGCTGTGCAGCTATAAAAACATGACTCCTCCAGCAGCTCCAGGCAGCCACTACCAGTTAATTACAGATGGCCTAGGAGGCCAAACCTGGTTACTATCTCTGGTTTATTATGTGCCAGACACTTATGCTGTATATTTTGTTTAATCCTCTCAACAAACCTGCAAAAGTGGCATTAGTAACCCCTTTAAAGGCAAACGGTCAGAAGCCCAGAGAGGTTAAGTAACCTGAGGTCACACAGGCAGAAAGCAGCAAGACCGGGGTTCACACCCCTGTCTGTTCCGGTCCATGTGTGGTCTCACTCACTCTGCTGCCTCCTTGCCCCTCACCCACCAGGCCAGGATCAAGTCACTGTAGCGATGACTCCACGCTCCGAAGGCTCCAGTGTGAATCTGTCACCTCCATTGGAGCAGTGTGTCCCTGATCGGGGGCAGCAGTACCAGGGGCGCCTGGCGGTGACCACACATGGGCTCCCCTGCCTGGCCTGGGCCAGCGCACAGGCCAAGGCCCTGAGCAAGCACCAGGACTTCAACTCAGCTGTGCAGCTGGTGGAGAACTTCTGCCGCAACCCAGACGGGGATGAGGAGGGCGTGTGGTGCTATGTGGCCGGGAAGCCTGGCGACTTTGGGTACTGCGACCTCAACTATTGTGGTGAGCTGCCTGGGTAGGGGGCCTGAGTTGCAGGGACAAATCCTGGTGGGAATAACAACAGCCGCTTCTGCTTATCGAACGCTTACCTCATTGAGTGCGCTCATTACAGCCTTACAGTAACCAGGTGGGGGGTAAGGTCCTGTGCCCATTTCACAGATAAGTACACTGAGGCCCCAGGAGGTTATTGCCTAGTAGCCCAACTGTGCATGCACGCTTAACCTCTGCACCAAATGGCCTCCAAGGCCCGTAGGGGAATTGGGGGGATCTAGGGGATGGGTGAGGAATGGCCCAGCCCAGTCCCAGCCGGTGCCTGGGTCCCAACAGAGGAGGCCGTGGAGGAGGAGACAGGAGATGGGCTGGATGAGGACTCAGACAGGGCCATCGAAGGGCGTACCGCCACCAGTGAGTACCAGACTTTCTTCAATCCGAGGACCTTTGGCTCGGGAGAGGCAGGTGAGGTAGTGGGCATCCGAGGGGATGCGGGGCTGCGGGG